>NC_000001.11:173487617-173790647 GCF_000001405.40 Homo sapiens
AAAGAACACTTGATTAGTCTCATTAGCACCTGTAGCTACTTTTCTAAAGTTAATTCCTGAAGGCCTTGAAGCTTCACTATGAGATTGAATTTCACCATTCTCAATGTCTTTCAATAGGATGGGGATAGTGTGATGGTCCTTCCAACCATCCCTGAAGAAGAAGCCAAAAAACTTTTCCCGAAAGGAGTCTTCACCAAAGAGCTCCCATCTGGCAAGAAATACCTCCGCTACACACCCCAGCCTTAAGTCTCTTGGAGAAGCTGGTGCTGTGAGCCAGAGGATGTCAGCTGCCAATTGTGTTTTCCTGCAGCAATTCCATAAACACATCCTGGTGTCATCACAGCCAAGGTTTTTAGGTTGCTATACCAATGGCTTATTAAATGAAAATGGCACTAAAAGTTTCTTGAGATTCTTTATACTCTCTGCCTTCAGCAATCAATTCCATTCATACATCAGCACTCTGCTGGTTCTGTTTGAAATATGTTCTGTATTTAAAACTCAAATCTTGTTGGATCTCTGCAGGGCTTGTGACCAATGAAGTCATATTTGTTGATGGTTGACAAAGCTTGCTTCACTCCATCAGAGAATGACTATCAATTTTTTTTTAACTGTCCTATCACGTCCTCTCCTGTCACCCATTTTGAAGAGTGGCAGAACTTGAAGTTCAACTTCCTCTGTAAATATCCAAGTATAAAGCCCAGGAACTTCTAGAATAACCCAGATGCGCTTTAATTTTTTTTAATATGTTTTGATCACAGAACTTCTAGAATAACCCAGATGCTCTTTCATATTCTTTTAATACATCTTGATCACAGCTGGGGGAAAAAAAGCTTTTTAATTCTATACCTTCCTAGTAGATAAGTGAAGAGCAGGGAAAGAGACCTTTAAATATTTTGCTATAAAAAAATTTGTGATAAGTTTCTATCAAAATGGGGAGATTGCAGAAAAGGCTTCCCTTGGCTCCCAAGGAGGTGTAGCAGGTGTGAGCAATATTAGTGCCATGTGCCTTTCACACAGGGTTTGCATTTATCAGTCTGTTTTCCGATGATGTGTACATGAAAGAGTACACCATGTGAAGAGAAGAGAGAATGATTGAAAATGTTTTAGTATAGAACTCTTCTTGCAGTGGGTTGCTATTTTCTAGATTTTACTTTTTAGGGAACAAAATAAAATCCTTTGTTAAAACTGGGTCAGAGAATTCTGTTGTCATATTTTGAAGTATCAGATTTATGTCCTAAAGGGCAGAGGCTTCCTTCTTCCTAGGATTGGCATGAGTAATTTCTTCCAAAGACAGATACATAAGATTTTATATAATGAAAATGGAGGAACAGCTGAAGAACGTGTGATGTCACCACATATCTTGGTCCACTTTGCTCCTTCATGTTACTTGTTTGGATCCTACAGTCCCATGATGTTATGATCCCTGGTATAAAGAGCTCTCTTAACCTAATTCCTTAATGGGATTGCTGGGTGTAGGAATGTGAACCTCAAAGATAATGGTACATCTGTGCTTTTTGCTGCTCTGAACTAATACTCTCTCAGACTTTGATTATACTCTACTAATAAGTGCCAGGTTTAGAAAAGGGTGTCCCATTTACGATGTCTTAGTCTGCTTGGGCTGCTATAGCAAAAATACTACAGACTGGGTGGCTTAAACAACAAACATTTCTCACATTTCTGGAGACTGGAAGTCCAAGATCAAAGCACTGGTAAATCCTGTCTGGCGAGGACCTGCTTCCTGGGTTGTAGTTTGCTGCCTTCTTGTTGTATCCTCACATGACCAAGAGAGGGATCATCGCTCAACGTCTCATAAGGTCACTAATCCCATTCACGAAGGCTCCACCCTCATGACCTAATAATTACCTCCCAAAGGCCCTTCATCCAAATACTATCACACTGGGGATTAGGCTTTAACATAAGAATGTTGAGGAGACACATTCAGTCCATAGCACCTGGTATAAGTCCTTTGTATGAAACCTTTTTTTTTTTTTTTTTTTTTTTTTTGAGACAGTCTCACCCTGTCCAGGCTGGAGTGCAGTGACACAATCTCGGCTCACTGCAACCTCTGCCTCCTGGGTTCACGCAATTCTCCTGCCTCAGCCTCCCGAGCAGCTGGGACCACAGGCACGTACCACCACACCCAGCTAATTTTCGTGTTTTTAGTGGAGACGGGATTTCACCATATTGGCCAGGCTGGTCTCAAACTCTTGACCTCGTGATCCATCCGCCTCAGCCTCCCAAAGTGCTGGGATTACAGGCATGAGCCAATGCGCCCGGTCAAAACCTCTATATTTTTATTGAGTAGAATAATGTAAAACAAGCCCTAATGCCACATGAGAGACAGGTCATTAAGCCTTTAGTTTCCTTGATTACTCCACATGTAGAATTTGAGTAACACTAAGAAGGTCAAGAACGTAGGTAGAAATTCCAATTCTGGGGAATGCTGGTTTGAAAGAGACAAAAGGGCTAGCTAGCTTCCTGCTCTCATTCCTCCCCATTTCAGTATATTTTGCCCTGAGCTAATACTGCTGAGCATGGTGGCATGCGCCTGTAGTTCCAGCTACTTGGGAGGCTGAGAGCAGAAGGATTGCTGGAGCACAGGAGTTCAAGTCTAACCTGGGCAACATAGACCCAGTCTCTTAAATAAATAAATGCTCTCTGTCCTCTTACAGCAAATCTGACTATCCCCGGCTCCTGTTGTTTCCCTATCAGGGTCCTTACTGCTCTCTTCTCTTCACTTGGATATTTGCCTCTTTTGTTCTTGCCTCTCTCATGGAGAGTCTGGCTTCACCTTTTTTATGGTGCTAGTTCAGAGTTTAAATCTCCAACATGAGTTACTCAGATTGGAATCTTGTTTACAGATGGATGGAATATTTGCTGTTTAATTTGCAAATTCTAAATGGGATTCGTCGACGTTTTCTCCAACCTCAAACCTATCTATTGTCCCTCTTACCTCTTATTCAGCCTTGGTGTGTGCTTGGCTATATATACTATTCTACCAGTATAGATGATGTCAGTATAAAAATGCTGAAAGAGAGCTCAAAGAAAATGGGTCATGTACCCTCAAATTGAATTCTGGTTCTGTCACTAAGCAGCCATGAAGCCATGAGACCTTGTGCAAGTATTCTTTTCCAAACATAAAATATTACCTAATGAATATGCATTTCCAGGGTAGAAGTGATCCTTAAGTACATTTTTAAACACAGTCATGCATTGCTTAATGACCGGGATATATTCTAAGAAAAGCACCATTAGCCAATTTCTTTGTTGTGTGAACATTACATAGAGTGTACTTATACAAACCTAGATGGTATATATTTTTATTTTCTATATATTTTATCATATTGAAAACCAAATGTCCCAGCATCATTACTGAATATCAGTCATTTCCCTGCTTGATCTGCAATGCCAACATCAAATGCAATATATTAGGTTTCTATAAATGCTCCGTTAAAGCCTTATGGGACCACTGTCATAAATGTGGTCCATCATTTGTCTGAAGCACTGTTACGTGACGCATGACTGTAACACTATTAGGCAGGGAGAGTAGAGTCCCCTTATGAGAATTGCTGCCCTCAATTTTCATAGAAAAGAATAAATTTCATTATGCATCCAATGATTTATTTATAGCAAGTGAATTAATGTGTGGCTACTGCAGCTATGAAAGAAATACAACTTCAGAGGCAGTCTATGCGACCTCAAAGAGTTAGGAAATGCTTTGGCTAGTCTTCTAAGGTGACCAAAGTGATAGACCTGTGATTCCTTTGTTGTGGTCTTGTCAAAAGTCTGATCTTACCCCCAACCTCCAACCAAAAGATAGGGATCTGCAGTGAGAAGCTCAGCAAAGGGATGAGAAGCCAGAATGGCTGTGCCTAAATGGCCAAGTCAGGATGCCAATTACTGGGTGCAGTGAACTGGCATAGGGATATACTCCCTCACATCCATTTGAGCCTTCCTCTTTGAAACAATGCAAATTGAGGAAATGCTGACAACTTTGATTCTAGCTAAATGGGCATAGCGTTAACTGGTTAAAAGGCCATCGCTACCCTCTTGTCATTCAGAAATGGCCATGTAGTTCACTTCTTGCTGATGAGACACAAATGGAGGATTGTTGGAGGTTTCTAGAATTCTTTCTCACTCTGGAGAGCAATTGTAAGCATTTGTTTGTCTCCCACTGGATATAAACAAGAAAACATGAAGCACTAATTGCTGCTGGTAGCTGTCTTACAACCTAGGAGTAGTGAATCAGCCATAGAATGAGGCTGAAAAGGTAAACAGCAGAGTGGAGAGAAAGAAAAACTGATATTTGATGACCTTCACTGAGTCTACCAATCACAAATATGTCCTGCCTTTTAACTTGCATTACATAAAAATTTCTTTAGTATTTAAGTCTGAGTTGGGTTTTCTGGTACTTGCAGCCCACAGTATCCTAACATATGCATGGGATGAAGTATTATCCTCTAGTTGTCTCAAATATATGGTGATGTACTGCCTCCTAAACAAACAGACGTATGTTTTCTTCTACTACTCTATCACCTATACTTATGGAACTCAGGCTTCAATCTGCACTAAACCACCTGAGGAGCACATTAAAATGCAGAGCCCAAAGGCCTACCCTCAGGGATTGATTCCATAGGTGGCTATAAATCCATTTTATTTAACTTTAAAACAATATTTTAGACACAGGGTCTCACTATGTTGTCCAGGCTAGCCTCCAACTCCTGAGCTTAAGGGATTCTTCTGCCTCAGCCTCCTGAGCAGCTGGGATTACAGGCACATACCACCACACACAGCTCACAAATTCACTTTTGACAACCCAGGTGACCTGTGACAGAATACAACAAATACTGCTGTTGTTCCACCAATACCCATTTCCCTCTTAAGCCTTACTAAGAACACCAAGATTGCATTAGGGTAACAAGGTGAGGTGCCATTTCATCTCAAGGTGAATTTTGAAATAGGTGTGGCCATGTGACAGTTCTGGCCTAGGGTCAGGTCCCTTCCTAACTGAAAAGGCAAAGCCTCATTAGGGGAAAGCTCTTAGCCCTACTCCTGAAAAACAATCGGGAGGCCTGGTGTTAACAGGTGTTGTTTTGCCACCATGAGGATAAATATCACAAGCCAAGGATGAAGAAGAAGTAGGCTACAGGAACCCTGGGTCCATAATAACATCCTGAAGCAGCTGCACCACTCCTGTCTGCCTATTTCCAGACATCCTATTAAACTGGAAAGATGAACCCCTATGTGGTTATGCCACTGTGGTCAGGTTTCTGTAATGTTCAGAAACACCTCATATTTGTTGACACACAGATGCTCCAAGGACCATGCTGAGAAATACTGCCTTATTAAGCTAGGTATAGAAGTTTCTTAATAGTTTGAACTTGATTTCTTCTCTTGTATTCCCTTCTATTCTTACCTCTGTCCGAGGTGTGTGAACCAGAGCAACTCCATCTTAAATAGGAGCTGGGTAATGTTGAGAACAGGCCCCCCAAAATCTGGCCATTAACTGGCCCTAAAACTGGCCATAAACAATATCTCTGCAGCACTGTGACATGTTCATGATGGCCATGACGCCCACGCTGGAAGGTTGTGGGTTTACTGGAATGAGGGCAAGGAACACCTGGCCCACCCAGGGTGGAAACCTCTTAAAGGCGTTCTTAAACTACAAACAATAGCATGAGCGATCTTTGCCTTAAGGACATGCTCCTGCTGCAGATAACTAGCCAAACCCATCCCTTTATTTCGGCCCATCCCTTTGTTTCCCATAAGGAGTACTTTTAGTTAATCTATAATCTATAGAAACAATGCTTATCACCGGCCTGCTGTTAATAAATATGTGGGTAAATCTCTGTTCGAGGCTCTCAGCTCTGAAGGCGGTGAGACCCCTGATTTCCCACTCCACACCTCTATATTTCTGTGTGTGTGTCTTTAATTCCTCTAGCGCTGCTGGGTTAGGGTCTCCCTGACCGAGCTGGTCTCGGCAGGGTAAAATGAGACTGAAACCTACTGGGCTGTGTTCCCCAACAGTTAAGGCCTCCTGAGTCACAGGATAAGATAGGAGGTTAGCACAAAATACAGGTCATAAAGACCTTGCTGATGAAACAGGTTGCAGTAGGCCAGCCAAAACCCACCAAAAGCAAAATGACCACGAGAGTGACCTCTGGTCGTCCTCACTGCTACACTCCCACCAGTGCCATGACAGTTTACAAATGCCATGGCAACATCAGGAAGTTACCCTATATGGTCTAAAAAGGGAATCTGCCTCCTGTTTAGCGTATCATCAAGAACTAACCATAAAATGGGCAACCAGCAGCCCTCGGGGCTGCTGTGTCTATGGAGTAACCATTCTTTTATTTCTTTACTTTCTTAATAAACTCGCTTTCACTTTGCACTGTGAACTGGCCTTGAATTCTTTCTTGCACAAGATCCAAGAACCCTCTCTTGGGGTCTGGATCTGCACCCCTTTCCTGTAACGTATTTCTGGCGACCACAAAGGGACTATCGTGCAGAAACCCTGACCCAACAGCTACCTTTGCGTAAGTAGTGGGGTCCTGTAACATCTTTCTGATGACAAGGGAAGTGACTGTACTGCAGAAACCCCCAACCCAAAGGCTAACTTTGGGTAAGTGGTGGGGTCCAGTAACATCTTTCTGGATGTAACCACAAAAGGGACAATACCGAGGAGACCCCCCCAAAACCCAAGGAAAATAGACGGCAGCACTGATTGGATGACTTGGGGTAAGTGGTGGGGTACCCAGGTAAAGAATGGAATTGAGTTAGAGGCCCACCTTAGGGGAGTTAGAATCTCTCCTAAGACTGAGTGGGTTAAAGGCCTCTCTTAATAAAAGGCAAGGACGTTTGACCAACCTTGGGTTACAGGCCCAACTTAGGACGGTTAGAGTCCCTTCTAAGATTTAGGGGGTTGGTTAGAGGCCCCTCTCAGTAAAGTCCCTAAGAACAGGTTTGGTACTATGGAATGTTAACTGCTATTCTCGTTGTATTAATTTGCCTTGCACTCTTTGCTGACAGCTGTGGGTGACAGGATTAGGCATGTACAGGATCATGGGACATGGGGAACTTTTCCATCCCTAAAAGGGGAAACTTGAGAGCTAATGGGACTGCTGGAAGAGACTTGTTTGCTACCGACAAGCGGCCACCCGAACTTTTTCATTGTCGGATGGAATAAGTGGGTTTCTCTGGCCTCCCTAAGCTCTTCACCTTCCCCACCCTGCCACAGGCATACTTTCCTTCTCTACTTTTTTCTTTTTTTTTTTTTTGAGATGGAGTTTCACTGTTTCGCTCAGGTTGGAGTGAAGTGGTGTGATCTCGGCTCACTGCAACCTCCACCTCCCGGGTTTAAGTGGTTCTCCTGCCTCAGCCTCCCTAGTAGCTGGGATTACAGGCACCCACCACCATGCCCAGCTAATTTTTGTATTTTTAGTAGAGACAGGTTTTCACCATGTTAACCAGGCTGGTCTCAAACTCCTGACCTCAGGTGATCCATCCGCCTTGGCCTCCCAAAGTGCTAGGATTACAGGTGTGAGCCACTGCTCCTGGCTCTACTTTTCTTTTCCTATCTTTTCGTTATTCATGGCAGCCATCTTGTCCAGAGACCACATGTTGAAACTCTAAGTCAGAGGTTGGATTAAAGATGACAGGGCACATCTGGGGGCAAATTTAAGCCTTGCCAGTTTGATATTGGGTGCTAAGCAGAGTGGCTAATGTCTATGTTTTATCACATGTATTTTGCTCTGGTCAGAATGAAAAAAATAATTTTCCTTTATGATGCGGCTTGGTCCCCAGGGCAATGGTGCCACAAGCCAGATCACTAGGGCCGCTCAAGGAAAGGGAAGCCAGAAGCCTGGCATGCCAGCAAAAGGGTAAGAATTTCTTACCAGTCAGCTTTCTGGCTTCTCTCTCTCTGTGCAAATGGTTAAATGAATGGTAAAAAACAAACAAACAAAAACGGTGTTTATTTCCTCTGTAAAGTTTTGATTAATGTGAAAAAGAATTCTAGGGCTAGTCTTAAGCTGATGTATTTTGTAGTATAAATTTGTTTTTCTGTTTTGAGGGGTACTTCAGGATAAAACATGGGCTTAGAACACCTGTAAGCCTGCTTTTCAAGAAGACCCAGCAGGCTGGTCAGTAGCAAACTTGGCTGCAGGTCCCTAAAACAAACAAACCAAAAAAACTGGATGAAGTCTCCACCTTGTTTTATGTCCTTGGGAGCTTGACCTTTTAACCACGTGGCGGTACATTCTTTTGGTCTCCGCCTTCAGGGAACAGGAATTTTAGGGTTCATGTCATAGTTAGCTCTAAAAATCATATTAAATAGTTAAAAGCCTTTGCGAGCTCGAAATCAACTACTCTAAACTCCTTCTGGGAAAGAAAATGGAGACTGCCCTGTGCTGTAGCTCAGTAACAAAGGTTTTTGCACTTTCACAGTTGCAGTCCAGGTTCAATTCCCCACCTAGGAAGTGAGTTGTTTCTGGTTTAATATCTGCATGATTTTGTCTGTTCTATTCTCCTCCATGGACTGTCTTAAATTTTCCTTTCTCTAATCACCCGGGAGGTTACCTTTGGTAAAGTTCAAAAGCCAGAAATATCGGCCGTTTGGCATAAGAAATTCTAAAAGGACTTTATTAAAGAGTGCTATGGTTAGAATCAGTTCAAGCTCTAACAGCCTGGACTCCTTGGGAAAAATAGGAGGCACCAGAGACCTCTTTCCTGGCCCTTTTCTTCCAAGGGCTCCACCCTAAAGCCAGTAATCCAATTACAAAACTTAAAAATTGGCAAATGAAAAATTTTACTACTACTGTAGTAATCTTCTGTCTTTCTGTGTAGCTATATATGTGTTGTGTGTAATGTTTATATAAAAGAACTCATTAATTGGCTTAAACAAAAATAAACACAAATCAAATATTTTGAAAGCAAAATAAAAACTGTAATGCCTTTTAGTTCGTGTAACTTTAATAATTTTGGGGAAATAAAAACAGCTTTAAAATTTTGATAAAAACGTTCAGTCTAAATTATGCAGATCAGATATTAAGTTTGCTAAATGCTTTAAGGTCATAAATTGCTTCTTTGACTTTTAAAAATTGTTCAATTTACCTACCTTAAAGCCATTAGATTCTAGATAAGGCTTGGGGACATGTGAAATTAGCCATGTACCCTACCTATACAAAGAAGATTATTTAAAAAGAGATTTTATATAAAAAAGGATCTTGTATGGTAAACTCTTGTCCTAAAGTAAAATGACTGGTTGTTTAAAAGGAAGGATGTTTAGGACAAATCAGAAAGTCCAAGAATGTCTCAGATGGTCTGTGTAAGTTGTGAAAAGATTTGTGAAAGGGAATTTATGCAAGAAATGTCGTACAATTCAAAGGTTGTTAGGCCTCCTAAATGCTTCATAAAATGCCACTATGACTCCTACTGTACAACTTGCCTGCGTTACTGCTAGGTAAGGCATGGGAACATGTGGAGTTAGCCACACCCCTAGCTATGCTGGAGAGTCAGCCCTTATCTGCACTTCTGCCTGGTGTGTCCTGGGCTAGGCTCCACACCTAGTACACAATTCAAATTGCTTACTAACCAGGGCTTCCACCAAAAGTAAAAGTCACTAAAAGTTAATGTTGTAACATGTAATTGAGACTATTGAAGAAACACTTTTACATGTAAGGTGTGTAAGGAAAGTAAAATATATTTTTGGTAAAAGATTATAAAAAGGCATGAGAATGTAGTTTTTTTTTGCCTAAAGGGTTAAAGAATTGTTTTAAGTTGGATAGAATAAAGCTAAAGGTTTAAACAAATGTGGAAGGTTTGTAAAAATATATATATATATAAAAGAGAGTCTGTATGTGGACATTGGCTAAATTAAGGGATATTATTCAGTTTTTCTATAAATTAAACATTGGAATAAAAGCACAACAGGTTTTTCTTAGAGCAAAACCATGCTTCTGCTCTTTAACAAAAACTTGTAAAGGGTTATAAAAGGCTTATGAGAATCTTACTTTATGGTCAAACTGACTAAGATTGGATGGATTTATTTATAAGGTTTTATTAAGAATTGGGTTTGACATAAATAATGCACTAATGCAACAGTGACATTTGGCTTATTTGGTAAGAAAGTCATACAGGAAGTATTCTGAAATATAAAATGGTGTTTGGTTTTCTTTGGGCTGTATTTTCATAAATGTGTTATTGGTATATATTCCAAAATTATGGGAAACTCCTATAATTCTGATATGACTTAGTGTACATTATCAGTAACAATTATAATTGTTGCATAAAATCATTGTATGCCACAGAGGTAACAAATTTCCTTGTCAATTGTTTCTTTGATTGTGGCTGCCCTAAAACATTTTGTCAGCCACAGACAATTATTACTTTGTTTTAATCCTCTTTAGAAGGTGGTTTATAATCAATTATAGAACTCTAACAGGTGTTCTTAAATGCAGGTTTTTCTGATAACTTTGGAGATTATAACATCAGAATAGAGAAAACAACTTTTAGAACTCTCATGAAGAGCTGGAATGTTCATGAATATAAAATAGAACAGGTGTTAACTAAATTAACTGAACCAATAGAAAACTGAACTAATCTTTTTAACTTTGCTTAAAATGCTGCTGATCCTTTGTTTTGTTTTTCAGAGTCAAGGAAACTTTTCTTTTGAGTTTTTCTATTTACAGCTGTTAGCAATTGAGTAAAATATACTACTGTGAACAAAATTTGGAACATATTTGTTTCTCTCTACCTGATTTCTCCAGAATTTGGAAACTAGTTGCAAGTATTCCTAACTTATGGCAATATAGTAATTTGCATAAGTACAATAAGAATCTGTTTTCTTTTGTAAAAGGGCACAATTGCAGAAATTTATAATTTTACCAAGGCTTTCATTGGAATGGTGTGTTTTCCTTTAAGGAATTAAAATGAACTTGTAGAGCCAATAAAAGCCCTTTGGGGAACTGGCCTCATACCTTGCCTACACAGTCCCTGTACAGGGTTTCTGACTTGTGGTAACTAAAGAATGTCACTTTCTATCAAGTCCAGTAGAAGTAGAAGTAAGTTATCTCGGGACTGCAAGAGGAAAGAAACTTACCCAACTCATAGGTATTAGAGGGTACAAACCCATGGCTGGACTCAGTTTTTAAAAAGTCTTATCTGAGATTCCTTATAAAACAGAGTTCTATCAAAGCCAATTAAAAAAACCTATGTGAAAAATAATTATTCTTGCTGCACTTTATACAAATAATCAGGCCATGTATAATAAAGTAAATCAGTCTCATCATGATTTGTCTTTAGTAAAAATGGAATACTGGAGAGAGAAATATTATGTTTCAAGAACTATGGTACACTTAAATTCTAGTCTCATTAGTTGTCTCTGTTTCTGCAATTTAGGCTAACCCTGCTTATTCCTATGAACCAACCAGTAATCTCTGACTGTTGCTCAGAAAAAAACAAGAGGACGGGTAATGTGAAAATCTGGATCAGTATTCTAATTCTGGGCACATTACAACCAACTGACCCCATACCAGCTTAGCTCCAACGGTTGCCCAATTCATGAAAAGCCTTCTAATTTAGTTTATTTAGAATATAACTTTACTTACTTTGTTTTACTCTTGTGGAATATATTGCTGTTATACTCTTTGTGTAGGAAAACAGAACAAGCATACTAAATGTTTCCTTTTTTTTTTTTTCTTTTGAGATGGAGTCTCCTTCTGTCACCCAAGCTGGAGTGCAGTGGCGTGATCTTGGCCCACTGCAACCTCTGCCTCCCGGGTTCAAGTGATTCTCCTGCCTCAGCCTCCTGAGTAGCTGGAACTACAGGCACACACCACCACGCCTGGCTAGTTTTTGTATTATTAGTAGAGATGGGGTTTCACCATATTGACCAGGCTGGTCTCAAACTCCTGACCTCATGATCCACCCACCTTGGCCTCCCAAAATGTTGGTATTACAGTTGTGAGCCGCCACGCCTGGCCCTAAATGTTTTCTTAAATTAAACACTTATAAATCTTCCAGATATCACCTTTTGTCAAAATTCAATAATTATGAATGGACCTTACTATACTGATGCTTTCTTACTAAGCTCCTCTCTACCCTGAATGCAAGAGACCCTCATAGTTAGGCAAGAATATCATCACCCCATTCAACCTGAAAAAGCTACAGAAGATGGATCGTCATCCCTCTGCAACCCTCAGGATTAAGGATTCTTTCATAAAAGGGAGAGGGAAATGTCAGAGACATGTGAACCAGAGCATCTCCATCTTAAATAAGAGCTGGGTAAAATGAGGCTGAAAGTTACTGGGCTGCATTCCCAGACGGATAAAGCAATCTAAGTCATGAAGTCAGCACAAAATACAGGTCATAATGACCTTGCTGATAAAACAGGTTGCAGTAAAGGAGCCAGCCAAAACCAAAATGGTGACAAGACTGACCTCTGGTCGTCCTCACTGCTACACTCCCATCAGCACCATGACAGTTTACAAATGCCATGGCAACGTCAGGAGGTTACCCTATATGGTCTAAAAAGGAGAGGCATTAATAATCCACCCCTTGTTTAGTATATCATCAAGAAATAACCATAAAAATAGGCAACCAGCAGCCCTTGGGGCTGCTCTGTCTATGGAGTAGCCATTCTTTTATTCCTTTACTTTCTTAATAAACTTACTTTCACTTTGCACTGGGACTCACCTTGAATTCTTTCTTGGACGAGATCCAAGAACCCTCTTTTGGGGTCTGGATCTGACCCCTTTCCTATAACACTATTATGGTTTTCTTCTAAAGTATTATGTATTCCTTTCAGTCTTGTTGAGATGAAAAGGAATAATGGGTTCTAATAATAAATAGACAACCATAAAACTCAACTTTATTTGATTTTTAAAAATAAAATGAAAGGTGACATCAAACAGTACTATGCAATATGAGAATATTAATTTCTCCTAAATTTCACTGAAAGCAAAAGTTACTTACTTACTGAAAGTTACTAAGATTGTGGAATATAATTCTGTTTTTCAATATTTACCAAACTGGGAAGGGGAGAATAGCTATACTCGGGAAAATATTAGGGAGGCACTAATTATAACAATTTCACAAATGAAAATTACAGGTTCTATGCTTTAGAGAGTAACATATCAGTTATACAACACTTTTTATAATGCACTATGTTAAAATTTGCTCTTAGCTGGAAACAGGGTTTCATTTGGTAGGACATATGTTTCAGTGTATTTTATATTATCCTGAAGACTTTTTTAACATCCCAAATATAATGCAACTACTTAAAATTAAGAAGTTTTACAGAAGTCCATCCATTGCTTATAAACTAAATGCAGCAGTAACCTGTTTCAGTAGCTTCTAAGTAAACTCCTTGCAGATAATCCTTTAGTATTTGAGCGAGGAAAGTAGTTTGGTCTTTAACCTGACTCCACACATCATATTTGTATCATTAATACCCTTTTCTAAAATGGTATCCAGTTTTCAACTATAAAAGAAAGTCAAAAGTTAAATATTAGCCTATAAACATTTCAGGAAAAACTTCTTACCTATTAAATGGAACCAGAAAACTTATGTAGGCATTTCTATTTTATTATCTGAAACATTCCTCCTAAAAGATCTTCATATGAAGAGTTTTGAGTGATGCATATAATTAATTACATGTGCATCTCTACGCTGTCATCTTGTGAAGAGATACTACATTAATTCCATGAGAGTAGTCTATCAAAGGTGGGTTTAAGAAGAAGAGAAATGTTACAGAAGTTGAATTCCAATTAACTTTATGACTGATTGCAGGGCTATTGGAAACTTTTTTTGTAAATCGGAATGGGAATCTTTTTAAGTAATGGGGGCTGAGACAAGATAGTAACAAATGAGGAACTCAATTATTTGACTCTTTTTTTTTTTTTTTTTTTTTTTGAGACAGAGTCTCACTCTGTTGCCCAGGCTGGAGTGCAGTGGCATGGTCTCGGCTCACTGCAACCTCCGCCTCCCAGGTTCATGC
The DNA here is from genome assembly GCF_000001405.40 of Homo sapiens. Lineage (NCBI taxonomy): Eukaryota > Metazoa > Chordata > Mammalia > Primates > Hominidae > Homo > Homo sapiens. The sequence continues at coordinate 173,501,614 of NC_000001.11, forward strand.
CATTCTCCTGCCTCAGCCTCCTGAGTAGCTGGAACTACAGGCGCCCACCACCACGCCCAGCTAATTTTTGGTGGTGTGAGCCACCACGCCAGACCAATTATTTGACTCTTAATTCCTCTTTGTGAAATAAGGTCCCTTTAAGAGAGAGGAGAGGAAGGCCCTAGGAGGGCTGCCTAAAAAGAACCAAGTTACCTGGTTTAAAGGAACTATTGACCATAAATTTGGTCAATGCAACTTTCCTTTCCCCAACAAATATTCTGCAGACTACCTTGATTATCATAAATAACAGTGGCAGGACCAACATTGCTATTAGAAGAGTCTTAGGGTGGCTGTCTAGTTGGGGATAATGTGGGCCAAGGGACTTCTCTTGCTGTTTATGGCTGGGCGCGGTGGCTCACGCCTGTAATCCCAGCACTTTGGGAGGCCAAGGCAGGCAGATCATAAGGTCAGGAGATCGAGACCATCCTGGCTAACATGGTGAAACCCTGTCACTACTAAAAATACAAAAAAGTAGCCAGGCATGGTGGCATGTGCCTGTAGTCCCAGCTACTCCAGAGGCTGTGGCAGGAGAATCGCTTGAATCCAGGAAGCAAAGGTTGCAGTGAGTCAAGGTTGTGCCAATGTACTCCAGCCCATGTGACAGAGTGAGATTCCATCTCAAAAAAAAAAAAAAAAAAAAAAAAAGCTGTTTATTTGGGATGACTTGGCACCTGGCTGGGAAAAGGCTAAAGGTCCTTGAAGCCTGTGCTTAGCACCATCACTGCTACCTGGCCCACTTCTGCATTTGTCTAGCACCCTATTAACCTGTCAGAGCCATCTGCTCCTCCAGTCCACCCAGCAGTCTGCTCTGGCCCAAACAGGAGCCCTAATAGAGACCTCTACAGTCATGAGCCCTGCAGGCTGCCCCACCACCACCAAAATTGTCTCTATTCTGTCCTGGTCCAATAAGACAGGCCCATATTCCTTTTCAACTCTAGGCGTGACTTCCAGCCTTCTCAAACTTCTCTAAATTTGTCCTGGTTACTGAGGAAAGAAGGAAAAGATGTAGGGGCAAACATCTACATGACTCTCCACAACAAAATGTCTTGAAGTCTCTTGTTTTATCTTAAAAATTCATGCAAATTTGTCATCCTACTCGATAATATGTTTTTTAATATAAAATGTTTCAAATAACCTACCAGTTAAATGAGTTAACCTTTTTCTTTAAAGGATCCTCAAGTAAAACTGGTACTCTAGGAAGATGCGTGTGATCAGCCTGTGACTCCACAAACTGCAAGCATAGCAATCTGTACATCCAGGAATCCACACTCCAGAGGCAGAGCATGGATATTTAGACCCTAGTGTCTACACGTGTGCATGATGTATGTCCCTCCTCACCCCAAATTCCATAGATCCCTACTCTTTGACCTAAATATCAGTGAGGGGGGTAAAAATGGGGTGGGGCAAAATTACATCTTTCAAAAATACTCTGTAATTTTAATTTTTAAGTAATTTAAATGGGGTTTATTCTAATTTGTCCAAATTAATGAGTTGTAGCTAGGAGTGTCTTTTCTCACCACCTACAATTTGCTATTTTGCCTCAATTTATTTTAGCTGTATAGTTCAATATTTGCAATAAGAAAAAATTCTAATCAAAGTGTCAAGTTTATTACCTCATCTTTTGTCTTCCATTTATATTCTTTCCTGGTTGTTCAAAGACCGTGTTGACTGAGGCTAACCAAATCCAAGCATTGAACAGAAAAAGTAAATTAGGAATTTAAGAGTAAAGGCAACCAGAAAATATTTTGAAATATCTATTTGCTTTCTCCCTATAAGTTTCCCTTTTCCCTTCCCCCTCTCAAATGTCCCTGTTTTTCTTCCCTCAGAGGTTCGTAGTAGGCTCCCTAAAGTCCAATACAAGGGCTGACAAACTCATATGAGAATAGGCAGATCACGTAAACAGTTGAAGTGGGCGGGGTAAAGGCGAGAGTGAGCAGTGTGGACTGTGGCAAGCTGCAGAGCATCTGCTCCCTCTATAGAAGCCAAATGATACTCAGCCCTATCTATTGCCACATACAGGAATGAGGGCTGAGTGCTGGCAGACCTTATTTTTTCATGAAAACTTCAAAATCTGCATTTTTAAAATGCAAAACATTTGTTTCTACTTGGCAACTAATTTTAAAATTTTAAAAGAAAACAAGTGACTCTTAAACAAATTAAGAGTCAAAGATCCAGTCCACGTGCCTACCATTTGTGACTTTTGTCTGAAACCCATGAGGAATACAAAGTGATGTGTTTCCCTCTATCTAAAAATGATTACAGAGAAACTCATCAAGAAAAGGGGCCTGTGGGCACAAGAACACTAGGGACCTGTGCCCTGCTCCCTGACAGTGCTTAAGATCTCTGACTCAATAGCCCTTCTTAGGGTGCCCCAAGGGGGCTGACGCTAGACCCTGAGTTCCCAGCCTTGCCATAGACTCCTGTGCCCCAAGAGTGATTTGAAAGCAGCAGAGCGGCAGACCTTCAGAGACTGTGAGCTGGGGAAATGGTCATCTCAGTGCTAGCCAACTTGGAAAGGTGACCCAGGAGCAGAGGGGGCTCCCTAAATCACAGTGCTGCATATGACCCTAGAAGAGGGTGAGCCACAGGAACCTCTGAGGTTCAAATTGCTGCCAAGGGAAAAGCTTAATTACTTATTGAATATCTGTCTCTCCTCCCTATGAAGGCAAACACCTTATCTGGCTCACTCACCAATTGGCACTTGGCACAGTACCCAGCACACAGCGGGGCTGCATTTTATAAAAAGCAAGCAATTGAGAAACAGTGAGATATAAGACTGAGAAAACGTCACTCTTCGCACACAATTTGAAATCGTGCAAATCCTCCCCCCAAAGCAACAATCCATTAAGAATTGCATAATAGCTAAACTGATGGATCACATGAATTGTAAACACTGGGATGGTGCAAGTTAGAGTTACAAAGCTAGAGTGTGTCCTCAAGCTGGGGCAGCTGGGAGAATTTTGTCATTGGGCTTGGGAGGGCAGGGATGCTGAGCACAAGATGGAAGATCTTGTGTGTGTTTTTTCTAGAGCAAGCTCTTCCTATCAAGTCTTCTCTGTATAATGCTTAGCACCATGATGCATGCAGTTGGATGCTAATAAATGTAACTATAGCTACTCAGTGACTATCAAGGCATACTCAAGGCAAGTCATTTGACTTGTAGCTGTGACCATGGAATACTCACTGACTATGGGTAAGGTTTCCTATTCCCTTCAGTTGCTGGGAGCAAACCAGTTCCCCATACCTGGGCTCCTGTGAAAGAGTCTGTTCCCTCCCCATTCTTGCACTGCCAGCACCATGTGGCTGCAGCCTACCAGGGCAGCAACAGAGTGCATTGCAGAAGCTGCTCTCCCCTGACTAGTGTATGGAGGGAGGGACATGGCAGAGGAAGGAGCCACCTGGATTTTAGGGTCTGGAAGTCTCTCATATGTGACCTCCCAGGGCAATGTGGCAGCCAGGGTGGGCCCAAGGATGGGGACTAATGATAAACCCACATAGTGCCCTCTCAAATCACTTTCTTAGAGTTAAAGGAATTTTACATGTATTGAAGTTCCTTCTCAATAGTTTTCCTACCACTAAAGGTCTACCCCTTACCCATGACATTGGTGTTACTATTTCTTTGGGTAAGCTCAGATGCTTGGATTATCAGCAGCTTGCTTAAATCAGAAGTTCCCTGAACCTAGAGGAGAAAAGTCAAAATTAGTCAAAAGAGCATTCTTTGATCTCTAACCTGGCTGCTTCCTAATCTTTCCAAAGAGTATAAAAAATAAGCCAAAGCCTAAAGCTGGGTCTTCAATCTTGGCTCTATATTCTAAATTTCAAATCCTCTTTGATGTTGAGAAGTCTTAGACCAACAAATTGTCCTTGCATATTTAGACACCAGAGAGGAAATTTCTACACCTTACTCATAACTAGGCTGGAAATTCCCAGTTTGGAAAGCAGGGAATCCCCAGCATCCAGTAAGCTACTTTTACTCCTACACTGATGCTCAAGGGCTCAAGGCTCAGCATTCCCAGGATGGCAAGACTGTCTTCCTTTCTTAGACCATTTGTCCCATGTGCCATAAAATCTGCCTCCCAGAATGCCAGCATCAAACAAGTAATCATTATAACTATCATTTTTAGATTACCACATATTATCTCATTTAATCCTCCCAATAACCCGATAAGATGGCTGCTGACCTTATCCCTATCTTACCATGAAGGAAATTGAGGGTCAGAAAGGTTAAGCAACTTACCTAAGCTCAAGTACAAGTAGGCACAGGGATCAAGTTTTAAGCCTAAGTGTGCCTGACTCCAAACCCTGGTCTCTTAAGAAACTAAGCTGCAGTATTACTCCTGTTGCTTCCTTGCTTCTTGCCTCCATCCTTTGTTTCAAAGCTAAACAAGATTTTAATTTTCTATTAAAAACATGTAAATTACCTTCATCATCTGAATTGATGAAAGGTACAAAATAAGAATGTTTTGAAAGAAGAAAATTCATTTTTTAGGTTTACCAACTTTTCCAGGACAAATTTTCATAATGACTTTTCACAGCCTGAACTGGGAGAAAAGGTCTCTCCCATAAGGTAGAAACTTACTGCCAGATTTAAAGAGATGTCAGTCAGCTCTTCCCATGGCCTCTGGGTCCTCCCCATTCCTTTGCCCAGTGGCAGGCAGCTTGGGCCATTAGGGACTTTGCTTCTATCCTTCCCATGCCCTCTTATGTCCTAGGTGGTCACACTTCCTTTGTCTTTACAGAGGTATGGAATGCTGAGGCCCAGGGCCCAGGATCTACTATCAAGTGCCCATAGCCCCTAATGTGTCAACAAAGTGATGTGGCCCCTACTCTACTCCTTTTTTGTCAACCAGTGCAGATACTTCCAGAGCTATGCTAGAACACGGCATCGTTGCCTTGGCGTAAACTAGGGAAAACTTACAGCATCTCATCCTTCCTTTGGCACAGCCCCACGCCAGGGCAAAGGGCGTGGCAAGCAAACAGCAGGCAGATTTCAGCTCCCTGTCCCTTGGGCACACCCTTGTGTAGGGCACCTGTATTACAGTACACAGAAGCCCTAGGTACATTTTTACTGTTTGTAAAAGGCAAGTAAGAACTACAGGGTCATTCCAGGTTAAATTTCTTTTTAAGGTGATCAGTTGAGTTTTAAAGTCACTTTTGGAGCACCGTGAAGAGCAAGAGACTCTTTAGAAATGATATTTCTTACCTGCTCACAGGTTGTAGGTATAATGCAAGGTGCAAAATATGGTTCCTCTGTCTTAGTATCAATTACACTGCCATACACAATGATAACAAATTTCATGGTCATATTATCAATAATCATGTCACTATAGCTTGATAAAGTTTCCACATATGCTTGATTGAACATCACACAGTTCTGAAACCTTAAGTCCTATAATAAAATTGCATTTTAGAAAATAAGTCATACAAACTGACAGATGGTATCAAGAAGAAAACAGATTTACTGATCTATCTGAATTATTTGAGGGTGTCAGAAGGTACACAGCCCCTGGCACCAACAGACAGGATTTATTTAGCATTCAGAATGGCCTCTGACAAATTTCTAAATTCCAAATGTTTATGCTGTTAATGGGCCCTGGATACTGTTGCCCAGCCCTAAATTGTGAGCTCTCAGCCACAGCAGGGTAGTTGGCTATGACTCAGGAGATTTCTATTTGCACAAGACTCAGAGTCTTAAAAGATTCAGAGTTTCACTTACAAGTAAGCTTATGTTCCACTTGACAGGTGAATAGGAATAACACAAAGCCAAAACAAAGCAAGCTAGAGTCTGAGCTATACTTCAAGGCTCAGAGTCATAGACTTTAGAACTGGGAGGGAGTTATTATGGGTTGAATTGTGCACACACACACACACACACACACCACCTCCCACCCAATTCTTATGCTGAAGTCCTAACTCCCAGTATCCTGGAATGTGACCTTATTGAAATGGGTCATTGCAGATGCAATTAGTTAAGATGAAGTCATACTGGAATAGGTTGGGCCTCTAATTTGAACAACTAGTGTCCTTATAAAAAGGGGAAACTTGGACGCAGACTTGCACACAGGGAGAACGCCACGTGAATATAAAGGCAGCCATTTATAAGCCAAGGAGGGAGGCCTGGCCCAGATTCTCCCTCACAGCCCCTCAGTAGGAGCCAATCCTCCCAACACCTTGATTTCTAATTTCTAGCCTCCAGAACTGTGAAACGATGCATTTCTGGTTTTTTTACGCCACCCAGTTTGTGGTACTTTGTTACAGCCGTGCTTGCAAACTAACCCAGGAATTTAGAGATCAGCCCAACAGTAGGCATCTCCTGCACAGGGCCCTGACAGGGCTGTCAGCTCAGTCTAAACATCTCCACCCCCATTCAGGGCACAGCTACATGAGCCAGTCCCTGAATCTCAGTCACTGACAGGTGAATCATACATTTATTTGCTGAGGGCACCAGCACAACTGGGAACCAAAAACATTTAAAAATTAGCAAATGTATCTAGTATTTCACAACCAGAAAATCTAAAAAAAAATCAGCTGTTTTGGTTTGATTTTAAAATGCATATACATTTTGAGTTCTGTGATTTAGAGGGAAAAAAATCTTAATTGGCTAGTTCTTTAATGGAAAAAAAAAGAAAGAAACTAAGTATTAAATAGAGATTCTCTATTTAATAATAAATACAATTTTTTTAATGTTTTATATCTGTACTTTCTCATTTATATAATGAATATGTGTTGCTTGTGAATTTAAAAAAATTTAAAGGACATTCATCTTATTATTGAGTCAAGTCTGAGTCCATACAGTTTCTACCCATTGGTCCTAATTCTCACCCCTGAAGTTTCATACTAGACTCTAAATTTGTCCCACTTCTCATGAAGATGCAAGGTAAAAGGAAAAGAGAAGAATTCCAATCCCCTTATCCCTCTGCTAAAATTTTTCTGAAAGTTATTATTGCAATAAAGTAAAAGAAACCTGACTGGCTTGTATGACACACTCATTTTTTAACCCAATATTTATTTATACCCAGTCGCTCAGTTCAGTGAATATTACTGAACTTCCAATCTTTCCCAGTTCACTTCCCCAGTTCCTGACTCACTAGCTAGTAAGGGTTCCAATAGTTACTAAATAGGATACAAATGTGAGATTGTAAATTGTGCTTGTCCAGAGAAAACTTGAACCACTACTCTTTGGAGGGGAAGTCCATGAGAGAGGCTCAGTCACCTCCACAAAGATTTTGAAAAGGCAGGAGATTTACAGACTTATATTAACATCGGCAGAGTAGGCAATAATAAATACAGACAGAGCGTTTGTTAACACATTCTGATTAACACTATGCTTGGTTCAGGGGGGGATCTACCTATTTTGAATTTGCTAAATCTACCTTCTTTTTTTTTTTAGAAATGATTGCAAGTAGCTTGGGAAAATTAGCTGTGACAAAAGGATTGACAACCTGTAGGAACTCAGGATAAGAGAGCAGTTAAAATTCTAGCAATCTCATTTTAGAAAAGCAGACACAGGGCCAGGCACAGTGGCTCACGCCTATAATCCCAGCACTTTGGGAGGCCGAGGTGAGTAGATCACTTGAGGTCAGGAGTTCAACACCAGCCTGGCCAACATGGTGAAATCCTGTCTCTACTAATAATAAAAAAAATTAGCCAGAGGTGGGGGCAGGCGCCTATAATCCCAGTTACTTGGGAGGCTGAGGCAGGAGAATTGCTTCAACCTGGGAGACAGAGGTTGTAGTGAGCTGAGACTGCACCATTGCACTCCAGCCTGGGCAACAGAGTGAGCCTCTGTCTCAAAAAAAAAAAAAATCAAACACAAATTTCCTTTCTATTTTTGTCTCAAAAATATGAAATGCATTTTGTAAAAAATACAATGCATAAAAATTCAATTTATTAATATTTTAATCACATAACTTACCTCATCAATAAGACTTGATTCAAAATACTGATAGGCAGTACTGAGAGCAAGCTTTAGCCATATTTTATATTCCAGAGATGGCCAGAAGGCATCAAAGCCTTCATATAAATCCTCCAGGGAGATAAAGCAGGCCTGAAACAAAAAGGAACCAGGCCATAGCAGCTTGATGTGGAACTAAATTACAAGACCATCAAAAAACAAGATGCCTGCAGATTTAACCTTCAGAAAAACTATCAATTCTAGCATAATTATGATACTCTTGTCATTTAGAAGCATTTGTATTGTGAAAATGGTTGTTTGCTAAGTATAAGATGATAAAATGTATGGTGTGATTAAAGCTATAGACTTTAATAAGAGACCAGAAAAATGTATATCAGTCAATAGATATAATGAAGGATATGGCTCATGAGCCCAAAGTCCAGGATTCAGGAACTAAGCCATATGAACTTATCTATTTTTATTGTCATGGTAGATAACATGAGCTCATTCACAGTATTTGTTTCCAGAGGCAAATAGTTTAGCTGAATAAAAAAGATACACTTTCAGATTCAAGTTACACGAACTTCAGTGAATTCAATTCAGCCTTATGACTAAACTCATGCCTTCTCTCCTCTTCCAAAAATGAAATGACATGAAATAGCTAAAACAACATTTCCTTCCACTCCACACACCCCTAAGACTCTGGATCCTGCTCTTTTGCATCATATAGTCTCCAAAGATTGAGAATTCTTTGGCTCATTTCTTTTTTTGTTTAATTATTTCATTGTACTTTAAGTTCCAGGATACAAGTACAGAATGCGTAGGTTTGTTACTTAGGTCTACGTGTGCCATGGTGGTTTGCTGTACCTATCAACATGTCATCTAAGTTTTAAGCCCCCCATGCATTAGCTATTTATTCTAATGCTCTCATTCCTCTCACCCCCTCAATCCCCAAACGGCCCTGGTGTGTGATGTTCCCCTCCCTGTGTCCATGTGTTCTCATTGTTCAACTCCCACTTATGAGTGAGAACATGCAGTGTTTGGTTTTCTGTTCCTGTGTAAGTTTGCTGAGGATGGCGGCTTCCAATTTCATCTATGTCCCTGCAAAGGACATGTTCTCATTCCTTTTTATGGCTGCACAGTATTCCATGGTGTGTATGTACCACATTTTCTTTATCCAGTCTATCATTGATGGGCATTTAAGTTGGTTCCATGTCTTTGCTCTTGTGAATAGTGTGGCAATAAACATACATGTGCATGTGTCTTTATAGTAGAATGATTTATATTCCTTTGGGTATTTACCCAGTAATGGGATTGCTGGGTCAAATGGTATTTCTGGTTCTAGGTCCTTGAGGAATCATCACACTGTCTTCCACAATGGTTGAACTAATTTACATTCCCACCAACAGTGTGAAAGTGTTCTTAGTTCTCCACAGCCTCACAAGCATCTATTGTTTCCTGGATTTTTTTTCCTTTCTTTTCCTTTTTTTTTTTTTTTTTTTTTTTTGAGACAGAGTCTCACTCTCTCACTAAGCTGGAGTGCAGTGGTGCATCTCGGCTCACTGCAACCTCCACCTCCTGGGTTCAAGCAATTCTCCTGCCTCAGCCACCCGAGTAGCTGGGACTATAAGTGCGCCACCATGCCCAGCTAGTTTTTGTATTTTTAGTAGGGATGGGGTTTCCCCATGTTGGCCAGGATGGTCTTAATCTCTTGACCTCATGATCCCCCTGCCTCAGCCTCCCAAAGTGCTGGGATTACAGGCATGAGCCACCGTGCCTGGCCCATTTCCTGACTTTTTAATAATTGCCATTCTGACTGGTGTGAGATGGTATTTCATTGCGGTTTTGATTTGCATTTTTCTAATCAGTGATGTTGAGCTTTTTTTCATATGTTTGTTGGCTACGTAAATTGTCTTCTTTTGAAAGGTGTCTGTTCATATCCTTTGCCCACTTTTTGATGGGGTTTTTCTTGTAAATTTGTTTAAGTTCCTTGTAGATTCCGGATATTAGACCTTTGTCAGATGGGTAGATTGCAATAACTTTCTCCCATTCTGTAGGCTGCCTGTTCACTCTAATGATAGTTTCTTTTGCTGTGCAGAAGCTCTTTAATTAGATCTCATTTGTCAATTTAGGCTTTTGTTGCAATTGCCTTTGGCATTTTTGTCATGAAGTCTTTGCCCATGCCTATGTCCTGGGTGGTATTGCCTAGGTTTTCTTCTAGGGTTTTTATGATTTTGGGTTTTACATGTAAGTCTTTAATCCATCTTGAGTTAATTTACGTATAAGGTGTAAGGAAGGGGTCCAGTTTTGGTTTTCTGCATATGGCTCACCAGTTTTCCCAACACCATTTACTGAATAGGAGATCCTTTCCCCATTGCTTGTTTTTATCAGGTTTGTCGAAGATGAGGTAGTTGTATATGTGTAGGGTTATTTCTGAGGCCTCTGTTCTGTTCCATTGGTCCATATGTCTGTTTTGGTACCAGTACCATGCTATTTTGGTTACTGTAGCCTTGTGGTATAGTTTGAAGTCAGCTAGCGTGATGCCTCCAGCTTTGTTCTTTTTGCTTACGATTGTCTTGTCTATGTGGGCTCTTTTTTGGTTCCATATGAAATTTAAAATAGTTTTTTCTAATTCTGTGAAGAATGTCAATGGTAGTTTGATGGAAATAGCATTGAATCTATAAATAACTTTGGGCAGTATGGTCATTTTCACACTATTGATTCTTCCTATCCATAAGCATGGAATGTTTTTCCATTTGTTTGTGTCCCCTCTTATTTCCTTGAGGAGTGGCTTGTAGTTCTCCTTGAAAAGGTCCTTCACATCCCTTGTTAGCTGTGTTCCTAGGTATTTTATTCTCTTTGTAGCAATTGTGTATTGGAGTTCATTCATGATTTGGCTCTCTGCTTGTCTGTTGTTGGTGCATAGCAATGCTTGTGATTTTTGCATGTTGATTTTGTATCCTGAGACTTTGCTGAACTTGCTTATCAGCTTAAGGAGTTTGTGGACTGAGACAATGGGGTTTTCTAAATATAGAATCATGTCAGCTGCAAACAGAGACAATTTGATTTCCTCTCTTCCCATTTGAATACCTTTATTTCTTTATCTTTCCTGATTGCCCTAGCCAGAACTTCTAATACTATGTTGAATAGAAGTGGTGAGAGAGGGTATCCTCGTCTTGTGCCAGGTTCCAAAGGAAATGCTTCCAGCTTTTGCCATTCAGTATGATATTGGCTGTGGGTTTGTCATAAATAGTTCTTATTATTTTGAGATATGTTCCATCAATACCTACTTTATTGAGAGTTTTTAACATGAAGGGATTTGAATTTTATTGAAGGCCTTTTCTGCATCTGTTGAGATAATCATGTGGTTTTGTCATTGGTTCTGTTTATCTGATGGATTATGTTTATTGATTTGCATATGTTGAACCAGTCTTACATGCCAGGGATGAAGCCGACTTGATTGTGGTGGATAAGCTTTTTTGATGTGCTGCTGGATTTGGTTTGCCAGCATTTTATTAAGGATTTTCACATTGATGTTCATCAGAGATATTGACCTGAAGTTTTCTTTTTGTTGTTGTTGTTGTTGTTGTGCCTCTGCCAGGTTTTGGTATCAGGATGATGCTGGCCTCATAAAATGAGTTAGGGAGGTGTCCCACCTTTTCAACTCTTTGGAGTAGTTTCAGAAGGAATGGTACCAGCTTCTCTTTGTATCTCTGGTGGAATTCGGCTGTGAATCTATCTGGTCCTGGGCTTTTTTTGGTTGGCAGGCTATTAATTACTGCTTCAATTTCAGAACTAATTTTTGGTCTATTCAGGGATTTTAATTCTTCCTAGTTTAGTCTTGGGAGAGTGTATGTGTCCAAGAATTTACCCTTTTCTTTTAGATTTTCTAGTTTATTTACATAGAGGTGTTTATTCTCTGATCGTAGTTTGTATTTCTGTGGGGTCAGTGGTGATATCCCCTTTATCATTTTTTATTGTATCCATTTGATTTCTCTCTCTTTTCTTCATTAGTCTAGCTAGCGGTCTATTTTGTTAATTTTTTCAAAAAAATCAGCTCCCGGATTCATTCATTTTTTGAAGGGTTTTTTGTGTCTCTGTCTCCTTCATTTCTGCTCTGATATTAGTTATTTCTTGTCTTCCGCTAGCTTTTGGATTTGTTTGCTCTTGCTTCTCTAGCTCTTTTAATTGTGATGTTAGGGTGTTGATTTGAGATCTTTCTAGCTTTCTGATGTGGGCATTTAGTGCTATAAATTTACCTCTTAACACTGCTTTAGCTGTGTCCCAGAGATTCTGGTATGTTGTCTCTTTGTTCTCATTGGTTTCAAAGAACTTCTTGATTTCTGCCTCAATTTCATTATTTACCCAGGAGTTATTCAGGAGCAGATTGTTCAATTTCCATGTAGTTCAATTTCCATGGTTTTGAGTGAGTTTCTCAACCCTGAGTTCTAATTTGATTGCACTGTGGTCTGAGAGACAGTTTGTTATGATTTCAGTTCTTTTGCATTTGCCAAGGAGTGTTTTACTTCCAATTCTGTGGTTGATTTTAGAATAAGTGCCATGTGGCACTGAGAAGAATGTATATTCTGTTGATTTAGGGTGGAGAGTTCTGTAGATGTCTATTAGTTCCACTTGATCCAGAGCTGAGTTCAGGTCCTGAATATGCTTGTTAATTTTCTGTCTTGTTGATCTAATATTGACAGTGGGGTGTTAAAGTCTCCCACTATTATTGTGTGGGAGTCCAAGTCTCTTTGTAAGTCTCTAAGAATTTGCTTTATGAATCTGGGTGCTCCTGTCTTGGGTGCATATATATTTAGGATAGCTAGCTCTTCTTGTTGAATTGATCCCTTTACCATTATGTAATGCCCTTATTTGTCTTTTTTGATCTTTATTAAAGTCCGTTTTGTCAGAGACTAGTATTTCAACCCCTGCTTTTTTTTTGTTTGTTTTCCATTTGCTTGGTAATTTTTCCTCCACCCCTTTATTTTGAGCCTATGTGAGATGAGCCCCCTAAATGTAGCACACCAGTGAGTCCTGACTCTTTATCCAATTTGCCAGTCTGTGTCTTTTAATTGGGGCATTTAGCCCATTTACATTTAAGGTTAATATTGTTATGTGTGAATTTGAGCCTGTCATCATGATGCTATCTGGTTATTTTGCGTACTATGCAAAATAGTTGATGCAGTTTCTTCATAGTGCCATTAGTCTTTATATATTTGGAGTGTTTTTGCAGTGGCTGGTACCAGTTGTTCCTTTCCATATTTAGTGCTTCCTTCAGGAGCTCTTGCAAGGCAGGCCTGGTGGTGACAAAATCCCTCAGCATTTGCTTGTCTGGAAAGAATTTTATTTCTCCTTTTTTTATGGAGCTTAGTTTAGCTGGATATGAAGGTCTGGACTGAAAATTCTTTTCTTTAAGAATGTTGAATATTGGCCCCCACTGTTTTCTGGCTTGAAGGGTTTCGGCGGAGAGGTCCACTGTTAGTCTGATGGGCTTCCTTTTGTAGGTGACCTGGCCTTTCTCTCTGGCTGCCCTTAACATTTTTTCCTTCATTTCAACCTTGGAGAATCTGATGATTATGTGTCTTGGGGTTGATCTTCTCATGGAGTATCTTAGTGGTGTTCTCTGTATTTCCTGAATTTGAATGTTGGTCTGCCTTGCTAGGTCAGGGAAGTTCTCCTGGATAACATCCTGATCCTGAAGTGTGTTTTCCAACTTGGTTTCATTCTCCCTGCCTCTTTAGGTACTCCAATCAATCATAGCTTTGTTCTTTTTACATAGTCCCATATTTCTCAGAGGTTTTGTTTGTTCCTTTTCATTCTTTTTTTCTCTAATCTTCTCTGCATGCCTTATTTCAGCAAGATGGTCTTCAGACTCTGATATCCTTTCTTCCACTTGATAGATTCAGCTATTGATCCTTGTGCATGCTTCATGAAGCGTTCATGCTGTGTTTTTCAGCTCCATCAGGTCATCTATGTTCCTTTCTAAACTAGTTATTCTAGTTAGCAGCTCCTGTAACCTTTTATGAAGATTCTTAGCTTCTTTAGATTCGGTTTGAACATGCTCCTTTAGCTCAGCAGAGTTTGTTATTACCCACCTTCCAAAGCCTACTTCTGTCAATTCATCCATCTTGTCCTCCATCCAGTTCTGTGCCTTTGCTGGACAGGCATTGCGATCATGTATAGGGGAAGAGGCACTCTAGCCTTTTGAGTTTTCAGTGTTTTTTCGTTTATTCTTTCTCATCTTCATGAGTTTGTCTAATATTGATCTTTGAGGCTGTTGACCCTTAGATGGGGTTTTTGTGGGGACTTTTTTGTTGTTGTTGATGCTGTTGTTGTTGCTTTCTGTTTTTCTTGCAATGATCAGGTCCTTCTTCTGCAGGGCTGCTGCAGTTTGCTGGGGATTTGCTTCAGGCCCTATTCATCTGGTTTGCTCCCACACCTGGAGATGTCACTCGAGGAGGCTGGAGAACAGCAAAGATAGGTGCCTGCTCCTTCCTCTGGGATCTCTGACCTTGAGGGGCACCGAACTGATGCCAGTAGGAACGCTCCTGTATAGGGTGTCTGATAACCCCTATTGGAGGGTATCACCCAGTTGGGTGGCACAGGGAGCAGGACCCATTTAACGAACCACTTTGTCCCTTGGTCTTTGGCTCATTTCTATTTGAATTCCCCACACCTAGTGAAATGTCAGGACACTTAGGTGTTGAATAGATAACTTCTTACTTAGCAAATGAAACATAGAAGGAAGTTTAAAAACAAACAAGTATTCCTTTTTTAAGTTTTAAGTTCAGTGGTACATATGCAGGTTTGTTACATAGGTAAACTTGTGTCATGAGGGTTTGTTGTACAGATTATTTCATCACCCATGTATTAAGCCTAGTACCCGTAGTTATTTTTCCTGATTCTCTCCCTCCTTCCACCCTCCACCCTCCAATAGGCCCCAGTGTGTTTTATTCCCCTCTCTGTGTCTGTGTGTTCTCATCATTTAGCTCCCACTTATATGTGAGAACATGTGATATTTGGCTTTCTGTTCCTGCATTAATTTACTAAAGATAATGGCCTCCAGCTCCATCCATAGTTCCTGCAAAAGACATGATCTCACTCTTTTTTAGGGCTACATAGTATTCTATGGTATATATGTACCATGTTTTCTTTATCCACTCTATCATTGATGAGCATTTAGGTTGATTCCACGTCTTTGCTGTTGTGAATAGTGCTGCAGTGAACATACATGTGCATGTGTCTTTATAATAGAATGATTTACATTCCTTTGGGTATATACCCAGTAATGGGATTGCTGGGTCAATGGTACTTCTGTCTTTAGGTCTTTGAGGAAACGTCACACTGTCTTCCACAATGGTTGAATTAATTTATACTCCCACTAACAGTGTGTAATTGTTCCTTTTTCTCCACAACCTCTCCAGCACCTGTTACTTTTTGACTTTTTAATAGCAGCCATTCTGACTGGTGTGAGATGGTATCTCATTGTGGTTTTGATTTGCATTTCTCTATTGATCAGTTATGTTGAGCTTTTTTTCATATGCTTATTGGCCACATGTATGTCTTCTTTTGAAAAGTATCTGTTCATATATTTTGCCCACTTTTTAATGGAGTTGTTTTAAAAACAAATAAATATTCTTTAAAAACACTGTTGTCATAATGGTGACCATTTATTGAGCACCTATATGTGTCAGGCATTTTACGTAGATGTTTTCCTAATCCTCATAACATCAAAAGGTTGGTATTCTCTCTACTTCATAAACAAGGACACTGAGACTTAAGGAGGTTAAATAACTACTCCCTTAGGCAGGATGCAGTGGAGCTTGGCAGAGCCTGGGATGTGAGACACTAAATCTGCCTTTTCAGCTATGTTACCTCCCAATAGCTGGTTGGGTGACTAAGATGTCAAAACCCCAAAAAAGAAAAGATGCTGGTATTTTTTATTTACTTGAAGAATAATTAATAACTCATGACAGAACCATTTTCCTACCTGTAAACTAGTTTCACAGATGACGGTATATTCAATTTCACGCTTAAGCAGACAGCTTAGCTCTCCAATTATGTCCCCAGTAGTACAGAACTCTGTAAACATGTCTCTGGACCCTCTATCACACCTTTGATTACTCTCTATTCCAAAGGTAGGAGATAAACTATGCAACTGCAAAGGGAAAAAAAGTGTGCAAAGGGAAAGAAAAAATGAAAAACCCTTTGATCAAATCATAGGAGCTCCCACTATTTCTTACAACTTTCCAATGGAAGGGAAAGATCTCCTGTCAGGTGTGAAAGAAGAATTAGGCTTAAGAAAAAAA
Source organism: Homo sapiens (assembly GCF_000001405.40). Classification (NCBI taxonomy): domain Eukaryota; kingdom Metazoa; phylum Chordata; class Mammalia; order Primates; family Hominidae; genus Homo; species Homo sapiens. The sequence goes on from NC_000001.11 coordinate 173,517,856, forward strand.
AATCATGATTTCTTTAACATTTCAACTCCCCAAGGCAAGGATTTTTTTCTAATCTTTAGTTTTACAGATGACCCCTATTTACAACTTTCTACTTATACCTGTCTTATACAAAAATCCCACCAGGGCTGGGCGCAGTGGCTCACGCCTGTAATCCCAGCACTTTGGGAGGCCAAGGCGGGCGGATCACAAGATCAAGAGTTCGGGACCAGCCTGGCCAACATGGTGAAACCCCGTCTCTGCTAAAAAAAAATACAAAAATTAGTCGAGCATGGTGACGCATACTTGTAGTCCCAGCTACTCAGGAGACTGAGGCAGGAGGATCATTTGAACCCAGGAGGCAGAGGTTGCAGTGAGCCAAGATCGTGCCACTGCACTCCAGCTGGGCGACAAAGTGAGACTCCATCTCAAAGAAAAAAAAAAAAAACCCACCAAAACTGGAAATTATAGTATGCAACTAATGCAATCACTCATTGAGTCCATTAGATATTCTTACCGCAATGGGCTAATGCATCAGGTGGAAATAACTTTTGATTGCATGGGCACATAAATCAGATATTATGAATTAATATGCCTCCAAACCAAGCCATGATGTTAATGAAAGCCTTGTCTCTTTTTAAAATGCTTTAGAAAAATTACCATGCAATATCAACAGGAAAAGGTTTTAGGATGAACATAGGATGGTTGAGTTACTTCAAGAAAATAACTGGTAGGCATAGCTGGAGAAAGAACCGCGGTATCAGATTTTAGGGGGAAGCTGAAAGAATTGGGATTAGAAAGATTACAGAATTTTTCAGAAAGTTTAGCTGTAAACATCAAAGAGGAAGGTTCTTGTTCAAGACACAGGAAACAGGAAGCAAAAGGTCATTCTCTCCCAGCAATTAGCATTCAGACTTTTAAAGGCATTCATGCTTCCAGAAGAGTTTGAATTTGTTTTTAATGGCTGTAATTTTGAATGCAATTCAAAGGATCTTTGAGCAATGAAGAATGCCTCTGCTTTTTGCAAACAAAGAAAAGATGATGGCATTTGAGGTAGGCAGCATTCTAAAGGAGGCCCCCCCAAGATTCCTGTCTGTTGTTCAACCAAATACTAATCTAGGGACTGCAGTGAAGGGACTTTGTAGTGGAATTAAGGTTGCTAATTGGCTGACCTTAAAAAGATGATTTTTGGAGTTAAGGCTACTAATCAGCTGACCTTAAAAAGATCTACAAAGTCCCTTCACAGCTGTACCAGATTAGTATTTGATTAAACAACAGACGGGAATATTGCGGGGACTGTAATCACATGAGCCCTCGCAAGTAGAAGGGAGTCCATCAGAGAGAGATGTGTGAAGGATTCCATATGCCTTTGCTTGCTCTGAGATGTGAGGACCTGCATGCAAGGACAAAAGAGAAGCTCTAGGAGCTCAAGGTGGGCTCCAGCTGACAGCCTTGAAGAAGCAAGGACTTCTGTTCAATAGCCGTAAAGAATAACTAGATCTGCCAACAACCTCAAAGAGCCTGGAAACAGATTGTGCCCTTAGAGCTTCCAGAAGGTAACATAGCACTACTGACATCTAGATTTCAGCTTCTTGAGACCCAAGCAGTGAAATCAGCAGAACCCATTGGATTTCTGACCTACACAGCCATGAGATAATATATTTAAGCACTAAATTTGTGGTAATTTGTTATGGTATCAAAAAAGTACTAATATAACCTCTTCAGACCAGACATTATTGGACTATAGTTTAAGAAGGTTTAGCTAGTCCAGTCATGGCAGGAAAATCCCCAAAGAAACATGTTACAGCAAGTTGCAGCTTTTAAGTATCGGACTTGCCGTATTTCATAAATACTGGCAGCAGTGTGTTTGTCCTAGAATTCTAATGGGAGTATAGTATAATGGCTAAGCACATGGATACTGGAGACAGACTACATGGGTTCAAAGTAATCTTTGGCCTCTGAGTATGTGTAGTTGGGGCCAAGTGAATTTTTTTTTTCTGTTCATCAGTTTTCTCATGTAAAAAATAGGGTTGTTGGCCTGGTTCGGTGGCTCACACCTGTAATCCCAGCACTTTGGGAGGCCAAGGCGGGCGGATCACTTGAAGTCAGGAGTTCAACACCAGCCTAGGGAAATCCCGTCTCTACTAAAAACACAAAAATTAGATGGGCGTGGTGGTGCGTGCCTGTAATCCTGTAATCCCAGCTACTTGGGAGGTTGAGGCAGGAGAATCACTTGAACCCGACGGACAGACCTTGCAGTGAGCTGAGATGGTGTCACTGCACTCCAGACTGAGTGACAGAGACTGTCGCCCAGGCTGGAGTGCAGTGGCAGGATCTCGGATTCTCATGTCTCAGCCTCCTGAGTAGCTGGGATTATAGACATATGCCACCATGCCCGGCTAATTTGTGTATTTTTAGTAGAGACAGGGTTTTGCCATGTTGGCCAGGCTGGTCTCAAACTCCTGCCTCGTGATCCACCCACCTAGCCCTCAAAGTGGTGGGATTACAGCTGTGAGCCATCATGCCCAGCTTATATTGCCTTTCTCGACTACCTTTTAAAAAATCACAACTAATCTCTTCATACCTCCATCATCTGTAACATACTGTAAACTTACTTGTTTTGTTCATTGTCCCATCTCCTTTTATCCCTCTACTAGAAATTAGGCTCCAAGAAGGCAGGAATTTGTGTCTGTTTTGTCAATCCCATGCCTAGAATTAACAGTGCCTGCCACATGGTGGTAATGAAGCAAACATTTTGTTGAATAAATGAGTGAATGAATGAATGAAAAGTGCTTAGAATAGTGCCAGATAGTAAATAAGTGTTATATTGTGTTAGTATTCTATTTATTATGGTAGTTTATTTCCATGATATTTTAAGGTCTAATATACCCGTTTCAAAACCAGAAAGCCAATGGTATTATTTTTGCCATATTAAGGATTTGTCATTTTATGACCATCATCCAGGATCTAGGAATTATTTGGTTCACAAAATGGGGCTCACGCATGAAACCAGCTACTAAACTACTGTTATGCAGATACAAAGGATTCTTGTCCCCATCACTCTACTGAAATCTCTCTCCCTCTCTCTCTCTCTGTCTCTCTCTCTGGTCAACAAAAGCCTCCCATGAGACAGATTAAAAGCTGTATTTTTGATCCTCATTCTATTTCCTTTAGGTGAGTAATTTAAGCCACGCCAAGTATTGATTTCCTTCTCTGAACATTCTGAAAAATCCTGCTTCCTCCCAGGATTGCTGGAAATAAGTAAAGACTATGACAGCATTTTGTAGAATGGGAAGCACATTTCAGGTGTTGAATATTCACCTCTCAGCTGTCATGCTCAGAGTAGAAATGGTTTCATCACATTAAAAATTTAAACTTTTTCAGTATCTAAATTTATTCTTATTCTACAATTACATGTTTCAAAATACATTTTAAGTAAAAAAAAAAAAAAAAATCAATAGTCCCTTACAATTGCCATTCCTGAAATAATTAAGTAGATTCCTTGTGGCATTTCACCTCCTTTACAAATGGTATCTCCAGAGTCAAAACAGGCAAGTTTGGCTCTTTCCTGAGTGGGAAAAAAAAAAACGAAAAGAAAAAGAGAGTCAACACAAAAGCTTCCTAGTCTACTTTTCTAAATATTTTCTATATATATATATATATATATGATTTTATTATATATGTGTGTGTGTGTATATATATATATGATTTTAAAGCTAAAATAGTTTCCAAGTAGCATAAAAACACTAATTATATTCTTGGTTTATTACTGAACTGTAACGTGCTAATATACCACATCAACTTTTAGAAATAAAGGAACAGGCAAACAAACTTTGACTTTGTGATTAGTACCTAGCATAGTAACTGATATAACTATGGAATAAATATGCATATTTATGAATGAAAACTTTTTTTCAGCCCGTTTGAGGCTTGGGTTATAATGGTAAGCTAAACAATTCCCCTGCCTTCAGAAAAAAGTTTTAGTTATGTTGGGTAGATATTTACAATCCAATGGGATAATTATGACAAAGAAGACAGGGACAGGGCGCTATGCAAAAAAAAAAAAAAAAAAAAAAATGCAGAAAAGGCCGGGCGCGGTGGCTTACGCCTGTAATCCCAGCACTGGGGAGGCCGAGATGGGCGGATCATGAGGTCAGGAGATCGAGACCATCCTGGCTAACACGGTGAAACCCCGTCTCTACTAACAATACACGGTGAAACCCCGTCTCTACTAACAATACAAAAAATTAGCCGGGCGTAGTGGCGGGCGCCTGTAGTCCCAGCTACAGGCTGGGCAGGAGAATGGCGTGAACCCGGGAGGTGGAGCTTGCAGTGAGCCGAGATCGTGCCACTGCATTCCAGCCTGGGCGACAGAGTGAGACTCCATCTCAAAAAAAAAAAAATGCAGAAAAGCCACAGGATCCTATCTTGGTTGTTCGGTGAGGACTTTACAGCAGACAGGACAGCTAAGCTGAGACTTGAAAGAGGAGTAGCAGATAGCTCGGATAACATGAGTTGAAGACCTCCAGGGCAGAAGATTCATATATGCAAAATCCAGAAGCAAACTGAACGTCTGCAGTTAGGGTAATAGCAAAGATTGTATATGTCTCAGGCAGGGAGGGATGGAGACCAGGGTGGAGCCATCCACTAGGCATCAGCAGGCGCAGTGCCTGCATCTACAATACTTTTAGACACTTAAAACAATGTTTTAATGTTTTTTAGAATCTGGAGGAAAATTAGTTTTAGATAGAGAAAAATGTTTTAATAGATAATACTAATATATTCATTGTGATACTAACACAGTCATAAAGTCTAATTTTTAATACTTTTTTATGGAGGAAGAGGCCCACTAAGGCAGAAGTGCCCAGGGCACCTGAGAGTCATGATGTTCTTCGGGCCCTCTGCAACTGCCCTGACTTCATGTGCTCTCTCCAGCTCTGCTCCTGCCAGGGACCTCTGTGCTGCTCCTGGAACACTCCAGGCACACTTGGCCTCGGGGCCTCCTTGCACCCACTACTCCCTTTGCCTGGAGTGCTCTTCTGTAAGATACTAGCTGGCTTGCTCCCTCACTTCTTTCACATCTCTCTTCAAATGTCACCTTATTAGAGCAGCCTTCCATGGCCGCTCTGTGTTACCTTTTCTCCCCTTATTTTTCTCTAGCACTTAACAACCATCTGATAGGCTACTTATTTATGTGTTTGGTGTGTTTATTGTCTGTCTCCATCCATACACTAAAAGCTTTTGAAAGCAGGGACTTCTGCCAGGCACAGTGGCTCACACCTGTAATCCCAGCACTTTGGGAGGCCAAGGCGGGTGGATCACTTGAAGTAAGGAGTTCGAGACCAGCCTGGCCAACATGATGAAACCCCGTCTCTACTGAAAATACAAAAATTAGCTGGGCATGGTGGCACAGGCCTGTAATCCCAGCTACTTGGGAGGCTGAGGCAGGAGGATCACTTGAACCCGGGAGGCGGAGGTTGCAGTGAGCCGAGATCACACCACTGCACTCCAGCCTGGGCGGCAGAGTGAGACTCTATCTCAAAAAAATAAATAAAAAGAATAAAATAAAAATTAAAAAATGAAAGTAGGGACTTCATCTGTTTTGTTTACTGCCATATCCCAAAACCTAGAACAGTCTCTGGCATGTAGAGGATATTCAATAGATATTTGTTGAAAGAATTCAAAGTCCTGTGGCAACCGTCAGCTGACAGAGCATGAACTTGAATACACCTCAGTTCTCACTGTTCCCTATTACACTATGCCCAATTGGCTTTACTTTTACACTATCTGCCCGGTCTGTGCAGTAACTTAAATTTGAGACCCTTGCTCTAAAAAATGTCTCTCCCAGAGTGTACATCAAGAAGTCCAGAACTCTACAACATAAAATAGAATGGGATTGGTAATAGTCAGACACATATAGCTACTCATAAGCGGATAAGCCATTGTGAAAAACTATCTTTGCCCTTTAGGCTCAAAAAGAGATCTAGTCTTCCTCTAGGCTTTCCTGGGCCTCCATTTTGGCTTTCCCTGAATTGGCCAGTATGTGATATGCTTTTCTGTTAATCTTTCATTAGGGAGTGGAAAAAAATGGATAATTACCATCAAACCTGAGCCAGAATAGAAAACGGAATCTTTACCTTGAAGAAGTCAATGAGAACATCTTTACCTTCCAGCCAAATGATGTTGTGAAGGTATATGTCAGGAGTTGGGGGTGGGATTGCCTTTGGAAAGTTATTTAGTGCTTTTAATTTTTTAAGAAGTACCTAAAAACAAATAATCAAAATAATGGGGATCAGATCCTGTAACAGAAAATGGACACTAGGGAAAAACTAAGGAAATCTAAATAAACTACTGTTAGGCAAGTTTAACCTTGATTGTTGACTCACAGCTTGTCTCATCCTATCTAAATTCCTCTAACCATTTTTGTCCCTAGTCTCCCCTTATTACTATTTTCACTGACTTATTAACTCAGATTGAACCTATCATCTTCATAATTCAATTGACACAGTGGATGGAGAAGCAGAAAAATCTAGTGAGTCTATAGGGAAAGCCAAAGGAAGATGCCATAGAGGGCAACCCTGATAGGAAATGGAGAATCTAGAAAGCTTTCTACATCGCTGTTCAAATCCCTTCCTTAGGCCTTGTCACATATCCTGGCTATTGTGGGTTCTATAAAGTACTCTGCGTCCTTTTGATAAATCCCCCAACCATTTCTTTACTAAACTTAGTTCAAGTTGGTTTCTGTTACTTGCAATCAAGTAGTTTTGACAAATGGAGTGTACCGGATTGCATCGGCATTCGTTGTCCTTTGCATTATCAAAGGCTGAAGGTGATTATAGAGTTAACACCTGTGGTTAAACAATTTTTTCAATCTCCCTCCTTATTACACACTGCTAAAGTAACCATGAAGGCTGGGGTGTTATGCGGACAGAATCAAGCAAAATTACCTTATTTATCTCAATGACTTCATGCTTATCAATAATGCCTCTTGAACAAAGGAAGGTGAGATTTTTTAGAGCTTTAGCAATCACATTCCGGATTGCCTGTTTAGTCTTCAAAGCAATGACAACATCACGACCCTCATGCTCCATGAGTACTACAGCAAAGAAAATAAAATTCAGTAAGTGGCCTATGCAATAACCACAATAACTAATATTAGTATAATACTGTATAATTTCCAAAGCATTTACACAATATTCTTTGATTCTAGTTTCATGCAGAACTCATGAGGTCAGCAGGCAAAGAGTTATTTTCAACTCTATTTTATGGATGAGAAAATTGGAAACTGGCTTCCCCCATCAGCTAAGAGAAAATCACTCTCTCTCTCTTATCCCCATGGCATCTCCTCCATATCTCTATTATGGAACTCATTACATTATCATGTTACTATTTTTACTTCTCTGTCTCATCCTCCATATTGTATAATTTTTGTTGGTTAGACGAATAAATGACACAATGAAAGTACCCCTGGACTTTGGCTGGTGGGTCTTTCTGAGATCAAGGAGCATATTCTTTCCCCTTCAGTAAACCTCAGAAGACATGAACTGGACTGTGAGTCAAGGTTAAAATTGCATCTGTTTCATCTTCATATTCAACATTGAACACAATGCTTGCCATATCGAAGGTACACACTCTTTTCTTTTTAACTAAATGAATTGACCACTAAAGTGAAAGGTAGCAATGATCAAAAGCATAGGTTTTAGTGTCAAATACACCTGGGCTAGAAACCTGGCTCACTACTTACTAGCCATAGGGCCTCAGGCAAATTAACCTCTGTAATAATAGTATTTGCCTCACAGAGTAATTATAAGGATTAAATGAGATAATGTACATAAAGAGTTAGCAGTTCCTGCCATGATAAGCATTCAGTCATCAGTTGCAGTAACCACATGGAAACAAGCACTGCCTTTTAGAGTAGTGAATTGAGAAAACTTTGTAATATTCCATACTGATCTAAAACATAATATAATGCAGCTGTCCTAACCCCTAATCTTTAAAAGCACAGAAATAAAAATCTGTCAACATATAAATGGCAACAATGGGTCATGGGTTTTCTGAGATAATGCCAAAATATTCTAATCTGTTGTCTCTAAACTTACACTTTCATTCATTAGATCACATTCTTTCCATTTTGATTTGGAAAGTGTAACCCCATATGGCATCTTACAATGTGGTCATGAATATGAAATGGTTTTACTTTATTTTCTTTTCTGATAACTTCCATTTATTAAGGGCCTTCCATATGCTGGGCCCTCTACCAGATGCTTTTGCACACACTGACAGCCTGGCCCACAGCCCCCCATGAGAAAAGCTGACCCAAAAAAACTTGGCATAAAATCCCTGGGCTCCTGCTCTGTGCTTCAAATAAAGTGGAGTGACTGTAGATACTCAGGAAATGACATTCGTTGCAGCCCTATGTTCCAGAGTATCTTTGCAAAAAACAAAACAATGAAACAAAACCATTTTGTCAAAGGTAACCTTCACATGTCTTTTTCTTCTAACCTTGAGGACTCTGACCTTGCCACCTTAATACACTTTCCACACTCCTCTCATTCTTTCCTGTACACTCCCATAACAACTAACAGGACTCTGCTAACTTTTTCAATTATCTATTGATACGCTCATACACTCCACAAGATTCTGCACTGTTTAAGGGTCAGGATCTACTCATCTTTGCTTTCCCATACCTGGCCCATTAGCTGTGTTTAATAAATGCTTGTTGAATGCATAAATGAATGAGCAAGTAAATGAAAGCATGAATTGTTCTTCTTTTATTAAATTATAGGACAATAAGGTATGACTTTAAGAACTCAGATACTTCAACTACCTACCTAATTCTTTGACAGCATCCTGTTTGTTGGTTTCCAAAATTTCACATAGTTTCTGTAAAAAATTAAGAAAAACATGTATTTCTTATTATTCATATAGTTTCTGTAAGAAATTAAGAAAAACATGCATTTCTTCTTATATTCCTGAGAAGCATACTTATTATACCAAGTATAGTTCTGGCTTTCCTTTTATTTTTATTTTTTGAGACAGAGTCTTGCTCTGTTGCCGAGGTTGGAGTGCAGTGGTGCAATCTCAGCTCACTGCAACCTCCACTTCCCGGGTTCAAGTTATTCTCGTGCCTCAGCCTCCCAAGTAGCTGGGATACAAGTGTGAGCGACCACACCCAGCTGATTTTTGTATTTTTAGTAGAGATGGGGTTTCTCCATGTTGGCTAGGCTGGTCTTGAACTCCTGACCTCAGGTGATCTACTCACTTCTGCCTCCCAAAGTGCTGGGATTACAGGCATAAGCCACCACACCTAGCCTGGCTTTCCTTTTAAATTCAGAGAAAAGGAAGTATGGTAGAGGACATTTCACCTAGTTTTAGAAAAGCTATTGGCTCATTTCTTCCCTCTGGGTCAATTCTGCTGCTTTGCCCATGCTCAGACGTCAATCTCAATGAGTCTAGTACAGTCAGTAGCTTGCATAACTACCTTGCCTAATAGTTATCAGAAAAGATCAGTATGTACTCCACTGTGCACCAAGGAGAATTCTCATAGCGCCTCATTTGGCAGTGAGCCAAGTGAGCAGCTAGTTGGGAAGCCAGCCTATCAGGAGCACAAAAAGAAGTGGAAAAATGAGAAAATACGATATTGATTAGTTCATATTTCTAACAAATAACTCCTTAGATAACTGAAGAAATCACTGCACTCCAGGGCTAACCAATCTCTGTTCAATCAATCATACAACAGGTATTTGTTGGATGCCCACTATGTCCCAGGCACTTTTCCTCTTAAAGCTTACCCTCCAGCTTTGAGTCACTGGGGAGTTTGCACTTGGCTACACCAACAGTCCTGGAATCACACAACTGACAGTTCTTTAGGGTTGTCAGGTACAGATGTCTGAAACTCTGCCCCAAATAATGCATGGCATAGTGCTCTTTATAGGGAACACCTGGTTTGTTATCTAAAGTTTAAGCAAAGTTAAGTTTTTGTGGGGTTTTTTTGTTGTCTTTGTTTTGGTTTAGAAAAAAATCGCATGTAATGAATCCCTCATTTTGAATATAAGAATAAGGTATGTAATATTTATTAAATTATTTCTTCTTACTCGATAACATTGCATCAATATTGGGAAGGTGCCAAATTACTAGCCTGTCCATGGCACCAACATATCCTAGCCCAGCCCTGCTTGCATAGGTGCAAAGAAAGCAGCTAGGCCCCCTTCACACCAAACTAGACTTACAGCAACCCTGTAAGACTGCTCTAGAACGCCTTTGCACAAAAGCGCATGGGACCTGACTCCTGCCTACAAAGAGAGCATAATCATGAAAGCCTGGGCATACATTTATTTTTCTTAAGGTGAGCTGCCACAGGCCAATTTCCAGAACCAAGTCAGTTTCAGAATAAACACCAGTTAGACATCTAAACACATCTCAAAAGGCCATTTAAATCTTTACTGGTGCTTCTTTCAAAATGTCACAGGGGATTCACTTCACCTGTGACACGTCAAGGCAACTGCCCTCAGATCTCTGCATCTTCTCCCAAACTCCTGAAAACACATTCTTAACTCCCCCCACTGTCTCTTGTTTTTCTTCTCTCTTCCTCCTTCTGCTGAAATCTTTTCTCCTATGAATAGCTCTGTGTTCTTTCTAATGCAGATCAATCCAGCCTTTGAGTAGTTCTTTTAATTTTCTTCTCCATTCTTCAAAGTAAAGCAACAGGACAGAATTCTGTTACACATTAATGTTCAATCCAATAAAGGTAGATATCTTCACAGCCTCTTTTCCTCTTCTTATTTCAATAAGTAAAGAGCCTCTCTTGACTGAGGTAACGTAACCGTCACCACAAAAAATAGGCACCGTAACCAGAAGACATAACCTCTAGGCCATCCATGGTTTTATGTATCCACACATAATCATTGTAGTAATCAGGATTTAAATCCATCTCCAGTTAAAAATCAAGAGTGTAACTTGGGCTGAGAAAACACCTTTCAGCTGTTGATACTGTTCACCTTAGCCCCTCATTGACACGTATGAAAATATAACCAAAATCACCAAACACTGGGGGCAAAAACAGAATGAAATATAGAAACCAAACACAATGAATAGGAGAGTGAACCCCAAGGAAGCAGAATTAACACAGGAAGCAAAATATCTTTTAAGATGAAAAGAAGATTCTAGATAATATTATGTTAATTCTTTTAAAGCAAACAGTTGTTATGAAAAGGAAGCAACCACAGTTTTTGGAGATCAAAAAGTAATTGTCAAAAAAAATTAAAAAGTTTAATAGATGGGTTGAACAGAAGAAAGAACACAACTAGAAATTTAAAAATCTGTAACCTGGAAAATCAATTGAAAGATTCTCACTGCAAAGAGCAGAGTTGACAGCTATGAGTGAAAAATAAGGAAGTTTTTTATCTAAAGAATGCGAGTCTCCTCTACATTATCAGGCCCAAAGAAGCATGAGAATGAGAGAGCAGTCACGTTCCACTTTCCCCACTCTTTTGCGAGTGACTGGTAATAGACAGACTGGTGCGAGGGAGCCTGGTTAGGAGAGGATTCACTCCACCTCTAGGCTCCCATCTAGTACTTACAGCATAGTGGCTGGAAATGAAGAGGGTCTTAAATGATAAAAAATAAATACTTCTACTCACCCACCCCACAGTACCAGGATTTCAACTTTTCACTATCAAATCTTTGTTCTCTTTTCCTCTCTTCCTCTTCACTTAAGACTTACCCTTTCTTTGAAGCCTTTTTCAAGTCTCAACTCCTGCATACACCTTTCCAAGTGCCCTGTCTTTTAGAGAGTGTTACAGAGACATACTAGATCTCTTCTCTATACTCTGCACTCAGAAAAGAGATCATATGTTTTCTGCCATGAAGATAATAAATGAGTTTGATGATAACAGCTGAAATGTAATGATCAGAGACTGTTCTCTGTAGCACCTCATATGATATAATAAACAACTGAATCCCTTTCAACTGTTGGAATTTGTCTGTTTCGTCAAACACACATAGAACTAGTCTTAAAAGAAGTTAATACACCTAAGGGGTTTTTCTCCCCAAATGACCAGTGCTTGTTTCTCACCTGATATATTGATTCACAGACAGCTATTTGTTTTATTAGAAGTTTGGCATCTTCTTGACTTTTGATATAGCCTTTTGTAATACTATACATCAAGCTGAGGCGCTTTTTGATCTGCACATCTGCAATTCTTATCAGTATTGGTACTATTATCTGGAATAATGAGAAGAAGAAAAAAAAACCTGTACATTTGATGAGGAAAAGCACCCTCTGAGGCAGAAATTCATAAAGTGTCATCTCCAGACCAGCAACAGCAGAGCCCACAAACTTGTTAGGAATGCAAAATCTCAGGTCCCACTGGAGACCTGTGGAATCAGACACTCTTGGGTGGGGCCTAGTAGTCGATGTCTTAGCAAGTCTGCCAGGTGATTCTGTGCCTACAAAAGTCAAGACCCATTCTCTAAAGAAGGTGAAGCTTAGTGAATAACTGACTCTTGCTTTAGGGGAAAGTCTCTAGCACTGCCTTTTCCCTCATTCTCTGTACCCCCAGATTTCAGAAAACCCCTAACCAGGTCTCCTAACCTGGGTCATAGTTACTCACTGAACAAATCGTCTCTCTGTGCCTCAGTTTCTTCACTTGCAAAATAAAGAACTTAGGGTATCTAAGATCCTGCTTAGTTTTATATTTCTCCAATCATAAGCTAAGGCAGGCTAGTGTCATGACTTAAGAGAATGGGATTTTAAATATACACCTCTCTAAATTCAAATGCAAGCTCTCCTATTCACCAGCTCTGTGACCTTGAGCAAGTTATTTAGTGACTTTGAGGACTCAGTTTCCTCATGTGTAAAATGAGGAAATAATATCTAAATACCAGAATTCCAATAGAGGGGCTCCTCAAAATCCACATCGTCACTCACACAGACAGGGGGCTTCCCACAGGGTTAAAGTCATGTCAGAGCACAGGGGCAGATGGCGAGGGACTGGGTAACAAGGGAGAAGAAAAAAGTGAACCGGGAGATGGCATCATAGTGAAGGAATTCCAAGAGCAGAGAAGGGAATTTTTTTTTTAAGCTGCTATTTTGCCTTTGAAATTTTGGACAAAGGGAGAGATGTTTAAAGAGGATTTTTTCAAAGTTACACTCTACAGTGCACTGACACTCCTTGAGCTATCCTTTAGGGCACCTAAAGATTGCCAGTATTCTTTCACGTTTTCCAATGCAGATTTGTTTTTTTTGAAAGCCACATTATGCTGACAATGGCTATGAGCCACCTAACTTTACATAGTGGTGAAATCTACCTCACAAGGCTATCCTATTAATTAAACCAGATAATTTATGTAAAGTGCTTTAAACAGTTCCTGGAAAATAGTGAGTGTTCAATTAAAAACCATGGTAATATACTTCACTGAGATTTGTCAGAGCATGCTAGACAGAAGGGATGACTAGTTCAGAACATTGCTGCCCACACTCTAAATGGATTTGGTTTTTGTAAAGTCCCTAATTAGGCAAAAGGAGTCAGGCTGGTGGGATCAGGGGAAAGCAAAAAGAAGCAGCAGATAAGCTGCAAGTCTGCCTTTCTTTATGGCCCAGGACGCATTGCCCTCCTACACAAATAACTCAAAATCTTGTGCCCAACTACCACCAGACTCCTGCAAGTTAGCTCACTGCAACCATGGCATTAACAGCACAAAGCCCTTTTCAACAGACAGCATAAACACTATCCTATAAAATCTCCAGCAAGCCTTTGCTTCTTTGCAGTTGGCTTCTTTCTTGCAGGCTGCCTGTTGTTTCCCTGGCAATGTATTTTTCTACTGTCTCTAATAAATAAATATGCCTTTCTTCATCTACAACTGTCTTGGTAAATTCTTTTACTGCGGCGCCGCCAGCCCATAGAGCTGTCACTCCCCGTGACAGTTTCCACAATAATACACTTTTAAATCTTTGTTTCATTTTAAATACTTTTCACGAAGTATGACTTCTAAAATAATTATTTTATATTTACCTGCATACGATTTCTGTATAAATACTGATTACCTAAAGAAACTCCTACCTTCCATTTTAAGTCTTTGCATCACACAACACATCCTGATTTCTAGGACAGTTTACATGACGGTGGAGTTACACCTTACATGAGCACTTTGCTCCAAACTCAGCTCATAAGGCAAAAAGCACATTGAATCAAAATTACCCTTTAAACCAGGTACAGTAACTCTGAACGGTAATTCTTATGAACACTAAAGTTTGGTCACACCAATGTAGAATAAATGAAGGAACAAAAAAGAAAATCTGTAAGCACAAACTGGATAGTCAAACAATTCTGCCTTAAAGATAACTATTAAATGTTGTGGAGAATGGGAAGTAGGTGGAGGAGTCTAATATGTGCATTTCACCATCAGAGTTTATAGCAATTTTTTTAATGTTAAGTCTCTGTATCTAACTTCAATAAATACTAATATAATAGATTTGCTTGATGTAATAAGAATTAAACAACAACAAACATGGCATGGCAAGTGAAATCATTTAAAGCCCTGAAGTTAAAAGCTTATGTAATGCAACTCCATTGGAAAGAGAGAAAGGAGGTTTAAGAATTGAAACTGAAAGTATAAAAATCTGCCTTCAGTATCAAAACCAGAGTCATGGAATGAAGGCATAGTAATTGTTAAGGAAATTGAAGGCCACAGTAAAATTAAATTCCATAGGTAGTATCCTATGTGACTGTGGAGCTATGGAGGAAATATTTTTGTTTCTGTACAGTTTGGGAGACATGAACAAATTTTACTGAAACTTAAAGAACTTGTATTTGGGTTACCCTGCTTCTACTGGCACCAAGATTTTTATTCTTTCACTCAACAAATATTTATTAAGTGCTTACTATACGCCAGGCACTGTTCTGGAGGCAGAGGTTACATCAATGACCAAAACAGGCCGAGTATGGTGGTTCATGCCTGTAATCCCAGCACTTTGGGAGGCCGAAACAGGAGGATTGCTGGAGCCCAGGAGCTTTAGACCAGCCTGGACAATAAAGTGAGATCCCATTTCTATTAAAAAATGTAAAAAGAAAGACCAAAACAAAGATCTCTACCTCACAGAGAGTACATACAATATACAGTAAATTGCTGATAAGTACTGTGGGGCAAAAATTAAAGTTGAGCAGGTAGAGGGTAATCAGGAGGATGAGGTAGAAATTGAGGGTGTGAAGGGTGGGTTGCCAGTTGACATAGGCTGGTCAGGAGAGGCCTCTGTGACAAGCTGAGATTTGAGCAATGGCTTGAAGGTGACGAGAAAGGGAACCATGCAGATACCTATTGAGAGGGTGTTCCAGAAGAGACAACTCCTGCTCTCATTTCTTTCAAAACAATGAGGTTTCTTACTCACTTAACACACAATGTAAAAAAAGAATTTTAATACTTTATTTTATTATTATTATTATTTTTTGAGACAGAGTCTGGCTCTGTCACCAGAGCCATCATTGCACTCTGTCTGACTGGAGTGCAATGGCACAATCTCAGCTCACTGCAGCCTCACCTCCTGGGCTCAAGCGATCCTCCCACCTCAGCCTCCCAAGTAGCTGGGACCACAGGTGCACACCATCATGCCCAGCTAATTTATTAATTTTTTGTAGTGATGGGGTCTTGCTATGTTACCCAGGTTGTCTCAAACTTCTGGACTCAAGCAATCCACCCACCTAGGCCTCCCAAAGTGCTGGGATTATAGGTGTGAGCTACCACTCCTGGCAAATCTTAATATTTTAAAATGTGAAATCTTACCTTGAAGAGAGGAAGAAACCTAATTATTCTTAAATATCCCATTATTACTGTAAGCTGTATAAGAGCCAAGTTGTCTGGTCTCAATTTCACAAAGTATACACAAAAGATATCAATGATTCCAATAACCAGGATAAAAAATTCCAAAGTATTCCAACATTGTTGAAAATATTTCCTTTTCAAAATTATTATCTGTACAGAAAACAAATGTCATTTCATAGCACCTATACAGTAATGTTGGGGGGAAGAAATCTATAAAATTAACAACTAAGTTCTTAACTACAAATGAGTTATATTCCGAAAGTTGAGCTTTAAGTTATTCATTTGGAATCCCCCCAAAAATTCTTTAAAATCTTCACCATTTATAATTTGATTTAAAATATATACTCTATAATAAAGCTGGAATGCCAAAAACAACTATTAAAAATAGCAATAAACAGATTCATTGCAATACTATTAATAATAAAGTATGAAATAGTAATGCTCATAAATCACCTTTTACACATTTATACTAATAATTAACTCACATTTTATGACAAAGACCTAGCAAACCAATTCTTATTCACTTATTTATTTCTTGCATCATTACACAAAATATTTGAGGGAAACGTCCATGTCTGGATTTTCAATTCTCCTTTACCTGATCCTTGAGAATCTCTCTACTTTTATGATACTTAACTGATGTCCAATACCATGACTCTTATACTAATTTCACTATTAAACTTGGAAAATTCAAAAAGCTTACTAAAATTCTAGGATCTCATCAACTATCATAGCAAATGGCTCTTGGTATCAAGTTACTTCAATAATATGACAAAATAGATTCAAAATACCTGAATTGCTCTTTTTATAGATTCTATTTCTATTTTAAACAGTACCTTCAATGTTGATTCTAATACATATAAAAACATAAAATAGTAGTTTATTGATATCAGTGCTGATACATTTAAACCTCTTGCCATTGGCCACAGATGTATTATCATAGGATAAATATATATCAAATTTATAATCTGTCCTGTATATTCAAATTCTTCAGAAAATACTATGTGAAATATAAAAGTCAGAAATGTATTACTCCTGAAAAGAGATCAAATAAAATGTTAGATCACTTAAAAGTATAATTAGCAGCTGAAGTTCAATATTTGTTTAAACAAATCATTAAAATTAATTTGAAGACTATACATAATATAAAATAATAGTAAGCAAAAATCAAAAGCATATTTTCTATACATAAAAATCATAATGAAGAAAGGTAAAAAACATGATTTTTAAAAATCCATATCAGGGATGAGAAGCATTTTTAAAACTCAAGGCCACAGTACCCTGGAAACAATGCAAAGATTCATAAATAAAAACAAAAAACAAATAAATTTAGAGGAAAACAAATTACACATTGGATTGTTTAAAATCAAGAATGGGAAAAATATGATATTAAATAATTACTATGACATATATTTATTAAAACTTTTCATTCCATCTAATGTACAGCATGACAAAAAGAAATTCTTTGGATATATGTCAAGGTCCTACACTTTTGATTTTTTGTATATCTCTTTAAACTTATTAAATGGAAAAAAGTAAAAAATATTACTAGAATTTGTTATAAAAGGTTAATGACCTCTTAAAATTTAGCAGCATTAACGCCCTTGGTATGTTCTTGTTTTGGCATGTTCTATTGGTATAAAAATTATGTCTCTCTGCTCTAAAAAGTATGTAAGCTCACAATTTATAAAACTAAGTAAAATATCTACCCCAGTTAAGTAAAATCTGTGTTTTGTGATATTTTGGAAAATTGGTTACAGGTATTATTAAGGCCATGTTGTGTTTTTCCTAATTATAGATCAACAGAATCACACAATAGAACAGATGAAATTAAACAGAGCTAGATCTAGTCTACCAGTTAGCTATTTCTCACCCCTGCTCTATGTTATATCCAGAAGAATATTAAGCAGCCCGCAACACACTACAACCCTCAGACACAGCAATTAAAACTTGAAGGATCCAAATATGAACATCCTTTTTCCCTTCCTGACTACTCTCTCATAGAGATGTCAATGAAGTTGCTAAAATAGAATGGAAGAAGAGAAGCAAGCACCACCCAATCAGTGAAAATAAACCATAATATAGTTTTTCTCAAATAAGGAAAATTGAGATAAGCTATTATGACAATGTAGAAATGGTAGTATTTTCAAGTATGTTTCTATTAAAGGTTCACAATACTTACTCAGGTGGAATAAAATGTATCTTTTCTATACAATATTCCAAGAAAGTTAAAACATTTTTAAACTTTATAAGCCAACTTCTAGTTCTCATATAAGTTGAAACATCATAAATACTCATGAATCTAACAGAGAAAAATGTACATATGTGTTATAATAAAAAGCAAGTGCTATACTTTGGGTTAATATAAAAGGGGAAGGTGTACTAAGTATAAATTTAATATGGACCCACCAAATAAGCTCAGTCTCATGCCTCTGCATCCATCCACCTATCCATCCATGGTCATGGTACAGGAGTAGTTTTAGCATGAGACTCCTGCTGCCTCTGTTCCTGACCAGAGGTTGAACATAAGTAAAGCTTCTCTAGACCATTTGGAGTTTGGAATCAAGCTTTCCTTTGTCATGCTGGTCTGGCCCAACCCTCTCCAAGGCCCTGAAAGCTCTAACTTTCCCAAACTTTATTCCAGGGACTGGTAAAGATCTTCCAAATAGATTACCTGGCTGCTGAAATGTTATCTATCACCCAGCCAGGATCTCCTATTATTATTGCCCCACAGCTTTGTGTTAGATCATCTATTATCTAATGTTTGCCAGGACTGTAACCAGATATTGTTATATCTCCAAGATACTGAGCTTTTCCCACCAGACTTAATTGCACTTGTCAGCACCAGCAGTTGGGTCAATTCTTCCAGAGCCTGCTCCACCCCAGGGAGCAGTCTAATGGCAGCCTCCAGGCTTCTAAACCTCCTCTGTCTGGTAATTTAAAGTGAAGATAATATAAAGGCAAAATAATTATAATAGTTATTGAGGTTATATAAGTTCCCTTTCATGGATTCCCGAGTGTCTTATCTAATTACATGACAGTCCAATCTTTCTCCAGACTCCCCTAATGTCACCAAGGTTATAAAACTTTAGAGGAAAAAAATAAACCAATAAAATAAAAAGCAGATGGATAGATGGATGGAAGGACAGACAGATGGACAGACAGAAGATGGATACATACAGATATGTGAAATAATAGATTGATCAATCAGGACATTTAATTCTCATTTTATTCATTCTTCATCATATAGTCATTCAATTTTGGAAATATCAATTAAAGAAGTGTTATACTTACTTTCCTTGGATGGAGTAATAGCATTTTGCTGCACCAATTAATATCCGGGCTGCCTCTATTTCAAGAATTCCATTGTTACGCTGTTTTTCAAAGCTACTCTAAACATACATTAAATGAAGATTACAAAAGATCAAAACATAAATGGAATGTATTCTTCTTAACCCTTACATAGCCCTCACTATTATTACTGAACTCAATATATCAAAATATGCCATTACAAAAAATTATGTAGTAGGAAATAAATATCATTCAATGCAAATGTTTACAGAATACTCATTTTTATAAAGTATAGTCCTGAATGTTATGAGATAAAAAGGGTCTTAGCTTTCTAGAAAATCAAAATGTATGCCACTCAGCCAGGCATGGTGGCTCACTTTGGGAGGCCAAGGCAGGGGGATCACTTGAGTCCAGGAGTTCAAGACCAGTCTGGGCAACACGGTGAAACCCCCCATCTCTACCAAAAATACAAAATTAGCCGGGCATGATGGCGCATGCTTGTAATCCCAGCTACTCAGGAGGCTAAGGCAGGAGAATCGCTTGAACCCAGGAGGCGGAGGTTGTGGTGAGCCGAGATCATGCCATTGCACTCCAGTCTGGGCAACAGAGCAAGACTCCGTCTCAAAAATTTATATGTGTGTGTGTATATATATGTGTGTGTATATATATGTATATATATGTATATACACACACACATATATACGCATATTATATATACAACTCAAAGAGTTTACTTCAGTAATATAAATAACATCAGTAGCATCATCTTTCTACAGCAGAATAGAGAGTGCAAAGTATTAATTCTAAGTGTAACTAATCATTTCAGCCCCACAAAGAACTATCAAAAGAAAAAGATAGGCTGTATTGTTGTGTCAATCCTCCCCCTAAAATAGCAGAAAAATTATAGCTTCTACATGACACTGACATTACATTCAGAGGTTAGCGTTACCTCCTGGAACTGCTGCCTACATTTCCTCACATACTGACCATACACTTTGCCTATCCATTGTTTAGAAATGTTGACTCCAACCACTACTGCATTTAACACATTTTCTCAAGTCTTAAAATTTGAGGGATGATAGTCATTTCAGGAAAGGAGAGAATTCACACCACTTATATCTCAAGACAATTCTCATTCACTCATTAGCTCCTTTTCCAGAAGACAGAAAAATTATCCACCAGTAACAGCTTTGATAAAGGATATGCAAATTCTGAAACTGCCTTCCAAACGGTATGGGGCAATGGCCAGGCTCTCTCTACTCTGAGGGCTACTGGAGCACTTAGTGGATTTCCCTACGTTGTAAGCCTCCGTGATGGCCCTGGTAGGATGTCCACTGTGAGAAAACTATGTCCCAGAAGTTCAGTCCTGAGGCCTACCTCCAGTGTTTACACTTGCAGTTTTTCCGGCCCTGCCCATCAAGAAGTAGGCCTGGATCAAGAAAATTATGATTTACTAATATGATGGATTGTTTATTTATTCATTCATCCTTTAAACAAATGTTTATTAAATGCCTACTCTGTTCCAAGCCCTGTTTTAGGGCAATGGAGGTATAGTCCAAGGCTTTAAGGGGTTCACAATCTAGTGGGGCAGGGGAAAAGTTAGATGCTTATATGATAAAACAGGAAATTAAGGGGATAACATTCAGCACAGGGTGTTAATCAGACTTGATGTAGAGATGGGATCAGAGAGAGTTTCTCTTGGAGGAGATGATACTTCAACTGAGTTTTAAGGAGAAGTACAATTATCCAGATGAAGAATGGTCGTGGGGCGAGCAGAGTGAAGAAAGAGGTAGGCAGAGGGTGGCATCTCTAGTGCACGTACAGAGGTGAGAAACAGTATGCTGAGTGCAGTAAAAAACAAGTTGTGGGGCAGAGCATCAGTTAGAGAAACAGTCAGAGGCCAGATTTTAAAATACCTTGTATATTGTGCTTTGACTTAATATCATAGGTAAACTTTTCTTGGAATGTGATATACACATTCTGTGAGATACTCCTTCAACCCCAATCCCTGAAAAACTATGCAGGGCAGGGGAAAGGGTAAGAAAATGTTGCATTCTATAGTCTCTCTTGGAGAATCTCAATGTATATCAGCATATTAAAAATTCTGAAGAGTTCTACAAGAAGTTCTAAAAGAAACCCATTTAACTTTATTTAAGCCACCATTTCCCAAACTAATTTGAGCATGGAAACTTCTTTTTTCATGCAGTTTCTATTAGCATCCCATGGAACAAGTGTTCTTTGAAACTCACAATGGAAAATGTAGGCACTGAGGAGTCATTTAGGGTTTTAAGCAGGAAGGAGGTATAGTCACATGTCTTTTAGTAAGTCACTATAATTTGAGAATGGAAATATTGGAGACAAGGGGACCAATTGAAAGTTATCGTCTGGACAAGAGATTATGACGGCCTAAATTAAGATTCACAAGAATGGAAAGGGGTGTATTTGACAAACATTTAGAAGGTAAGATTGATAGAGCTTGGAGAAGGATAGAGGAAGAGGACTGACTCCAGCAACCAATGGTCTAATTCACTAACACTTGGAATATAACAGTAGGCTTGGGATGAGTTCAATATGGATTTGAGGTAGAGTGAAAGGAGAAGCTGTCTAGCCACCACTGGATTCATGAGTCTAAAGAGCTGGTGTTGAAAGGTATGGAAGGAAGATTACAGATTTGTAGAGCATCTATGCATAGTGTTAAAATCATGAGTGTAGCTGGGACTAAAGAAGGAGAGACTATAAAATAAGAACAGTGGACAGAGTTAATTGTCCTGAGGTGCACCAACATTAAAGGGTTAAAAAGAGTTCATAGAGGAGACTGAAAAGGAAAGGGGTCATAAACACAGGAAGAATGCCAGAGTAGAAGGTACTCTTAGGAAAGCTATTCAAAAATAGCATGCAGCAAGTCCTTCCATGGGATTGTTGGTTTAAAAAAGTAAATGTGGTAGGTCATTATAACAATGACTGCAGTGTGTCATGCCTCTCTGTGTCCATGCCCACTTTGCAATTGGCATCGCTGTTTCCCCATTAAGAGGTGTAATCTACTTTTCTACTCATTGACTCTGGACTGGTTTTGTGATTTGCTTTGACTAATAAAATGGGGGTAAAAGTGACATTGTTCAGGCTCCAGAGCCTGGAACTTAAGAGGCTTTGTGGCTTCCCCTCTCACCCTGTTGGAACCCAGAGACCATGCTGTGAAGAAGCCCAGTCCAGCCAACTATACAGAATAGGCCATAGAGGGGAGAAACAAAGCACCCTGGAAGACAACTAGCATCAGCTGCCAAACCTGCGAGTGAGGACATCCTGGACCCTCCAACCATAGCTGATCTAGGAAATGACCACAGGCATAAGAGTGATCCAAAGCGAGACCAACAATAGAATCACCTGGATTGCCAACACACAGAACCATGAGAAATAATAAATCATTGCTTTAAGCCACCAAGGTCTGGGTTGCTTGGTTAAACAGCAGACGCTGACTAAAACAGGAAAAATCAGTATCAATTGTGGAGAGCCTCCAGAAATTAAAACATACTGCATTAGCTTTGGAACTGGGTGGTGGGCAGAGGGTAGGGGGGCAGTGAGAAGACTGTTAGTGGAAGCTGGAAGAGCAGTGGGGAAACTGTAGCAGGAGGCTGGAGGGAGGCAGCCATGCTATCAAAAGGCAGTACCACTGGCCAGGCTGTCACCTGAGGCAACTCGGAAGACAGAAAATGTACCTCATGAATCTGCTAAGAGGATTTCTAGATTTCTAATATTCCAGGAACATTAAAAGTACTGCTTTTTGTTAGCTTCATATGATAAGGTAGAGAAAGACAGAGACAGGGATAAACCAAAGAGAAATAGTTCAGTCTTAAAGCAGAACTTAGACAAAATATAGAAGCCATGGTTTGCCAGGTTGGAAAGTAAACATGTTTCTCGTCTATGGTTTCTACAGCTGGCAAAGATCTAAGAGTAAAGACCAAAACATGCCAAATTGTAAAGACCATCTATGCTGAGAAGAAACTGCATCAACTAAAGGGCAAATTAACCAGTTAACATCATAATGACAGGATCAAATTCACATATAACAATATTAACCTTAAATGTAAATGGGCTAAATGCCCCAATTAAAAGACACAGACTGGCAAATTGGATAAAGAGTCAAGACCCATCAGTGTGCTGTACTCAGGAGACTCATCTCACATGCAGAAACACACATACTCTCAAAATAAAGGGATAGAGGAAGATCTACCAAGCAAATGGAAAGCAAAAAAAAAAAGCAGGGGTTGCAATCCTAGTCTCTGATAAAACAGACTTTAAACCAACAAACATCAAAAGAGACAAAGGCGGCCATTACATAATGGTAAAGGGATCAATTCAACAAGAAGAGCTAACTATCCTAAATATATATGCACTTAATACAGGAGCACCCAGATTCATAAAGCAAGTCCTTAGAGACCTAGAAAGAGACTTAGAATCCCACATAATAATAATGGGAGATTTTAACACCCCACTGTCAATATTAGACAGATCAACAAGACAGAAGGTTAACAAGGATATCCAGGACTTGAACTCAGCTCTGCACCAAGTGGACCTAATAGACATCTACAGAACTCTCCACCCCAAATCAACAGAATATACATTCTTCTCAGCACCACATCACACTTATTCCAAAACTGACCACATAGTTGGAAGTAAAGCACTCCTTAGCAAATGTAAAAGAACAGAAATCACAACAAACTGTCTCTCAGACCACAGTGCAATCAAATTAGAACTCAGGATTAAGAAAGTCATTCAAAACTGCACAACTACATGGAAACTGAACAACCGGCTCCTGAATGACTACTGGTTAAATAACAAAATGAAGGCAGAAATAAAGATGTTCTTTGAAACCAATGAGAACAAAGACACAACATACCAGAATCTCTGGGACACATTTAAAGCAGTGTGTAGAGGAAAATTTATAGCACTAAATGCCCACAAGAGAAAGCAGGAAAGATCTAAAATCAATACCCTAACATCACAATTAAAAGAACTAGAGAAGCAAGAGCAAACAAATTCAAAAGCTAGTAGAAGGCAAGAAATAACTAAGATCAGAGCAGAACTGAAGGAAATAGAGGCATAAAAAACCTTCAAAAAATCAATGAATCCAGGAGCTGGTTTTTTGAAAAGATCAACAAAATTGATAGACCGCTAGCAAGACTAATAAAGAAGGAAAGAGAGAAGAAGCACATAGATGCAATAAAAAATGATAAAGGGGATACCAGCACTGATCCCACAGAAATACAAACTACCATCAGAGAACACTATAAACACCTCTATGCAAATAAACTAGAAAATCTAGAAGAAATGGATAAATTCCTGGACACATACACCCTCCCAAGACTAAACCAGGAAGAAGTTGAATGGCTGAATAGACCAATAACAGGATCTGAAATTGAGGCAATAATTAATAGCCTACCAACCAAAAAAAGTCCAAGACCAAACAGATTCACAGCCAAATTCTACCAGAAGTACAAAGATGAGCTGCTAACATTCCTTCTGAAACTATTCCAATCAATAGAAAAAGAGGGAATCCTCCCTAACTCATTTTATGAGGCCAGTGTCATCCTGATACCAAAGCCTGGCAGAGACACAACAAAAAAAGAGAATTTTAGACTAATATCCCTGATGAACATCAATGCAAAAATCCTCAATAAAATACTGGCAAACTGAATCCAGCAGCACACCAAACAGCTTATCCACCAAGATCAAGGTGTCTTCATCCCTGGAATGCAAGGCCAGTTCAACATATGCAAATCAATAAACGTAATCCATTACATAAACAGAACCAAAGACAAAAACCACATGATTATCTCAATAGATGCAGGAAAGGCCTTTGACAAAATTCAACAGCCCTACATGCTAAAAACTCTCAATAAACTAGGTATTGATGGGATGTATCTCAAAATAATAAAAGCTATTCATGACAAACCCACAGCAGTATCATACTCAATGGGCAAAAACTGGAAGCATTCCCTTTGAAAACTGGCACAAGACAGGGATGCCCTCTCTCACCACTCCTATTCAACATAGTGTTGGAAGTTCTGGCCAGGGCAATCAGGCAAGAGAAAGAAATAAAGGGTATTCAATTAGGAAAAGAGGAAGTCAAATTGTCCCTGTTTGCAGATGACATGATTGTATATTTAGAAAACCCCATTGTCTCACCCCAAATCTCCTTAAGCTGATAAGCAACTTCAGCAAAGTCTCAGGATACAAAATCAATGTGCAAAAATCACAAGCATCCCTATACACTAATAACAGACAGAGAGCCAAATCATGAGTGAACTCCCATTCACTATTGCTACAAAGAAAATAAAATACCTAGGAATCCAACTTACAAGGGATGTGAAGGACCTCTTCAAGGAGAACTACAAACCACTGCTCAATGAAATAAAAGGGGACAGAAACAAATGGAAGAACATTTCATGCTCATAGATAGGAGGAATCAATATCGTGAAAATGGCCATACTGCCCAAGGCAATTTATAGATTCATTGCCATCCCCACCAAGCTACCAATGACTTTCTTCACAGAATTGGAAAAAATTACTTTAAAGTTCATATGGAACCAAAAAAGAGTCTGCCTTGCCAAGACAATCCTAACCAAAACTAACAAAGCTGGAGGCATCACACTACCTGACTTCAAACTATACTACAAGGCTACAGTAACAAAAACAGCATGGTACTGGTACCAAAACAGAAGTATAGACCAATGGAACAGAACAGAGGCATCAGAAATAACACCACACATCTACAACCATCTGATCTTTGACAAACCTGACAAAAACAAGCAATGGGGAAAGGATTCCCTATTTAATAAATGGTGCTGGGAAAGCTGGCTAGCCATACGTAGAAAGCTGAAACTGGATCCCTTCCTTACACCTTATACAAAAATTAATTCAAGATGGATTAAAGACTTAAATGTTAGACCTAAAAACCATAAAAAACCCAGAAGAAAACCTAGGCAATACTATTCAGTACATAGGCATGGGCAAGGACTTCATGACCAAAACACCAAAAGCAATGGCAATAAAAGCCAAAATTGACAAATGGGATCTAATTAAACTAAAGAGCTTCTGCACAGCAAAAGAAACTACCATCAGAGTGAACAGGCAACCTACAGAATGGGAGAAAGTTTTTGCAATCTACCCATCTGACAAAGGGCTAATATCAAGAATCTCCAAAGAACTTAAACAAATTTACAAGAAAAAAATCAAACAACCCCATCAAAAAGTGGGCAAAGGATATGAACAGCCACTTCTCAAAAGAAGACACTTATGCAGCCAACAGACACATGAAAAAATGCTCATCATCATTGGTCATCAGAAAAATGCAAATCAAAACCACAATGAGATGCCATCTCACACCAGTTAGAATGGTGATCATTAAAAAGTCAGGAAACAACAGGTGCTGGAGAGGATGTGGAGAATTAGGAATGCTCTTACACTGTTGGTGGGAGTGTAAACTAGTTCAACCATTGTGGAAGACAGTGTGGCGATTCCTCAAGGATCTAGAACTAGAAATACCATTTGATCCAGCCATCCCATTACTAGGTATATACCCAAAGGATTATAAATCATGCTACTATAAAGATACATGCAAACTCTGTTTATTGAGGCATCATTCACAATAGCAAAGACTTGGAACCAACCCATATGTCCATCAATGATAGACTGGATTAAGAAAATGTGGCACATATACAACATGGAATACTATACAGCCATAATAAATGATGAGTTCATGTCCTTTGTAGGGACATGGATGAAGCTGGAAACCATAATTCTGAGCAAACTATCACAAGGACAAAAAACCAAACACCACATGTTCTCACTCATAGGTGGGAGTTGAACAATGAGAACACTTGGACACAGGGCGGGGAACATCACACACCAGGGCCTGTCATGGGGTAGGGCGATGGGGGAGGGATAGCATTAGGAGAAATACCTAACGTAAATGATGAGTTAATGGGTGCAGCAAACCAACATGGCACATGTATACGTATGTAACAAACCTGCACGTTGTGCACATGTACCCTAGAACTTAAAGTATAATTTAAAAAAAAAGACCAAATCCAGGGTGCTGCCAGTAAAATATGGCCTCTGCTTCCAAATCAAATCAAGGGTGTGGCTGAAGGCCCTTTGTTAAGACCACCCAAAGATTCAAGGTCGTATTTCATCTACCTTCTCAACAAGACTAAAGGCCTCCTCAGACTCATATCTGCATTGTCTGATACAGTCAACAGTCTACCTGAAAAGAAACTGTGAAGTGGGGCGGACTAAACCAGAGTCATGGAAAACAAACAATTTTTACGGTAATTGTGCTAGATTGGACAAAAAGGGACGGAGACAGTTCTAAGTGAATATAAATAAACCTCCCAGTTTTCTACAGGCAGAAATCAAACTGAGAAAGCCACTTGGCTACAAGCATGGATTATTTCCTATGGAAACGGAAAGAATGGGGAGAATTGGTATGTGTGCCCAGATGGATTTCAGAATTGCCATGGACACGTAATTTCTCAGGCCATCCCATTCTTCCCCCTCTTAAACAGTAGTGTCTGTTGATCATCACTGAATATTGGGTGTCTGGGGGGCAGATAACTTTTCTTTTTAGTTCACAGGTATCTAGATCAAGAAGACTCACACTTCAGGAGAGGCAACCAAGGAGCCTCTCGCCTGGATTGCAGATCATAAGATACTGGACTTTGAGTCTGGTAGTAAATAGGATGTAGCTTTTTGGGTTCTTGGAAAAGGGTGAGTCTGTTTTACATGTCGGAGGGGTAGAAATATTGTGGCCAGTGGGCAAACTGTGGAACAGTAAATATGGCCACAAATTCTGTGCATGTCTTACTATTAAGAGGTTGAATCTATTGCCCCACCCCTTGAATTGAGGCAGCCTCATTCACAAGTCTGGAAGTTAGGTACTGGCCCTTTTGCCTCAGTTTTCCTCTAGGTGGCTTCTCATTCTTCAGAGACTGCTTCTTTGCATGGCAGTCTCAGGGTGGCATTCGGAGTGGGAAAAAGGTAGAAGCTACAAATCTTCTCAATGCCTAGGCTCTAGAACGTTCACAAAGCCACTTTTGCCATATTTTATGCTCAAAACAAATCACAAGAACAGCCCCAATTCAAGGGATAGGATAAAGATACCACTTTTTAATAGGAGGCTCTGCAAAGAATTTGTGGCCATACGTAATTTTCTACTGTGGACGAGAGCCTTTCAAACTCTGAGAATATGTTAAACTAAGTATAGAAATGTTTAAAAGAATGAAAATAATTTCTTAAGAAGAAATATGTTCTTCAAGCTGGGAGCGGTGGCTCACACCTGTAATCCCAGTGCTTTGGGAGGGTGAGGTGGGCAGATCACTTGAGGCCAGAAGTTTGAGACCAACCTGGCCAACGTGCCAAAACCTCATCTCTACTAAAAATACAAAAATTAGCTGGGCATGGTGCCAAAACCTCGTCTGTACTAAAAATACAAAAATTACCTGGGCATGGTGGCACGCACTTGTAATTCCAGCTACCAGGGAGGCTGAGGCACAAGAATCTCTTGAACCCAGGAGGTGGAGGTTGCAGTGAGTCAAGATCGCGCCACTGCACTCCAGCCTGGATGACAGAGTCAGACTTTGTTTCAAAATAAATAAAATAAATAAATAAGAAGAAATATATTCTTCAACAGAAAAAAATGAAAGCAAAAAGAAGAAATTTATATGTTAACAGAGATTTGAAGGACATATCAGTTCATTGCAATGTGTGGACTTTACTGGAGTTCAATTTGAAAACATAAACTGTAAAAATAAATATTTATCACATTTCTGAGACAATTGGAAATCTTACCACTGAGTCGACATTTGATGTTATTAAGGAATTATTGTTCACTTTTAAGTATAATGTTAGTATTTTATGTTTTTAAAAATACTTTAAAATTTAGAGATATATACTGAAATATTTACAGATGTATGATTTGTTTCAGACTAATACATAAGATGGGGGTTAGGATGCAGCAGGTATTGGTCACATGTGGATGGTTTTTAAGGTTGGGTGATGGGTACATGAGGATTTATTACACTATTCTATCTACTTTTGCATATGTTAGGAATTCTTAATATTGACAATAAGTTTTAAAAAGAAACTAAAAAAGAATTCTGGGCACAATTCATATTTTATATACATTTTATATTGAATAAAATTTGTTCCATTTGATTATAACTCCAGTTTAAAATGTACAATTTGACAAGCTGGTATAAACTTGATTTTACCAGGTAATCTTCCTATATTTATATAGAACATTTAAATATTAGTATTACAACATTTCAAGAGAATTTTTGATTCATCAGATATATTTTAGCTTATTATATCTCTAACAGTTAAATTAGCACTTGAGAGAATTTCGTATAAATGGAACTCAGATATGTTAAATTTATAAAAGCAATTTTAAATATTTGAAAATGTTTAATTATCTAGTATGTAAATAGCACCAAACATTATTCTAAGGGCCCTCAAAAGTGACTGCTAAAATTTGCCAGACATAGAAACAGGATAATAAGGTTTGTGACTTAAACTTCAAGCCTCAGGAAGAAGGAGAATTTTTTTATTTTTTAACTTTAACAAATCACACATTAATTTTAACAATCAATAGACTATGAGAAGGTAAAGTTTTCAAGTCATCTGAAAATCATATGCAAGGATCAAAGACATTGCAAGAAAGGAAATTTTAAAACATTATGTGAACAGCACCAACCATTTGTATTGCAGCTACATGCAATCTGGCTTCCTCCATTAAAGCTTCATCTGTTGTGGATTCTGTCTTCATATCATTATGTGAAACGTGGGAAAACTGAACCGTATCAGATGACATTTTAAAACATAAAGGGATAAAGTTAAAAATAAGTAAAAATGATTAGGAACTGGCAAATACTACTCTCAACAAAGATTCCAATAATTCAAAGCAGAATTGCTAGAATGAAGAGCTATGTAATGTTTTTTCATATAAGAAGTGTTGCCTTCAATTGTGCTAAAGTAAATACTCATTTGGGGAGATTTATATCCCAAATTCTTCTCTAAACTTATCTATATGTTTGATTGCTCTCTAAATCAGCCCATGTTTTCTGCTTTTTATAACACTTCTACCAGGAGAGAATTATCAGTATCTTAAGCCATTAAAAACATTATCTTGGCAGAGGCCATTGATTGGTACTCAACCAGCCAGATTGTAAAACATCCATTCTCCTGGTATTTGGCAAATAAAGCTGGATAACCAAGACCTTCTCTTTGGAGACAGAATTCAAACTCATTTCACCAAAATAGCAAAGCCAGTAACTATCTCCCCTCAGTTTTGTGACATTTAATTAGCAGAATCAGGTCTTTAACAATAGGCTAAAGCAAGTGAGGCAGACCAAGGGAAGGAAAGGAAAACTACTTTTTGCCAGGTATCAACTCACAGGAATGTATTCGATCCTCGTTTTATCTTCTACTAAGGTCCAGTTAACATTTGTCAAAATTTTTTCTGTTTTAAATAAAGTTATTGTGTTCTGTACTATCTCCTGTATGTGCTGAGTGGCATTTTGCAAGATCATTTGTCTTGGGAGGGAAAGAACACACAAATCTGTGACAAAGACAAAAGCAAAGGCCTTAATAGAGTACAGTGAGGACTGCAAGGGAAAGCAAAAAATGTTGCATGATCATGTAGTGAAATCTTGAGATCACCTGCAAACCAGAGTGGTTAGAGCAAGGACAATTTTTCATACAAAACTTTCCAGAAGATTACCCAACTATTTGTTTCTTTTTGGCTGTACAGCTCAACTTTATCTGACTCAACTGATAAAAAATGTTTATTAGTTTCCTTGCTTTCCCTATAGCTAAAGACATGACTACTTCAACGCACCTAATCCATATTTCTCAAAGTGTAAAGTGTACAGGTGGAAGGGCTGCCTATTAAACTATGCAAATTCCTGGGTTCCACTCCATACCTACAGAATCAGATTGGCTTGAAAATTTGCATTTTAACAAGTTCTCTCATTGTTTCTTATACTGTACATAATAACATTTAAAGGCCAGTGCAGTAGAGATCCCTCAAGTTTAACATCTCTGTTTTCTGGCCAGTGAATCAATATGTTCAAAATTTGAAGCATTTTGTATTTTCTTGAGGTATGAACTACAAGGCTCACTTACCAAAGAGAAGAATTAAATGAGTAAATAAGCTTAGCCTACTTACTCACAATTCCATCTCAATAAAGCTGTTCTCTCCTTAAAATTGCATATGAAATGTCTCTTCAAGGGTTAAATGGCTTCTAAACGTTTCAGTTTAACTTTATTTCACTCTCTATGGGACACTGCGTACAATGGAGTGATTTGAAGTTTGGGGATTCAGAAAGATCTGTAGGGATATCCCTCTCAAACATCAGGATCAGTTCACTGTAACCTGGAGCAAAGAGGCATCTGACTGCCTGCTCCCTTGGATTTAAAATTCCCATGGCTAAGACCACACAAGGAGAAAATGTATTCATTTGCCCAATTAGATCCCACCCATATGATGGGGCAACAGCCACTTTCCAGTTGCTCAGGGGAAATATGAAGGCATGTAGGCTACTTGGTGGCACCAGTACATCTGAATATACTCCCAGTGGTTAAGATAATCCTGGAAGAATATGAGGAGGGACCTTTTAAAAGCATTAGACCAGGTGGAAGGAGTTGGTTTGAAACTCTGACTGATAAAACTCAAGTCCGACAAGCACCTGTTAAATGTGTACCACATGGTATTCCTAGAAACGATGAACATTGACTCTGAAAAGATAAAGTACTTGCTATACAATCTTTATTCCACAGTGAGTTAAAAGAAATTCTGAAGCTTGGTTAATACAATCAAAAATTTATAGAGGGGAAAAAAAGAAACAAGACAAAAAAAGCATTGTCATGATAGTACAATCCCTCACTGATCTCACTTTTGAATACCAGAGTAGGAGGAATCACAAGAAAGGAAGCATGAGAGAAACCCACATATTTTATCTTAAAAAAAGAGAGTCAACTGGGTCAGGATCCCTGGCAGCCAAAGGGATTTGGTAGGAAGGAAAGTGTGAGCAAGACTTCCGGCATCAAATTAACTTCACTCATGCTGCCTTGTGAGCTTTTGCCAATCCAAGCACACCTTTTCACTGCAAACAAGAATAAACCAAGACCAGGTACAGTGGCTCACAACTATAATCTCGACACTTTGGGATGCCAGGGCAGGAGAATCCCTTGAGCCCAGGAATTCAAGACCAACCAGGGCAATATAGCCAGACCCTGTTTCTACTAAAAAAGAAAAAAAATGAGCTGGGTGTGGTGGTGCAAATCTATACTCCCAGCTATTCAGGAGGCTGAGGCAGGAGTATCACTTGAGTCCAGGAGGTCAAGGCTGCAGTGAGCCATAATCGTGCCACTGCATTGCAGCCTGGGTGACAGAATGAGATCCTGTATCTTTTTTTATTTTTTTATTTTATTTATTTATTTATTTATTTATTTATTTATTTTTGAGGAGGAGTTTCACTCTGTCGCCAGGCTGGAGTGCAGTGGTGCAATCTTGCCTCACTGCAACATCCACCTCCTGGGTTCAAGTGATTCTCCTGCCTCAGCCTCCCAAGTAGCTGGGACTACAGGCATGCGCCACCATGCCCAGCTAATTTTTATATTTTTAGTAGCAACGGGGTTTCACCATGTTGGCCAGGATGGTCTCGATCTCTTGACCTTGTGATCCGCCCGCCTTGGCCTTCCAAAGTGTTGAGATTACAGGCGTGAGCCACCACGCCCAGCCCTGTATCATTTTTTTTTTTTAAATGAAGAAGAACAAACACAGCCTGGTGGGGTGGTAAGCACCTGTAGTCCCAGCTACTCTGGAGGCTGAGCCCAGGAATTTGAGACCAGCCTGGGCAAGATAGTGAGCCGTTGAAAGAGAGAGAGAGAGAGAGAGAGAGAGAGAGAGAGAGAAGGAAGGGAAGGGAAGAGGAGGGGAGGGGAGGGGAGGGGAGCAAGTCCATAACTGGGGGAAAAGGAGAGCTGCCTAAAATCTGCCCCACGTGCTAGCCTCACTCAAACATTGGAGCCCTTTGCTTTGAGGTGGGCTGTCACAGGAAGTTCTGCAATAGTGTTTATGAGGCACAGTTCTAAGAATGTGCAGGACTTTCTGAAAACACCCAAGCAGAGCAGTGTTGTCTCTGAGTAGGACAGGATGAATATAGCAGGCTACTTCCATATTTAGAACAACTCTCCTTCAACATTATCCTTCCTTTGCCCTCATTAGTTCCATGCTCTATGAGAAACCTTTTGATTACCAATTTGGTTTATCAAGAAAATTGGTATCAGAGGTGAATACTGTGATAATGGTCACAAAAATTTCAGACATAGAAATTCATCCTCATTATAAACTAGTAAATCGGCCTTCTGGTTTATTGATGAATCTGTGAATGTGGTGCAGGCATGCCTTATCTCATTGTGCTTTACCTTATTGTGCTTTGCAGATATTACAGTTCTTACAAATTGAAGGTCTGCAGCAACCCTGCATCTAGCAAGTCTATCAGCACCATTTTTCCAACAGTATGTCCTCGCTTCATATCTCTGTGTCTACATTTTGGTAATTCTCACAATATTTCAAACTTTTTCATTATTATTATATCCATGATGGTGATATGTGATCAGTAGTCTTTGATATTACTAATGTAATTGCGTTGGGGCACCACAAACTGCACCCACATAGGACAACAATCAGTAAGTGTGTGTTCTGACTGCCCCTCAGACTGGCCATTTCTGCATCTCTCTCTCGCTCTCTCCTTGGATCTCGCTATTCCCTGAGACACACAGTATTGAAATTAGGCCAATTAATAACCCTACAATGGCTTCTAAGTGTTCAAGTGAAAGTAAGAGTCATACATCTCTCACTTTAAATTAGAAACTAGAAATGATTGAATTCAGTGAGGAAGGCAGGTTGAAAGCCGAGATAAGCCAAGCACTAGGCCTTTTGCACTAGTCAGCCAAGTTGTGAGTGGAAAAAAAAATCTCTTGAAAGAAATTAAAAGTGCTACTCCAGTGAACACACCAATGGTAAGAAGGCAAAACAGCCTTATTGCTGATATGGAGAAAGATTGAGTGGTCTGAATAGAAAATCAAACCAACACAATATTCCCTTTAGCCAAAATCTAATCTGGAGAAAGGCCCTAACTCTATTCAGTTATATGAAGGCTAAGAGAGGTGAGGAAGCTGCAGAAGAAAAGTTAGGAGCTAGCGGAGATTGGTTCATGAGGTTAAAGGAAAGAAGTCATCTCCATTACATAAAAGTGCAAAGTGAAGAGCAAGTGCTGATGTAGAAGCTGCAGCAAGTTATCCAGAAGATCTAGCTGAGATCATTGATGAAGGTGATTTTCAATGTAGATTTCAATGTAGATTCAGCAGATTTTCAATGCAGATAAACAGCCTTATATTGGAATAGAATGCTATGGATGACTTTCATTACTAAAAAGGAAAAGCCAATGCCTAGCTTCAAAGCTTCAAAGGACAGACTAACTCTTGTTAGGGGCTAATGCAGCTTGTGACTTTAAGTTGAAGCCAATACTTACTTATCATTCTGAAAATCCTAAGACTCTTAAGAATTAAGCTAAATGTATTCTGTCTGAGGTCTAAAAAATGAAAAAACAAAGCCTGGATGACAGCACATCTCTTTATAGCATGGTTTACTAAATATTTTAAGCTCACTATTGATATCTACTGCTCAGAAAAAAAAAGATTCCTTTCAAAATATTACTACTCATTGACAATACACTTAGTCATGCAAGAGCTCTGATGGAGATGGACAAGGAGTTGAATGTTGTTTCCCTGCCTGCCAGCACAACATCCATTCTGCAGCCCAAGTATCAAGGAGTCATTTTGACTTTCAAGCCTTATTATTTAATAAACACATTTTGTAAGGCTATAGCTGTCATAGATAGTGATTCCTCTGATGGATGTAGGGAAAATCAATAAAAAACCTCATGGATAGAATTCACCATTCTAGGTGCCATTAAGAGCATTCATAATTCATAGCAGGAGGTCAAAATATCAACATTAATAGGAGTCAGGAAGAAGTTGATTTTAACCTTCATAGATGACTTTGAGGGGTTCAAGACTTCAGTGGAGGAAGTAACTGCAGATGTGGTGGAAATAGCAAGGGAACTAGAATTAGAAGTAGAGCCTGAAGATGTGACTGAATTGCTGCAATCTCAGGATAAAACTTGCATGGATGAGGAGTTGCTTCTTACAGATGAGTAAACGAAGTGCTTTCTTGATATGGCATCTACTCCTGGTGAAGATGCTGTGAACATTGTTGAAAGGACAGCAAAGGATTTAGAATATTTTATAAACTTAGTTGCTAAAGTAGTGGCAACAGGTTTTGAGAGGATTTATTCCAATTTTGAAAGAAGCTCTACTCTATGTAAAATGCTATCAAACAGCACTGCATGCTACAGAGAAATCTTTCATGAAAGGAAGAGTCAGTTGATGTGCCAAACTTCACTGTTGTCTTAAAGAAATTGCCACAGCTGCCCAATCTTCAGCAACCACCACCCTGATCTGATCAGTCAGCAGCTATCAACCCTGCACCAGCAAAAAGATTATGAATTGCTGAAGGCTCAGATGATTGTTAGCATTTTTTTAGCAAGAAAGCATTTTTTCATTAAGGTATGTAAATAGTTTTCTTAGACACTGTGCTTTTGATTATAATTGACTACAGTATAGTGTAAACACAACTTTTATATGTACTGGGAAACCATATAATTTGTATGACTTGCTTTATTGTGATATTTATTGCATTATTTGCTTTGTCACGTGGTCTGGAATTGAACCTGCAATATCTCCAAGTTATGCCTGATATGTAAATCTCTAGTAGTCTGATCAATTTTAAATACCCAGACAAAATCGGGTCTCTGTAGCAGCAAAGCTGAGGATCAGGCCATGGCATATTGAACTATACTAAGGCTCTACGATAAGACTTTGCCTAATCTCACCCCAGTTTTCTCCTCTCCCCTTGAACCTACTGCCACCAAGTATCTTATCCTGGATTTCTCTACCGAATGTGTCTATTTGTTATTTTATTATATTTATGCATTTTATTATAAATGGCCTGAGATTCCTTTTAGAAATAACCAACTGTGGCAGAGCCTGCTGTTATCTCCCAACATCCATTCTCTTCTTCTTCCTTCTGCTAATAGAATCTCCAAGTTTTGGCTGATCATATCGCCAGCCCGGAAAGATGATATTTCGCAGCTTCCCTTGCCCATGTGTGTCCATGTGACTAAGTTCTGGCCAATGGAATGTGAGTGATAATGATACATACAGAGGGAGGCTGCTTACCCTCCATTGCCACACACCCCTCCCCCACCATTTCCCCTTTCTAGTTGGTTGGATTGTAGACATGGTGGTAGTGAGCAGGCTTCTACCCTGTGGGCAAGAGCAGCACCCTAGGGCATGGAAGAGCAATCAAAGGAAAGGAACGTGGATTTCTAAACAACTTTATGTAGAGTAGAACCATCTCACACTTCTGGACTTTTTGGTGGAGGGAAAAAAAAACCTTCTGTCTTGTTTAAGCCTCTGTTCATTTCGCTTTTGTTAAACTGGCTGAAACAATATCCCAAGTAATACAGCATCTAAATATATGAATAAATGAAAAATGAATAATTTCTAAACCAATTCCTTGAGCTTCATGAGAAATGTCCCCATGACACCCAACAATAACCTGTTTGTATTATTCTCCCCAGCTAATTCATGAATGAGACACATACTTTACCTAACTTCCTGGCTGACTGAGTCATCACGTATGAATTTATTCCCATTGTCAATAATGATATTACTTGTACATAGAGTATAAACTAAAAACAAAGCACATAAATAGTTAGAACCAAAACATTAAATAAGTTCTCCAAAAGCAATCATTGTTCAATTAGCCACTTACAAAATTCTATTAATATCTTAATCCACATTTTAAAATCCTGTTTCTGATAAGTCAGTTAAGGCAAAAAGGCAGTTTTGTGGACATTGCCTGAACACACTACACTGGGGCAGACATTAATTTTCAATCTGAATGAGGAAAACAGTAGACTGGAGATTCTATGCTAAGGACACAGGGAGGAGGTCTCCACAGTTGCCACTCCTGGCAGCAGTCATGCAAAGACAGCACGGTGGTAGCCATCTCAGGCATGGCTGTGGAACCTGCAGGGTGGGGAGAAAGCCCAGCAACCACAGGCGGTGGTGACCGTGGGCCACAGAGGGATGTGTGCCTGCCACCAGCATTTGCTACGGCTGTACCAGAGGCTCTGAAGGAGAAGGCAGGAGCTGTGGTGGGGCCTGGAGAGATGCTGTGCGGAAGGAGAAAGGTAATATTTGTAGGCCATGACTTTGCCATTTCTTAGCCATGTGATTGGGGGGCAGTTAATTTAACCACCACTCAGAGCCACAGCATCCTTCACTGAAAAGAGGAGTTAATAGTAATTTCTCCTCCAGTGTCTCTCACACTTGACTAATAACAACAATCACCTGAAGTGCTTGTTAAACATACTGACTCCCGCTGTGGGTTGTGATTCTGTAGGTCTAGGGTGGGATTCTTAACACCAGACAGAATTAAGAAACACTGTGAAATGATGCCCAGGTGCTAGTTAACTTCTCATTGACTTGGTTTTAGGCCAATTCCTTGCATAAAAGAGAATCGGAGGAGCTGTAATGTTGATTATTTTACTTTTCTTTTGGAGCATGGAAAGAACCAAAGTCTTTGCAAAACCACTGGTTATTTGAACTCAAAATTCATGCCCAGATCGGGCCCACAGATATAAATCCTCAGAAAAAAAATGTGGTGAGGAATAGGAATATGATACTCCATCAAAAATAGCACTTCCTGTTTGGGGAGTTAGGGCACGTGAGGTCTTTCCCTCTCATGCTACATACAGAAGGCTACTACTCTCTTTGATTGGATTTCTCCACATGCAAGATGGAGAGGTCAATAGTTGCTCCCAAAAAGAAGGTATTAAATAAATACTGTACTCCTTGGGACTTCGGGGCAGCAGCAAAATAGTAAAGAGAAGTTCTAGGATGGAAATTAGACAATAGCAACAAACTCTGTACATCTACCTCCAGATTCCTTGGTAGGTGAGTCAGTGCTCTTGAGCTCATATCATTCAAGCGGTTTTCCCCCTCCCAGAAACAGATCTGGGGTTCATCTGATTAGGAGGTAATGAGAGGCTGATCCTGAAGATTTCTAGCAGCTTCTGGAAACTTCTCTAGCTAGCTCATAGTGCTGTCACAAATGACAAGGTGCACGGCCAGCAGATGCACTGGGCTCTTTGAATCTTGCCTGGAATGTCAGATGCAGCCACCACCAGACTCCCCAGAAATCTACCAGCTAACCCATGGGGAAAGGCTTTG
Source organism: Homo sapiens (assembly GCF_000001405.40). Taxonomy (NCBI): domain Eukaryota; kingdom Metazoa; phylum Chordata; class Mammalia; order Primates; family Hominidae; genus Homo; species Homo sapiens. Next base: position 173,556,361 of record NC_000001.11, read on the forward strand.
AGAAAGAGTGGAAAGGAAACCAAGTTTTGTTTTGTGATACAGATAATGGAGTCTTTGCCCAGAATTTTTCGAGAAATAAATTTTTTAAAATTAGCCCTAAAGACATAAACCTAACTAGATCTTTAATGTAAAAATATATAAAATCTTTTTTATCTTGGTATACTTAACTAGCATTTCAGTTTTTGTTCTAAGAACTATAAGGATTAGAATGCTCCTGACAAGAGTATCATTTTTTCATGCTTTCTGATGGCTATTGAAAAATTGCATTTGTACCCGGGCCTGGTGGCTCACGTCTGTAATCCCAGCACTTTGAGTGGAGGCCGAGACAGGTGGATCACCTGAGGCCAAGAGTTCGAGACCAGCCTGGCCAACATGGCAAAACCCCGTCTCTACTAAAAATAACAAATAATAATAATAATAATCCAGATGTGTTTGTGCACACCTGTAATCCCAGCTACTTGGGAAGCTGAGGCATGAGAATTGCTTAAACCTGGGAGGCGGAGGTTGCAGTGAGCCAAGATTGCACCACTGCACTCCAGCCTGGGTGACAGAGTGAAATCTTGTCTCAAAAAAAAAAAAAAAGAAAAAAGAAAAGAAAATAGCATGTATGTGTTCAATAACATTTATTGAGCATTTATTAAGTGTCTGGTATTTTATTGAGCATCATCTCAATTCTCAACTGAAAGTTGAAGCTCAGCAAGCCTGGGGAACTTCCTCAAGATCACCCAGCCTGTGAATGGTGGAGTCCAGATCAGAGCCCAAGTTTATCTAATACCACATCCATAACTACTCCATGACTATTGGTCCCTTTCACATTCTCAACATAAATAACGTTCTGCTCTGTTCCTTTCTACTTAAAAGAATGCATTTTAAAAATCTAATTCAAAGCTGGTTAACTTTATTACTGGGTTCTCTGACAAGTGGGCAAGATAAGTAAAAATGATAAATATGAATAATCATGAGACATGATCTTTCCTACCATTTGTGGTACTTCCACTTTTCGTTCAGCGAGATTATAAACATCAGGAGCCCAGAGTAAATTAAAAACTCCTTTAATTCCAGACCACGTGATTACAACTCCCCATCGCCAATTATATTCATAATTTGAATGCATCAAAATAGGGCTCACTAACAAAATAGTAAGCAACCTGTGGAGAGGGAAACATTAAAAATAAATCTCACCTTGTTTATTAATGTTATTCATAGTTGAAAGCAAGTACTAAATACTAAATTTAATATAAAAATTTTCGGGAAAGAAAAAAACAATGCAATTTACTGTTAAGTCCTTCCAATTTTCTGAGACTAACCAAATCTACTATTTAAAGTTTGCACATAACACTTAAGTCTTGAAAAATAATGCTAGACCTTCTAAACAAATATAAGGAATTATCATCAACACTACTGTATACTGTTTGGAATTGGGTAGTAAATGCTCACAGGGAAACCTCTTCTAAGAATGCTGACAAGCTCATCTACTCCCTGAAAAGCCATACATGACTGGATTCAAAAATTATAATGGGGGCATGTGCAGATCATGACTCAAATGTAAAATTATTTTGGGCACATTAATAAACAATAAATAATAAAAAAAGTTTATTGAGCTCCCACAAGAATCATACGCTAAATGTCACACAAATAATTTTAATTTGTGCCTTCTTGCCCTCCAGATTACTTTTCTATACGACCCTGTGCCAAAATTTAAAATCTATCATTAAGGGACTGGCAGTGAGAGAATATCAATACTGTACTTCAAATGATTTAGAACAAATGAAATTTCAGCGAAAGTGAAAACAGATGTGTTCTTAGCCTCAAAAAAAAATATTGTGTGTCAGTTGATCAACTATAATTGCACAAGTCAATTTAGAGAATTCCTGTCATTGAGAAACAGAAAATCTACAATTACCACCTATAATGTATATAATTATTTGGGCAAACTCCTCTGCCTTGCATTCAAGCCTTTTGCAACGTGACTCTTACCAACCTTTTCAGGCTTACTAAATAACCTTTCCCTAAAATATCAGAGTCCAACCAAAATAGAAACAACTTATGTCATTTCCTGATATCAAAAACAGGGAGGCAGAACAGCAAATACTCTGAAGTCAGCCTACCTGTGTTAAATCTAGCCTTGCCTTTTACTAACTGCATAACTACATAAGCAAGTTAATCTCTCTGTCTCAGCTTCTTCATCTGTAAAATGAAGATAATAACAATGGTACTTGCCTCAAAGGATTATTGTGGTAATTCAATTAAATAAGGCAATACTCAGGGCTTAGAATGATGCTTTGCAGGTGGTCAGCACTCAATACATTATCAATACATAATTATGACTATATATGATACATATGTATCCATACAAAATATTCAATCAGCAATGCTTACTATGTTCGTGTATTCCCATTTCTCTATCTTGGCTCATCCTCTCTGAAATATTTTTCTCTAGTCTTTACAGAAAACCCACACACACTTCGAGGGCCAACTTAAGGATAATTCCCTCCATTAAAGCCTTTCCTCTAGTGATGTGGAACCATCAGTTCAGCAAGATCTCTGGCACTCACTAGCCATTTGACCTTGGAAAAGGTCCTTTGCTTTTCTGGGGGTTGATTTCTTTAAAGTGTAGAAAATAACAGAGATAAATAATTGGAGATGATAATTCTTATCTCCTAGTGTTGTTATGAAGATGAAATGAGATAATGGATGTGTACCTGAGTCAAACATTGTGCTAAAGCCATGTTTCTTTCTTTATGACCAATCTCAGCTTACACATGAGCTCTCGTGGCAGAACGAAATGTTAACTTTCAAATGGAATAATTTAGTCTTTTCTAGTTTAAAGATTCTTTGGGTATAACTTAGTCTTGCCTATACAGATAGTCAATTCAAAGTTCCCTATAAAGAGCAGTTTCTCCTGTTTTCCAAGATGCTCCCCCTGCCCTGCCTTTCCAAGACAGGGTCTGGGTGTAGAAGGAAATTCACATAACTCATGGCATCAGGGAAAGTGTTGCAGAGAACATCTATTGATTTAGGTGTTTTGTGTTACTTGTGTTTGGCCTTTGGCCCCTGTTCTTGAGACATCTACTGGGAAGTATTCTTGGTCTATTTTTTTCAGCAAGGCCAATGCATGGTAATTGCTCAGATGACCTGTCTCCTCTGCCAACTAAATGACCACCACCACCCAGCACTGCAGATCCCTTGAGGTCTGCTGCCACTCCCATTTGACCCTAGGTTTGAGTGGTCTCCCATGCAGCCCTCCAACATGGGCTCACTTTGGTGACCCTTCTGGCAAACTCACCAAATATCTTCTGAATTCACCACAGAGGAGGAAAGAACTTCAGATTCCTTCCATGTCAGAAACAGATTAAGGAAGGATCAAAAGTACAATCTCGGGCCTACTGTCTACTTACATAGGTCAACCCACCATTTCTACTCAGTAGCCTTAGGCCCATGTCACTCTAGGAGGCTATATTTTCTCAGAGTTCCAAACAGGAGGTATAGGTGGGGATATGATAGGGGTGGAGCAGTCTCCTCACCCTAATCTCAACCCCCTCTATAATCAGCAATGTTCTACGTCCCCTTCCTGTTTGTCATAACCTCCATCATCTTCACCATGGCATAAAATAAAATTATATAATCCGAATCTACCAAGCTTGTCTGTTGATATGAAAAAAGGGTATTTTCAGAATTTAACAAAGTCTTCTTCAGCAAAGCCTGGCTTTCAGAACTGTTGTCTCATTGTGGGGTCTCAAAAATATTCAGAAATCAGGAGCTACATATAAACTCTTTATTTTGGAATTTCATCATAAAATCTTAATCCTTTTTTAGCTGAATAGAAGGAAGTTCATACATAAAGAAGTGTAATACGAAAAATAAAACACTTTAATATATTGCAGGAACACCACTCCTTTTATAGTGGATATTGTGGTGTTCCATTTAGACATCCTCTTCAGGGCCGATAGCCCATCCCCCAACTGGTAGGGATTTGAGGATTTAAGTGGGCCTGCATGGCTCTGCCTCTCACTGCACATTGCTCTGGGCCACAGGGACCTGCCCTACTCAAAGTTGTTGCCTCTCAAGGGATAGCCCTTGGCCAATGACTGCATTATGCAGAGATACAAAGGCCTGTTCCCTTGTCTCAGTGTGGGATGACTCTGAAGGGCTCTTCCAGCTCCACAGTTTCCCAAAGCTCAGGGGAGCCTTGGATGAAACTGTGCTGTAGGTCAGCTTGTCCCCTTGCCCAACTCTGCCTTCCACACTTGCCCAATAAACCTTCTGCCAACAACTGTCCCAACCCTCCCTCTCAGAATCTGCTTCCAGGAAACCCAACCTATGACTCCTTTGAATTTGTAAATCTAGCACAGAGCAGGCTTTGCACAGAACCCCGCAGCTAGCTATGAAGCCCCATAACACGTTTCTTGTTCCTTCTCTCTTTCTTTTTAATTTTTAATTTTTATTGTTTTTTTTAGACAGAGTCTCACTCTATCACCCAGGCTGGAGTGCAGTGGAGTGATCTTGGCTCACTGCAACCTCTGTCTCCCAGGTTCAAGCGATTCTCCTGCCTCAGCCTCCTGAGTAGCTGGGACTACAGGCATGTGCAACCACGCCCAGCTAATCTTTGTATTTTAGTAGAAACAGGGTTTCACCATGTTGGCCAGGCTTGTCTTGAACTCTTGACCTCACATGATCCACCTGCCTTGGCCTCCCAAAGTGCTGGGATTACATGTGTGAGCCACCGTGCCCGGCCCCATACCACATTTCTTAAGCCTCCCATATGAAGCTTATCTTTCCTTATGTTATAGTTATTTATATATTTATTTTATCCCTCCAACTAGAATATAAACTTCTTGAGGAGAGATGCTGTGTTTTATGCATCTCTGTGAACCTTGAGACTTCAAACAGCAAGTCCTATTGTATTCACACGGTCACTCCTTTTTAGAGAAAGAGATGTGGGGTTGCTGTTTGCCTGGGATGGAGGTGGGAGTGAGGGATGTCACCAGAGACCAGTGAAAAAAATGTACCATATTGTTTGGCTTCTAAGCTGAAAGACTACTTATTTTTTAAGGCAAGTTTGCATAGCTGTACAACCAAGACCTGGAAGTAGAATTAGCTGAATCAGCATCCTCTGACCTCAGACTAAAGAGTTAATAGGAGACAGTGTCTCTGTTCTACCCTTAGTTCCAGCTCTTCACACTGGGGGGAAGCTTGTCAGAGAAATGTGGGGTCCTGCTGATGAATGGAGTATGGATGGGAAGTCTGACAATCTCTCAGGAGTATGACTAACCTGAGGGACTTAGATACAACAGAGTCCTGACTAGAGCCCCTGTCCAGGTGACAGCCTTCAAGGACATCAGCAACTGGTCCCAGAACAGGCTTGACCAGATAAATTGATGATCACTGGTCCCTTCCATTGCCACCACCAGTGACCAATCATACATGAAAAAGATCAGCCACTCCCACCCATTCCCCCAAGGACTGACCAATCACATAAGATACACACACACACAGACACAGACACACACACACACACACACACACCCCCAACTGTAACTAATCCAACAATCCTGAACTGACCTGGGAAGTCACTAGATTGGAATGAATTTACCTGATTATATGTAAACTAAATCCACCAGGATCCAGCTCACAGCTATGTAGTAAAGCCAGTTCTAGAAATAAAATTTCATTTTTTTGAGTACTAAAAATCTGGGCACCGTTATAATAGGAATTAAGTTATATGCCCATTACAACTCTATAGGAAAAAAATTCATTAAGGTCATCGTTCAAGTCAGAAACTAGCCCCTGTGCCCAATGACTATTGAAAAACATTCAGAGCTCCCTAGAAGTGTTGACTGCAACATCAAAAAGGCCAAATTAATCTTTGTCAAGGTGGAAATCAATTATACTTTTTTTTCTAATTTTGTACCTCATCAAAGCGAAATCCTGAGGTCTGGATTTTTAAAAATATCTTTTAATGCGTTTCATAATGTTTATTTTTCTGATTATCATAAATGCAAGCAATCTCACAAATTGTAGCTTTCAGTCTACCTTAAAAGATTATTAATTTTAAATATTCTTTAAACATTTTATACATAGTGGAGCTTATTAACAGATTAGGAACAATTTTCTATTAATCTTAAAAATACACACGTCAAGGGTAAGTGATTTTATAAAAGGAAAGTACAAGATTTTCTTGTCCATAATTCACACCCCTCAGGACCTTTGGATTCTTTCTAATTTTTCATCTCTATGAATACAACTACAATGAAAATACATTGAATAAATCATCATCCAGATTTTTAAAATAATTTAACAGCTTCATTGGTATACAGAAATCTGCACGTATTTAGCATATATAATTTGATGAGCACATTATCCACTCCACATTTTAAATCACATTCTTAGAAGTGGAATACAAACATTTATAAGATTCTTACAGTTATTTAGTCATTCAACAAATATATATAAAAATTTTATTCCAGAATCTAAGAATGTTGTAGAGATCAAGAGAGCTGATCCCTTCCCCCAGGGATTACATTTCACTGCGGAAACAAACATTAAATCATTAACTATACAAGTAAGTATTCTATAATACTTGCAGGGAGTGCTAAAAGGAGAACTATACAGTGAGAAAGAGTGTGGGAGAGCGGTGCCTCCCCTGGTGGAGGCGGACAGCAGGGACAAGAAGCAGGGAGGCTTTCCCTAAGCAAGGATCGTTTGTCCTGTAATCTGAAGCCACGGGGGGCCAGGATGAAGGGCAGCCAGAGGATAGCCTTGGAAGGACCTGAAGAAACAAGTATCTGAGGAACTTTGTCACACGTGTTTGGAATGAAGACAGCAAGCAGAAGAGGGTCCTTTGAGCCAGCTGATGAGGGGGGCAGGGCCAGTGTTCCACAAGGTCTTTATCACAGTCTCACAGGGCTGAATGCATGGTTTTTAGGAACCACTGATTTTACCACTTTTCCTTTTATTTTCAAAAATTTCTAGTGAGTTTGAAACTTAAAAATGTTTTAGCCACTCATATTTCTTCTTTTATGAACTTGTCGTATCCTTCATAATTTTTTTTTAACGCTCCCTCAACCCAGCTTTTCCCAACTCCAGGAAGGACCGGGAAGAGAAGGCCAATCTAGTTACTTTATCTTGGTTTTAAATGATAAAACAATACATGAATACTGAAAAAACCTCAAACAGTAAAAAAGTATATTAAAAATGTTTTAATTTTTAATTTTTGTGGGTACAGAGTAGGTGTGTGTATTTATGGGGTACATGAGACATTTGATACGGGGCATGCAATGCATAATAATGACATCATGCTAAATCGGGTATCTATGCCCTCAAGCATTTATCCTTTGTGTTACAGACAATCCAGTTAGACTCTCTTAGTTATTTTTAATTGTACAATTAAATTATCAACTATAGTCACCCTGTTGTGCCATCAAATACTAGGTTTTACTCATTCTATTTTTTGTACCTGTTAACCATCCTCCACTTTCCCCCCTTATCCCCCTACTACCCTTCCCAGCCTCTGGTAACCATCCCTCTACTCTCTACCTCCATGAGTTCAATTGTTTTAATTTTTACATCCCACAAATAAGTGAAAACATGTGAAATTTGTCTTTCTGTGCCTGGCTTATTTCATTTAACATAATGACCTCCAGTTCTTTCCATATTGTTGCAAATGACAGGATCTCATGCTTTTTTATGGCTGAATAGTATTCCATTGTGTATATGTACCACATTTTCTTTACCCATTCATCTGTTAATGGACACTTAGGTCGCTTCCAAATCTTGGTTATTGTGAATAGTGCTGCAATAAACATGGGAGTGCAGATACTTCTTTGATATACTGATTTCCTTTATTTGGAGTATATATGCAGCAGTGTGATTGCTGAATGATATAACTCTGTGTTTACTTTTTTGAGGAACCTCCAAAATATTCTTTGTAGTGGTTGTACTAATCTACATTCCCACCAACAGTGTATGTGAGTTCCCTTTTCTCCACATCCTTACCATCATTTGTTATTGCCTGTCTTTTGGATAAAAGCCATTTTAACTGGGATCAGATGATATCTTACTGTAGTTTTGAGCTGCATTTCCCTGATGATCAATGACGTTGGGCACATTTTCATATACCTGTTTGCCATCTGTACGTCTTCTTTAGAGAAGTGTCTACTCAGATCTTTTGCCCATTTTTTAATCAGATTGTTAGATGTTTTCCTATGACTTGTTTGAGCTCCTTATATATTCTGGTTATGAAACTCTCACCAGATGGGTAGTTTTCTTTTCCTTTTCTTTTTTTTTTTTTTTTTTGAGATGGAGCCTTGCTCTGTCACCCAGGCTGGAGTGCAGTGGCGCGATCTCGGCTCACTGCAAGCTCTGCCTCCCGGGTTCATGCCATTCTCCTGCCTCAGCCTCCCGAATAGCTGGAACTACAGGCGCCTGCCACCACGCCTGGCTAATTTTTTATATTTTTAGTAGAGACAGGGTTTTACCCTGTTAGCCAGGATGGTCTCGATCTCCTGACCTCATGATCTGCCCGCCTCGGCCTCCCAAAGTGCTGGGATTACAGGCGTGAGCCACCGTGCCTGGCCGGGTAGTTTTCTTTTTTCTTTTTTTCTTTTTCTTTTTTTTTTTTTTTTTGAGACAAAGTCTCACTCTGTCGCCCAGGCTGGAGTGCAGTGGTGCAAACTCAGCTCACTGCAACCTCTGCCTCCCGGGTTCAAGCGATTCTCCTGCCTCAGCCTCCCAAGTAGCTGGGATTACAGGCATGCACCACTGTACAGATGGGTGGTTTCCTCCCATTCTGTGGGTTGTCTCTTCAATTTGTTGATTGTTTCCTTTACTATACAGAAGCTTTTTAACTTTATGTTATCTAATTTGTCCATTTTTTCTTTGATTGCCTGCACTTGTGGATTATTACTCAAGAAATCTATGCCCAGACCAGTGTCCTAGAGGGTTTCCCCAATGTTTTCTTGCAGTAGTTTCATAGGTTGAGGTCTTAGATTTACATATTTAATCCATTTTGATTTGATTTTTGCATGTGGTGAGAGTTAGGTGCCTAGTTTCATTCTTTCACTTATGGATATCCAGTTTTCCCAGCACCATTTATTGAAGAGACTGTTCTTTCTCCAATATACGTTCTTGTCACCTTTGTCAAAAAAGAGTTCACTGTAGACATATGGATTTATTTCTGGGTTCTCTTTTCTGTTCCATTGGTCTATGTGTCTGTTTTTATGCCATTCCCATGCTGTGTTCATTACTATAGCTCTGCAGTATAATTTGAAGTTAAGTAATGTGATTCCTCCACTTTTGTTTTTTTTGCTCAGATTACCTTTGGTTATTCTGGGTCTTTTGTGTTGCCACATAAATTTTAGAATTATTTTTCTTATTTCTGTGAAGAACGTAATTGGTATTTTGATAGAGGTTGCATTGAATCTCTAGATCATTTTAGATAGTATGGACATTTTAACAATATTGATCCTTCCAATTCATGAACGTGGAATGTCTTTTTTTTATCATGAAGGCATGTTTTTATTATGAAGGCATGCTGAATTTTATCAAATGCTTTTTCATCATCAATTGAAATGATTACATGGTTTTTGTCCTTCATTCTGTTGATATGATGTATCACATAGATTGATTTGCATATGTTGAACCATCCCTGCATCCCTGGGATAAGTCCCAGGGATGATCATGATGAATGATCTTTTTAATGCATTGTTGAATTATGTTTGCTTACATTTTGTTGAGGATTTTTACATCAATATTCATGAGAGATATTGACCTGAAGTTTTCTTTTTTTGATGTGTCTTTGTCTGGTGTTGGTATCAGGGTAATACTGACTTCTTAGAACAAGTTTGGAAGTATTTCCTCCTCCTCTATTTTTCAGAATAATTTGAGTATAATGGGTATTATTCTTCTTTAAATGTTTGGTAGAATTCAGCATGGTAGAAGCCATCAGGTCAGGGCTTATCTTTGCTGGGGGACTTTTTATTACAGTTTTGATCTCATTACTTGTTATTGGTCTGTTCAGGTTTTGGATCTCTTCATGATTTAGGTAGGGTAGGTGGTATGTGTCTAGGAATTTGTCCATTTCTTCTAGGTTTTCCAATTTATTGGCATATAGTTGCTTATGGTAACCAGTAATGATCCTTTGAATTTCTGTGGTATCAATCATAATGTCTCACTTTTCATCTCTGATTCTATTTATTTGGATTTTCTCTCTTTTTCTCTTAGTCTAGGTAAAGGTTTGTCATTTTTGTTTATCTTTTCAAAAAACCAACTTTTTGTTTCATTTATATTTCCTATTTTTTTCATTTCAATTTCATTTATTTGTGCTCTAATATGTATTATTTCTTTTCATCTACCAATTTTGAGTTTGGTTTGCTCTTCCTTTTCTAGTTCTTTAAGATGTATCATTAGGCTATTTGCTTGGAGTTTTTTTTTTTTCTTTTTTGATGTAGGCACATGTAACTATAAATTTCCCTCTTAGTACTGCTTTTGCTGCATCCCATAAGTTTTGGTATGTTGTGTTTCTATTATCATATGTTTCAAGAAATTTTTCAGTTTCCTTCTTAATTTCTTCATTGATGCACTTTCATTCAGGAGCATTTTGTTTAATTTACCTGTGTTGTATAGTTTGCAAAATTCTTCTTGTTATTGATTTCTTGTTTTATTCTGGAAAATGCTTGATATTATTTCAGCTTTTTTGAACCTTTTAAGACTTGTTTTATGATCTAACATATGGTCTGTCCTTCAGAATGATCCATGTGCTGAGGAGAAAAATGTGTATTCTGCAGCTCTTGGACAAAATGTTCTGTAAATATCTATAAGGTCTATTTGTTCCATGGTGCAAATTAAGTCCAATGTTTCTTTGTTAATATTTTTGTCTGGAAGATCTGTCCAATGGCAAAAGTGGGGTGTTGAAGTCTGTTATTATTGCATTGAGGTTTCTCTCTCTTTGGCACTAATAATATTTGTTTTATCTGGGTGCTCCAGTGTTGAGTGCATATACATTTAAAACTGTCATACCATCTTGCTGAATTGACTCCTTTATCATTATATAATGACCTTCTTTGTCTCTTCTTACAGTTTTTGTCTTGAAATGTATTTTGTCTGAAGTATAGCTACTCTTGCTCTTTTTTGGTTTCCACTGGCATGGAATGTCTTTTTCCATCCCTTTATTGTCAGTCTATATGTATCTTTATAGGTGAAGTGTTTTTCTTGGAGACAACAGATCATTGGGTCTTGTTTTTTATTATTAATTCATCCACTCTGTCTTTTGATTGGAGAGTTTAGTCCATTTACATTCAATGTTATTATTGATAAGTAAGGACTTACTGCTACTATTTTGTTATTTGCTTTCTGGTTGTTTTGTGGTCTTCTCTTTCTTCTTTCCTTCCTTCCAGCCCTTTCAATGAAGGTGATTTTCACTGGCAGTATGATTTAATTTCTTGCTTTTAATTCTTTGTGTATCTGTTGTATTTTTTAATTTAAGGTTACCATGAAGCTGGTAAATACTATCTTATAACCCATCATTTAAAATTGATGACACTTAACACTAATTGCATAAACGAAGAAATAAGCAAAAAGAAGACTGATAAAAAACGATACACTTTGACTTTACCCCCCTGCTATTTAACTTTTTGTTGTTTCTTTATATCTTATTGTATGTACTGTCTATGTCTTGAAAAGTTGTTGAAGTAATTACAACTACAACAAATGTAGTTTGTCATTTTGCATTTCTACTTAGGAGTAGTTTACACACCACAATTACAGCGTTTTTTAAATATTTTATTTTAGGTTTGGGAGTACACGTGAAGGTTTGTTACATAGGTAAACACGTGTCACAGGGGTTTGTTGTACCTATTATTTCATCATGAAGGTATTAAGCCCAGTACCTAATAGTTACTTTTTCTGCTCCTCTCCCTCCTCCCATCCTCCCACCTCAAGTAGATCTCAGTGTCTGTTGTTTCCTTCTTTGTATTCGTAAGTTCTTATCATTTAGCCTCCACTTGTAAGTTATAACATGTAGTGTTTGGTTTTCTGTTCCTGTGTTAGTTTGCTAAGGATAATAACCTCCAACTCTATCCATGTTCCACAAAAGACATGATCTCAGTCTTTTTTATGGCTGCATAGTATTTCATGGTGTATATGTATTACATTTTCTTTATCCAATCTGGCATTGATGAGCATTTAGGTTGATTCCATGCCTTTGCTATTGTGAATAGTGCTGCAATGAACATTCACGTTCATGTGTCTTTATAGTAAAATGATTTATATTCCTCTGGGTATATACCCAATAATGAGATTGCTGGGCCAAATGGCAGTTCCTCTTTTAGCTCTTTGAGGAATTGCCAGACAGTGTTATAATTGTCCATGATTTTCCATGTACCCACTATTACCAGTAAGTCTGTGTCCTGAAAATTTGTTGAAATTATCATGTTTGATAGGTTCATCTTTTAGTCTTTCTATTCAAAATGTGAGTAGTTTACCCACCACAATTACAGTGTCATAGTATTCTATGTTTTTGTGTGTACCTACTATTACCAGTGAGTTTTATATCTTCTGATGATTTCTTATTGCTCATTAACATCCTTTTCTTTCAGATTGAAAAACTCCCTTTAGCATTTCTTCTAGGAAAGGTCTGATGTTGATGAAATCCCTCAGCTTTTGTTTGTCTGGGAAAGTCTTCATTTCTCCTTCATGTTTGAAGGATATTTTCACAGATATACTATTCTTGGGTAAAAGTTATTTTCCTTCAGCACTTTAAATATGTCATGCCACTCTCTCCTAGTCTGTAAGGTTTCCACCGAAAAGTCTGCTGCCAGACTTTTGCCTTTTGTCTCCTCTGACTGCATATTTTCAAATAGCCTGTCTTCAGGCTCACTAATTCTTTCTTCTGCTTGATCAATTCTGCTATTAAGAGACTCTAATGCATTCCTCAGTATGTCACTTGCATTTTTTATTCTAGAATTTCTGCTTGATTGGTGCTTCATTGTAAGTGGCTTCTTTTCTGCTTTTAGGGTCCTTTCTTTATCCGTGATCTTTGGCAGTTTGATTATTAAATGCCTTGAGGTAGCCTTCTTTGGGTTAAATCTGCTCAGCGTTCTACAACCTTCTTGTACTTGAATATTGATATCTTTCCCTTGGTTTGGGAAGTTCTCTGATATTACCATTTTGAATAAACTTTCTACCCCTATTTCTTTCTCTACTGCCTCTTTAAGGCCAATAACACTTAGACTTGCCCTTCTGAGGTTATTTCCTAGTAGGTGTGCCGCATTCTTTTTTATTCTTTTTTCTTTTGCGTCTTCTGACTGTGTATTCTTGAATAGTCTGTCTTCAAGCTGACTAATTCTTTCTTCTCAAGCAATTCAGGAGAATCGCTTGAGCCCAGGAGTTCAAGACCAGCCTGGGCAACACAGCAAGACCCTGTCCCAAAAAGAAATAAAAAATAAAAAGTAGTATGAAAAGCCTTAGAAATCTGCCTGGTGTTCTATTCTATTGTGATTACGCTGGTATTCAAACCATAAGACAAAGTTCTTCCCACTCTTTCCTCCTTTTTCCACAGGCAGGAAAGCCTCTCCCTATGGCCACCACTACCACCAGTCCCAAGGGAGTTCTGCCACACCACCACCCATGTTCACTTAAGGCCCAAGGGCTCTTCAAGCCAGCTTTTAATGAATGCTGCCAGGCCTGGGACTCACCCTTCAGGGCAGAGGTCTCCCCTCTGGCCCAGGGCAAGTTCAAGAATGCCTAGGCCTGGACTTGGGACCCCAAAAGCCTACTTGGTGTCTACCCCACTGTGGCCAAGCTGGTACCTGAAGCCAGCACATCTGAGTCTCACCCAAGGCCCACAGCATACCACCTGTGTATTGCTGTTATTTACTCAAGGCCCAAGAGCTCTTTAGTCAGCAGGTGATGAATCCTGCCAGGACTGGGTCCTTCCCTTCAAGACAGCAGTTTCTCTTCTGACCCAGGGTGTGTCTAGAAATGTTGTCCAGGAACTAGAGCCTGAACTGGGGGCCTCAAAACTCTGCCCAGTGCCCTATTCTGCTGTGGTTGAGCTGGTATCCAAGATGCAGGACAAAGTTCTCTTCACTCTCCTCTCCTCAAGCAGAAGGAAGAAGTCACTTTCATTGTTCTGAGCTGCGCTGCTTGAGGCTGTGGGAGGGGTGGCACAAATACTCCCCAAGCCACCCTGTCTGCTGTCTCACTAGGTCACGCACTGCCCCGGTCCACTGGCTCTGAGACCAGCACAGCATCAGGACTTGCCTAAGAATTGCAGTCCTTATATCCTAGGCTGCCTTCCAAGTTCACTTAGTATCCCACAGCTTGCTGAGAAACTCAAGTTTCTACCACGGGAATGGGTGCTTCCCCTCTGGCTAGGGCTGGTCTAAATGTTCCCTCTGTGGGCAGGTGCTGGCTGAGTTCAGCACAGTTTTGCTTTCCACTGTCACAGGGCAGCACTAAGTTCAGTGCAAATTCCCCCAGTTGCTGTGGTCTCCCTTCCCCAAGTGCACAGATTCTCTCTCTGCACCACACAGCTGCTTTGTGGTGGGGAGGACTGGGGAGGGGTGGTGTCAGCAATCCATGACTGTTTTTCCTACCCTCTTTAGTGCCTCTTTCTGCAATATGAATTTTAAAGTAGGTACTGTGATCACTCACTTGATTTTTGGTTCTTATGAAGGTGCTTTTTTGTGTGCAGATAGCTGTTAAAATGTGGTGTTCCTGCAGGGGGGTGAGAGGGATGATCAGTGGAGCCTTCTATTCATCAGCCATCTTGCTCCATCCTCAGTAAACATTTTAAAAGCTAAAATGCCCTGACTTTATTCCCCTTCACAAATCCCATTCCCCAGAGGAAAGTAACCACTCTTACGGGGCTGATGTACATCCTTCCAGGTGTTTTCTTAACTCACAAAGGTATTCATACGTGGGTTCTTTCTCTTACTTTTTTTCATACTTACCTATCTATCCTCATCTCCTGCTCTCCCCTCTCTCTGTTTCAGTGATCAAGGCCTCCCTGCTGTTTATTGCACATACCAGGCTGGCCCTTCCCTTAGGGCATGTACAATTATGAGTCTTTCCCCCCATCTGCCTGGCTCCCTCACCTCTTTCATATCTTTATTCAAATGTCACTTTCTCATTGAGGCCTACCTTGCCCACTGGGTTGAATTGCAGCTTGCCATCTAGTGCTGGCACATCCAACTTCCTCACCATGCTTTATTTATTTTCATAGTCTTTATTATTTTCTAATATATTATATTCTTCATTTAACATGATTTTGGTTTTTTTTCTGAAAACCCCAATTACATTGTAAACTCCATGATGGCAGAAATTTTCATGTTTTCAGAGTATTTTGTCCACTGAGGTGTCCTAAGTGCCTGGAACAATGCCTGACATTTAGTAGGTGCTTGATAAATATCTGCTGAAAGAATTAACAAATACAGTGGTGGTTTGTTTTCATGTTTTAATTTTATTAATAATGTTTTGTTTTAAAACCTACTGATAATTTCTTTGGGGAATCCTTTCATTATTCTGAAGCTTCAAAAGTTGTGTCTTATCCTGAGAAAATAAGGATAGCCACAATCATGGCAAAAACTCACTTCACTGAGCATTTACTATGTGCCAGGCATGGTGCTAAATTCTTGTACTTGCATTACCTCATTGAATCCTCACAGCAACCCTCTGAGATGATCTATTATTATGCCCAGTCTACAGATAAGTAATTGAAACTTAGATTAAGTAATGACCCAAAGTCACATAGTTACATAGTCACAAAGCTAACAAGTGTGGGAGATGGAATTTGGATCCAGAAATAAACATAAACACCTAAATTATACTAGGGAGCAATGACTAACTTAAAAACTGTTTTTTAAGAGTCCAGACAGAGAGGCAGAGAAAAGATGATAAGATGGCTACTGATTTCACAGCTGCATGGGAACAGCAGGTAGGCACCAATTTAGGCCCCACTCTGATGAGGTGGGGGATAGGGGTAGCACTCAGGGCTGTGTACACAGCCTTCTGTGTGAGAGTGACTATCTGAGTTGCATGCAGTGCCTTGCGTTAGCAGACTCAAGTTTCCATGGGAACATACTATAAGACAAGCTACCCTGGCCACCATCCTGAGTGAAAATGACAGTGTTTTTGGAGACATTGCCATAAATTCTTATGGAAGACACAACTACCATCAGTGGGCAATGCCATTCTAGAATAAGGATGCTCATGGAGTCAGGTTTAAATACCAAATTTGCTCTTATGAGTTGAGTGACTCTAGGCAGGTTTTTACATTCTCTGGGCTTCGTCTGTGAAGTGATGCAATAACACATACATCACAAAGTGATATTCACATCAATGGCATACAGTACATGGTAACTGCATTATCACAGCTATTGGTACATAGCATGATAGTGGCTTTCTCATAGCTATTGACGATAATAAATTATGGTGAAATTCAACAAAAATGTTAAGAGCAATTAATCTGGTCCAGTGATGCTCAACTTTAACATGCATACAAACTACCTGAAGAGCATGTTAAAACTATTTCCTGGATCTCATATTTAGAGATTTGATTCAGTAGGTTGAGATGGGCTCATGAATATGCATTTCTGTCTAGCTTATGGGTGACGCCGATCCCTCTCATTTTATGGATAAAATCTTGAAAAATAAACACTTACCCCAAGTTGCACAGCAAGCTATTGTCAAGGCCTTGATAACAATGCCGGTTTCCTGGCTCCATGTCCAGAGCCCTTTTTGCTGTATGCCACTGCTTCCTAATTCTAATTCTGGCCTTGAGAATCTCAGTTTAGTAAACAAACTTTAAAATATTATTCTTACCTTACCAAATTCACTGTTGTAAATAAAATGAATATGAAAGGTATAGTGTGAAATTCATAGTGGCTGAGTTCTCCACATCCAATCACAATGCCAAAGAAAGCATATATTAAATGTTCATATACAGATGAAAAAATTCTTAAGAACCTAGGATGAATGAAATAGAAATGACATTTTAAGCAATCATCTTAAAAATATATTTTCCTTTTCATATAAAATCATATATCTTATATCTACCATGCTGTCTTAGCAGAGGCCCTTGCCTTCATCTCTGTTATAGTCAACATTTAAAAGAATTTTGTTGGATCTAAAAGCACCCAGTTCCATATTTTTCATTACCTTCATCACACCAATACCCATGGGCTGCTTCTCACAGTAGAATAATAAGAGCAAAGCAGAAAAATGAGGACCTCCCCCAGCTGATGATTTATCAATTTCTCTGGGATTCAGTGGGAGCATGTCAACTCTTGGGCCTGCTACTGCTAAACCCGGAGTTGTAGTTGCTACTAGTAGGTACCTCGGTAACTTTGACTTTGCAATAGCTAATACGATCATCTCAATGCTCTCTGCACAACCTCTCCCTCTGTGACTCACATGTACTCTTCTATTTACTTTGAAAGTCTCTCCTGTCTGCTTTCCTGTCTACTGAATTCCTAAAAGTCTTGTAAGGCTAACTCTAATCCCATGTTGTCCATGAAAGCATCTTAAGCACCCTAGGTGGAGGTGGTCCTGCTCTGAATTCCTACGGTGCTGACTGTCTGCACTAATGTAGTTTTTAAGCAGAAGAAAGCATTAGAATCACCCAGACTGAATTCTAAAAATGGACAGAACCACCCCCAGAGATTCTTGCTGAGTAGACCAGAGCATGTGGGTTAGGGCAGGGGGCTGAGGCCTCAGTAGAGTACATGTTCTGTTCTGTATGGTTCCATGTGGTAGCACGCCTGGGTCAGACCCAAGTGTGACTTCCACAAGCAGATCTCAAGGCCTGCCTCCTCTAGACTCTCTCTCTTGAGACTTTCCCTTTCAGCTGACTGGGTAAGTGCATCTGCCCCACAAACCATTCTCCTTACAGGTGGATCTCAAAATTTATGCTCGGAAAGAAGCATAAGGAAGCCTCGTTTTAGCTGCAGACATAAATCATGTTCTTCGATACACACAGCATTACCCCAATCAAGGAGACAGTTTGGTTCTCCAAGTGATTTCTATCTCTTAATTCAATTGGTTCTGAACCCCTACTGGGGAAGAGTTTGAGTGAGGGGACCTCAAACCCCAGTGCATAGTTTTCAAAAAATTCAGAAGTCATGGAATAACTGACTGAGTTAAGTACTTTTTTTTTTTTTTTTTTTTTTGAGACAGAGTCTTGCTCTGTCACCCAGGCTGGAGTGCAAGTGGTGCGATCTCGGCTCACTGCAAGCTCCACCTCCCAGGTTCACGCCATTCTCCTGCCTCAGACTCCTGAGTAGCTGGGACTACAGGCACCCGCCACCACGCCCGGCTAATTTTTTGTATTTTTAGTAGAGACAGGGTTTCACCATGTTAGCCAGGATGGTCTTGATCTCCTGACCTCGTGATTCGCCCGTCTTGGCCTCCCAAAGTGCTGGGATTACAGGCATGAGCCACCGCACCCGGCCTGAGTTAAATACTTTTAAAAAAATGTCATGTGGGCACAATGGCTCATGCATGTAATCACAACATTTTGGGAGGCTGAGGAGGATAGATTGCTTGAGCCCAGGAGTTTGAGACCAGACTGGGAAACACGGTGAAACCCCATCTCTACAAAAAATACGAAAAATTAGCCAGGTATCCTGGTGCATGCCTGTAGTCCCAGCTACTTGAGAGGCTGAGGTGGGAGGATCGCTTGAGCCCTGGAGGTGGAGGCCATAGTGAGCTTTGATAGTGCCATTGCCCCTCAGCCTGGAAGGCAAAGCAAGATCCTGTCTCAAAAGAAATTTTTTTTCAATTCTCTCTACAGGACCTAAAAAATGCATTATGTATACAGTAGAACCTGAATAAATATGTAATTATTCACACATATTGTTACTTTCTTATATAAACATGTCTGCCACTTAACAAGGAGCACTTCTGAGAAGGGACTTATTTTCGTGGCCCCAGACCTAAGATGCAACATCCAGACCACACCAGACATTAAGAAAGGATTGGTCGAATGGGTGAAAAAATAAACAATTGAGTGAATAGAAAGTAATTTATAATTATGTCAACAGACAGCACCACTGAGCTCAGGAAACGGTCTAAATTGAGCATTACACCAAGTAGATGTTCTATGAACTGGTTATTCCCAAGCTTCTGGATTTAAAAACACAGTAATGTTTCATTCACATACGCACAAAACTGGAATAGTTTTAGGTGCCCATGTTTTTTGTTGTTGTTGTTGTTTGTTTGTTTGTTTTTGTTTTTTGAGACAGAGTCTCGCTCTGTCACTCAGGCTGGAGTGCAGTGGTGCGAACTCGGCTCACTGCAAGCTCCGCCTCCCGGGTTCACGCCATTCTCCTGCCTCAGCCTCCCAAGTAGCTGGGACTACAGGAGCCTGCCACCACGCCCGGCTAATTTTTTCTGTATTTTTAGTAGAGATGTGGCTTCACCATGCTAGCCAGGATGGTCTCGATCTCCTGACCTCGTGATCCGCCTGCCTCGGCCTCCCAAAGTGCTGGGATTACAGGCGTGAGCCACCGTGCCCGGCCGCCCATGTTTTTTCATTTTGCCGAGTAGAAAAGAAAATACCATCTTCTATCATTGGAATGTCATAAAAGAAAGGACATTATAAACAACAAAAAAGTAGAACGGACATAATTTCATAGTAATGCATAGTCCTTATATTAAATAAATTAATTTTCATGGGAAAACTCAGGATTACGGCTTATTTTTCTCAGTTCGACATTTGTTTTCATCTGATGTGGGAATTTCTACATTAGACGATGATTTGGTATTCGATAATTCTGAACCAATTCTCTAATTTATCATAGTCTTTCAGAGAAAGGCTAACTTATTTCTCTGCACAGACAGGCAAATGATTTTCCCCCTATCCAGAGATATTCATATGGCATTTATTACCAGGAGTAAAGGGTAGGTAAGAGTTTTATTGATGTTACATGTTACATCTTTCTGCTACTCGTCTTTTCCAGCTCTTCCCACATTAATATACTGTTATTTAGGTATATTATGAAGGAAACAAAGAAAAAATGTATCTTTAAATCTCCATGGTTCAAAGTAAATTTTTGTCAGGTTACATATAAAAAACACCATGGTTTCTGAGCCACTGATACTTTATTCATAACAGGAGTATCAATTAATGCTGATAATTGTTGGCACCTTAAATTCTTTTCAAATATAACTGATAGCAAAAATAAAATTTTCAAGATAAAGAAAGGTTATGGAAAAAGAGTTTTACTAGTGTCCATGAAGGCGAGACGCCTTATGCACTAAACTGCTATGAGATCCATCGAAGGGCACGATAGGAAACTTACTTAGTAATTACAAGTTCGATCTTCGGTTTAAAAGTTAAAGAATCTAAATTCAGTCCTACAGCGGCTAAGGCAAGAGTGCCTGACATTCCTAAAAATTCCACTGGGGAGAAAAAAAAAACAAATGAATCAAATGCAATGTATTCATATCTGCACACTGAGACACTTTATCTTGAATAAAGAATTGGTGGGAATCTTAAGAGAAGTAGTAGTTCTTAGAAGGTTGCTTCAAGGGATTGACCTAATCCAGTAAACCTGGGGCTGGCAAACTTTTTCTATAAAGGGCCACATAGTAAATATTTAGTGTTTGTGATGCATACAGCCTCTGTTACAATGGTTCAACTCAGCTGTTGTAGTATAAAAGCAGCCATAGATAATATGTAAATGGATGTGTCCAGTAAAACTTGGTTTATAGACACTGAAGTCTGAATTTCACATAATTTTCATATGCCACAAAATATTCTTCTTTTGTGCCATTTTAAAATGTAAAAACCATTTTTAGCTAACAGGCAGATTTGGCCCAAGAGTCGCAGTTTGCCAAGTCCTGCTGGAGACCATCACTGAGGATAGGGCTAATGGAAAATAAGTTCAACAGCCCTCAAGGTGTCCTTTAAGCATCTCAGAAATACTGCACTGCATGTGCTGAGAGTTGTGAGCCAAGCTCAGTGCTTCTGATGACTCCAGTTCCTTACACCTGCTTTTCTTTTGCAGCTATAGACCTCCCTAATTAAACTTGTAATTTGTTGGGCTCTAAACAAATGTGTAAATGTATTAATAGTCTGAGGCAGGAAAACCAACCTGAAGGATATTTGAATACCATAAATACTCTGCAGTCTTAGGCTGCAGAGTCTTCAAATAGCACATTAAAACCGTCAGACAGAAAGGAAGACAAAGAACATGAAAGATAGGATTGGAAGAGCTTTGGGGGAAAGCAGAGCTGGTTGCTTTTGGAATGTGACCTCACCTTCCTCCATTAGTGGCCCCGTAACTATAAAATAGGTGTAAAATAGTTATGACTCATACAGTTGTGAAAATTAAATTAGAAAACATGAAAATGCTTGCCACACTTTTAAAGCAATGAATAAGTGATAATACTATCATGCTGTTAATTGTTTTTATCTACTTTGTTGCTTAGTAAATTAATAGTTTATTAATTTAAAGAGGAGTTTACTATTCTTTTGGTTTATCTAATCCCTTAAGTTCACTTTAGACTTCTTTTTATCTACTTATTTAACTGAATTTACTTTAAATAACCAATGACAATAAAACCAGGAGTGCCGCAAACTGTGATGACAGGGAAACTATCTTTCAATTTCCAATTCTCTATAATTGGTATTTTATAAAGAAGGGACAGTGGAAGTGATAAGCCCCAGTTACAGGCAACAAGGGGATGCATTGTTTGTAGACTTTTAAAACAATTATAAAGATGACAAAAACTCCTTCTACTTTTTATTATCTCCATTCCCCCAAAATTCTAAACACTGTCACTTGATAAAATATCCCTCCTTGCTAGGATGGAGGAGTCCCTCTTGGAATGCCTGTAGCCTACACTTTTCTAGAACCCATGTTCTTTCATGAATTATACATCAACACTCAAAGAGGTGACTCTCCAACCTCAATCAGATGCTTTTTGGACTTAAGCCAATTGATGGTATGTTCATTAGTCAGGGAAAAGAACAAAATTAAACAACATGAAAGAAATGTAATATTAAAGAATGTATAAGTGAGAATTTTATCTGCATTTTCGCTTTCCGGCTATGGAACATCTCCTTATAACACTGCCTTTTTCTGAGTTTGCTTTCAGGAACTTACTAAGTATGAGTAAAGGACTGCCTGAGGTTGTTTTTTAATTCCTGAAGCAGAGGAAAGTGTAACAAAGGAGGGAGGTGTATTGGTTTCCTGGGACTGCCATAATTGAATAGCACAAACTGGGGGGCTTAAACCACAGAAATGTATTGTCTCACAGTTCTGGAGCTAGAAGTCTAAGATCAGCAGGGTTAGTTCCTTCTGAGGGCTGTGATGGAGATTCTGTCCCAGGCCTCTCTCCTAGCTTCTGGTAGTTTCAGGCATTCCTTGGCTTATAGCTGGTATTCTCTCTGTGTCTTCACATAATCTTCCCTCTATGTGTATCTGTCGCTGTGTCCAAATTTCCCCTTTTTATAAGGATACAGTCATACTGGATTAGGACCCACCCTAATGACTGCATCTTAACTTGGTCATCTACAAAGGTCCTCTTTCTAAATAAAGTCACCTTTACAGGTACTGGAATGTAGGACTTCAACGTCTTTTGGGGGGACACAATTCAACCTAAAACAGGAGGCTACCTAGCAAGCTTTCATTCTGAGCAGCGGCACAGCGCTGCCTTGAAGCTACAAAGAATTGTTGGTTGAAATCAGTATATATAGCACACACAAGTGCTGACTCTGGGATGTATTTAAGCCTGAGGGGTTAATGCTAAATTCCTACCTTCTATCATTCATCCACACTCTGCAGTAAGTCTTACCTGAACAAATGCAACCAAAATACAGATATTTCCTCTCTGCTGGTGACAGCTACAATCTCAAAGGCATAATTTCTAGAGAAAATCATCATTCTGTTTAAGGCTGGTTCTTAGAGACCTGGTACCTGCTCAGGAAAGTTGTTAATTTTTTAGTAACTTTGTGAGCAGGTTGCTAACGAAAGCCATCCTTGAAATCAGCCACAGTAGATGTATTTATCCCATGAAAATTGACAAGCACTGCAAATCGGGGCTTTTTCTCTTCCCAGAGAGCCAATTTACCATCCCATCACTGCCTAACTCAGTCTCCCCATTTTACAGGTGAAGGAACTGAGGGTAAAGCTTAAACTAGAACCAAGGTCCTGGCTCAGTTCTCTGCGATCTCCACCTCCTAAAATCTAAATCACAAGTGTCTCAATTGTTTAAGGACCTTTTACTCCACAGCTATGCGACTTATACTCCTTCACAGAAATCAGCTTCAAAGTCTTATGATGCCGTTTAGTTAGCACAAAATAATCAGACTTCATAATGCTCAAATATATTTTTGGTAAACATTTGATTTGAATTGAATTGGGATTGAGCTGAATTGATCAGCTTTTTGGCTATATACCTGAATGAGCATAAGGAATTCATACTGCTTAACCAAACAACCCTATTCCAACTTGAAAAGTTGTATGTCAGAAATGGGAGACTTCTAATGTGGCAATAATGCTAAAAGACTCTAGGGAACCCCATCCTACCTGCCTGCCCTCAATTCATACACATCTGGTTAAGATGATGCCACACATTGACTGGAAGCATCTCCATTTTTTAGAAGGAAAAGGGAATAGGAACTCATATTTATTGACTGCCCTACCTTGAGCCCAGTGATGTGCTGGTAAATGTTTAAAGCCGGCTCTTTTCTGCAATTATACAGGCAGTAAGGGAAAAAAGCTTTTTAAAACCCAGTTCAAGGTTGGGGCGGTAGAGGGAACCCTGAGTTGCAGTGTTGCAGTGTCTTCCAATTTCTATGGTGTAAAGACTCACTGTGGCCAATTTCGAGCTCTCAACATAATGTCACTTGAACAGAGTTTGAAAGACAGGAGGATAATCAGCTCTGGCAAGCCAGCAAGAGCTATCAGCACACCAGCAGGAGTGAGTCACATGACAGATTATCTCATTAATGCCTGCAATACCCTTAATACATTAGGTGATATAACACTTTTTTTTTTTTTTGAGGCAGAGTCTCACTCTGTTGCCCAGGCTGAAGTGCAATGGCATGATCTTGGCTCACTGCAACCTCTGCCTCCCGGGTACAAGGGATTCTTGTGACTTAGCCTCCCCAGTGGCTGGAATTACAGGCGTGCGCCAGCACACCTGGCTAATTTTTTGAACTTTTAGTAGAGACAGGGTTTCACTATATTGGCCAGGCTGGTCTCAAACTCCTGGCCTCAAGTGATCCGCCTGCCTCAGCCTCCCAAAGTGCTGGGATTACAGGCGTGAGCCACTGCACCCAGCCTATCATACCACTTTTAAAGATAAGGAAAGTGAACCGTAGAGAGGTTAAGTAATTTTCCAGGGTCACCAAGCTAATAAATTGCAGAGCTGAGATTTGAACTCAAGTCTGCCTAACTCCAAAGCTCTTCGAGGACTAGTAGCAGTTTATTCAACCAACATGTGTTAAATTACTATCAGGCATATGGCAAGCTCCAAACATAGAAAAGAGAACAAATAAAAAGATGACTAAGAGCCTCCACCTCAAGGAACTCACAGTCTAGTAGAAAAATAGACTAAATTAAATTTTTTTCTTCAAACATTTAAGGCATCTATAAAAAGCAGCACAGGAGAGGGGAAAAATGAAGAAATTTGAAGGAAATGAGCGTTCAATGAATGCTTTCTATAATTTTACTGATTCAGGGCAGTGAGAAACCCTCAGGTGGCAATTAATCTGCAGAAGAAGCAGCGCTTTTAGGTAACTGGAGGTGAAAGAGAAGTAATTAACCTCTTGATACCTGAGGTCTTTGAAGAACCGAAGTTGCTTCACTGTCTGAGATGAGAGCAAAAGTGGAATTTGACAGTTTGGCCACAGTTACTACGTCTCTTAGGGACCGGGCACCTCAGTCAGGCCAGTAAACACTTAAATCTCCATTTCATTGGACTAAACTAGCTGAAGGTCAGCCAGTGCTGAGCACTCTTACTCCTGTGATTATTTCACTCTCCTGCTTCTCTTTCAACAATAAATATACCTCTCCCTTCCTGACTCTTAGCCTAAGTAAGAGCTGCCATTTCTACAGTCTTCTCAATTTGGCATCCATTGAATTAAAGGCTGTTGATCTAGAAAAGCCTCAGGAGCATCTCTCCTAGCCTTCTCAGTTTGCAGATGGTTTGTTCTGAGGGTTAGAGCAGAAATGAGCTCAATGTTGATTCCTCTGCCTGGGGAATGCCAGTGACTATATACAAAGTCAAATGAAGAGTCCAAAAAGAACAAGAGAGTAACCACAGAGAACAGTGCAAGGAAATTGGACATGGAGTTGAAATAAAAAGGATATTAAGAAAGACCAGGAAAGAGCTAGAGGTAAGTAAAATAATATGACAGGACACACAGTGGGGCCACAAAAAGGAGGAGAAGCAACTGGATTCAAGATCAGGAAAAAATAAACATGTATAAAACTTACTTTAAGGACAGTAATTTTTGTATTTATTTCAGCCTTACCAATATAGAAAGTCATGTACACCATTGAAAAGCAGAGAATGATATTAGTCAGCATATTGCTAAAAACGTCAGCCAATATACACTGAATGATTTTTGCACACCAATATCCAAATATTATGCTTCCCAAAATGTCATAGCTGAGTTCAATGCCTACATGTAAATCTAAAAAAAAGAAAGAAAAAATAAGAAATAAAAACTTGAGCTATAACTTTTGTCTCTTTCACTGATGGCATTTGGGTCTTTGCACTTTGGTTTGCTTGTGAGATTTTGAGTGGACACCTTATTTGTCAGCAAATAGGAGTGTCTTGTGAAAGTCTGGTAAAAAAACCTCTCTCAGAATAACCTTCCCTTACAGTCCGCAGCTTAAGGTTTGCTTATCTAGGGATAGAAGATTCAAATGTCCTCAGGAGAAAGGCAAGGAGAATAAATGGGAAAAACTTGTGACAAATGGGTTTAGAGTGAATGTCTAAACAAAAAAAATCTAAATTAAAAATTTTTAGATAAACTATGTCAAGACCAAGCTAACTAGGCCCAGGGTCACTGCTAACCTGCAGTTAGTTTATGACCCCTGCCCCCAGCCCAGGAGACATTGGAAAATGAAGATAAGAAATTTTCATTAGTCACAATAACTGGGGGCACTAGTGGCAGTCAGTGGGTAGCTATCAGGGTAGTCCTAAATGACAAAAATTGTCCCACCCCAATGCCCGGTAGCTCCCTCATTGAGAAGCACTGCAAACCCCTCTTTATTCATTAATATTTATTTCTCCTTTTAGTATCTTCCTCCTCTTGTGACTATCACAAAAGTATATCAGAAAAACACATTTTCTCCATTCATACTGTGATTTTTTCCCCTTTTCATTTCTACTAGTAACACATCTGGAAACCTAGCAAGGCAACAGCTTCATATCCCAGTGGGCTTTAGCTGCAGGAATCTGGCTCTTGTCACTTCTAGGACTGGATTCTCCAGTCCTGCATACAATGTTCTGCTTTCACTCTGAGACCCAAATCCAGAACCAAGCCAATTCTTAGCACTCAGTCACTGAGATCCAGATTGATCCAGTAAAGAAGTAATTCTGAGCGAGCTGACACTATATGTGTCTATTGTGACACTATATGTGTGCACACATGCATTTATGCATATTGAGAAAAACTAAAGCACTTTTTAAATGTTCTTTCCCCCTTAATGTCCAAGAACACACATGCAGTCCTCCTTCGGGTATCCATGGGGCATTGGTTCCAGGAACCCCTTTGGATACCAAAATCTGCAGATTCTCAAAACCTTGGATATAAAATAGCATATTATTTGCATATAACCTACAGCACATACTTCTGTGTACTTTAAATCATCTCTAGATTACTTCTAATACTTAATACAATGCAAATACTCTATGTAAATAGCTATACTGTATTGCATTTTAATTTGCATTTTTATTGTTGTATTGTTATTTTTATTGAGTTTTTCTGAATATTTTTGATCTGCAGTTGGTTGAATCCGTGGATGCAGATGGTCAACTATGATTTTTTTCTTGTTACTTCATATATCATTGTAATCAGCCCAAAAGTAAAGTATAGAGAAGGCAGCAAAGTTAAAACATTTGAATGTATTTTAATTTTAATGAGAATGATTTTAGAAAATATACAGACAAAAAATGCTCCTACCTCTAAAAATAGAAAAGTGGATTCTGTTGCCCCGAAAATTTCCAAAAAAAATTGATGCGATGCTACAAATGATCAATGATTCTCCTCTAATGAGATCAATGTATATTTTAGAAATGCCTGAAAAAGGAAATACAAAATGTAACTCAATATGCTACATGAAAATAATGTTCTTGCACAGGAAGCAGAAACAGAAGAGAAAGAACAGAAAAAGAAAAAAGAGAAAGAACAAGGCAACTATGACTGGGATGGGTCTGTAAGACAATCACAATCACCATTTTTAAATTTCTATATTGTGCCTCCTGCATTTGCAATGGCAAAGAAACATGGCGATAGCACTGCTTGTATTGTTCATTGTCTCAACCATACTTGAGTTTCAGAATGAGACAAATACTTCTCAAGATACCACATTTAGTTTGAATAAACCTGAATCAGATTCCAAAATAACCTCATTTTAGAAATAAGTACAAAATAGGACCCAGCAATTCTACTCCTAGGTATATACCCAAGGTAATTGAAAATGTATGTCCACACAAAGATTTGTACGTAAACATTCATAATAGTATTATTCATAGGAGCTAAAAGGTGGAAACAACTCAATGTCTATCAGCTGATAAATGAATAAATATATGTGATATATCCCTAAAATGAAGTATTATTCCTCCACAAAAATGAATGAAGTACTTACTGATACTATTAAAACCTGAACCTTGAAAACATTATACTAAGTGAAAGAAGCCAGACACAAAAGCCACATATTGTATGATTTGATTTACATGAAATGTCCGTGATAGACAGATACATAGAAACCAAAAATAGATTGGTTGTGATTTCCAGAGGCTTGAGTAGATAAAATTCCACAGCCAAATTTCCATCTAACATCATTTTCTTTCTGCCTAGAAGACTTTTAACAATTTTGTAGTGCAGGCCTGCTGATGATAAATTCTTTCAGTTTTTGTATGTTTAAGAAAGTCTTCATTTTACCTTCTCTTTCAAAAGATATTTTCACTGAGTGTAGAATTCTAAGTCTGTTGTCATTATTTTTGTTCCTCTAAATACAATGTGACTTTTGTCTCTGGCTGCTTTTAAAATTTTCTCTTTATAATTGGTTTTAAGGAATTTGCTTTTTATGTGCTTTTGTGTAGTCTTCTTTATATTTCTTGGGTTGCAGTTTATTGAACTTGTTGAATCTGTAGCTTTCATTATTATCAAATTTAGAAACTTTTTCTCAGGATTTCTTCAAATTTTTTGTTCCTCCCTCTCTTTTCTTTCGGGGACTCATACATTAGGTCATTTGAAGTTGTCCACAGCTCACACTGATGCTCAGTTCATGTTTTCTCGTCCTCTTCTCTCTGTGTTTCATTTTAGACAGTTTCTATTGCTACATCTTCAAGCTCTCTCCACCTTCTCTTTTGGCTTAATGTGGACCTAATTTATATTAGTCCACAATGAATTATATTCATT
Source organism: Homo sapiens (assembly GCF_000001405.40). Lineage (NCBI taxonomy): Eukaryota > Metazoa > Chordata > Mammalia > Primates > Hominidae > Homo > Homo sapiens. The sequence goes on from NC_000001.11 coordinate 173,584,967, forward strand.
GTAAAATTTGGAAAAGAAAAGAATAAAACAAATCTTCTATAATTCTATGATGACCCAGATATAACCATTTTAAAGTTGAAGTCCTTTTCTAAGCATATGGTTCTTTTTACTCAATTGAGATCATACTAACACTCTATATTTTATTTCTTTACAAGATCCTCTTCCAGATTTGCTTTAAAATAAAAGTTATTTAAGCGCTTACACTCTTTTAAAACAGGTAATGGATAGACAATTTCCTTTTAACTTACATATGAACGTCTACTACACTTTTGACTGGGCCAGTCCACTTTAGATTTAGGTTGTACAGGTTTACAATGCAGATGGGCACCTCATCAAAAGAAACACTATTAACATTATAGAAATTGTAGTTCTGTATATTATAATTTTAGGCATTTGGCAAAAAATAGTTTTTGCTTAAAAAAATAATGTATTATGACTATTTTATTTAATAGTTTCTTTTATTTAAGAAAACTGTTTTGAAGAAAGAACCATTTATCTAATTCACACAAAGGGACAATATGATGGCCCAGCCAACACCCAAAACAAGTGAGAGTGACTTTCCCCATAAAAATAAGTCAAATTTGTCTTATCAGGAGACAATGCTACTGGATCCAGAATCTATCTAACCTCCTGAGTGTTATTGACATAAAAAAATATAAAAATTAAGAGCCAACCCAATACCTTCACTAGTTTCGTCTTAAAGCAATAGAAGACTTTCAGCCGGGTGCAGTGGCTCATGCCTGTAATCCCAGCACTTTGGGAGGCCAAGGTGGGTGGATCATCTGAGGTCAGGAGTTCGAGATCAGCCTGGCCAACATGGCAAAACCCCCTCTCTACTAAAAAATACAAAAATTATCCAGGCGTAGCAGCACATGGCTGTAATCCCAGCTACTCGGGAGGCTGAGGCAGGAGAATCGCTTAAACCCAGGGGGTGGAGGTTGCCATGAGCCAAGATCATGCCATTGCACTCCAGCCTGGGGTATAGAGCGAAACTCCGTCTCAAAAAATAAAAAAATAAAAAAAAAGAAGACTTTCTACTGTACTCCTTTTTTTGAAAAAAAATTGAATGTTGAAACTGCAATAAATAACATTTATAGTTTATTATAACCATTTACAGTCAAGAGAGTGCAGAAAGGAGAGCAGGAAGCAAAATGAGGTAATGAAACAAGAGGTAAATACAAATGGTTGAAAGAATAAGACAGGTAAGGAAAGACAGAAAAAAATTGTACTTAAGGGAGCAAAGAGAAAAAAGAGAACAGGATCAGAGTCTTTGAGAAATGTATCTACCTTGTAACAATTTAGAACAGAACCTCCAAAAGTGCCTAAAACTCTATGTTTTCCCAGCTAGGAGTATGAAAATAAGAATATCACAAGCTGGAAAGGTTGGAGGTTTTTCACTCCACTCATAAGGTAGTATATTTCCACTAAATACAATTGATACTTTAAAATTGGTTAGGAAAATATTTCCGAGTCAAAAACAGAAACCATAGCATCTAGCCATTCATGTTGATACTGCTGTGTTAATAAAACCTGACCGTTTGACCCAGCAATCCCATTACTGGGTATATACCCAAAGGAATATAAATCATTCTACTATAAAGACACATACACATGTATGTTTATTACAGCACTATTTACAATAGCAAAGACATGGAACCAACCCAAATGCCCATCCATGATAGACTGGATAAAGAAAATGTGGTACATAAACACCATGGAACACTATGCAGCCATAAAAAGGAATGAGATCATGTCCTTTGCAGGGACATGGCTGAAGCTTGAAGCCATCATTCTCAGCAAACTAACACAGGAACAGAAAACCAAACACCACATGTTCTCACTCATAAGTGGGAGTTGAACAATGAGAACATATGGACACAGGGAGGGAAGCAACACACACCGGGGCCTGTTGGGGGGTGGAGGTGAGGGGAGTGAGCTTAGAGTACAGGTCAATAGGTGCAGCAAACTACCATGGCACACATATACCTATGTAACAAATCTGCACATTCTGCACGTGTATCCCATTTTTGTTGTTGTTGTTGTTGTTGTTTTTAGAAGGAACAAAGAAAAAAAAAACCTGACAATAGGGGGATATTTCAGAGTGAAATCATCTTCCACCTTACCAAATAATATGGGAAATAGTGCAGGACTCCAAATCCTCTTGGGAATAAGCTTTTATTGAGTAATACATTTGAGTGCCAAACTATATCCTTACCCCTTTTCTTGAAGATAAACTATAAACCCCTCCACCACCTGCCAAACCTTAGCTATTCCAAATGGAGGCAGTTCTAACAAGAGGTAGCAAGGCCTTGGAATAGTCTCTTTAGGGATCTTTAATGTTTCCCCTTATTGGTAAACAAACTCACCAACTTAGAATATCTACCTTGTGGCTAAGAATTCACTGGAACAGAATAATAATGCCAATTTTTATCACCTTCTAGAAGGTTACTTTTTCTTTGAAAAAAAATGAAAAACTTCCTTGGAGATTATAATTGGCACTACTTATCTCATCTCCTTGGTGGCTGTCTTATTTGCACTGTCTCCTTAAAGTCAATCAGTGCTCTACCTCTCAAGGTGAAAAAAAAAGCACAGAGTCTTATTCTTCTGGGTGCACAATTCATGCAAGAAAAATATAATCAAAAGAAAATAATGTACCCTTATATTTTCAAGATAAGAGAGAGAAATAAATGTGACATACCAATAGTTTTTAGTGAATTCACAGAACGAAGAGGATCTATAATGCCAAGGGTGATGCTAAAGAGTAGGCAAGATTGCAAATCCCATGAATCTTTATTGAATTTTATAACGACATATCCAATTATGATGCTTGCTGTAGAAAAGCTAATTAATCCAGTTAACAAGACCTGTGAACCAATTCATAACACAGTATTAGACTTAACATCTAAAGATGGCATGATGGCATTTACTTATATCCTAAGAGTCAGATCTTGGTTGTAAATGTTATACAATTACCCTGGAAGATAACTTTAAAAGGTATTCTAGTTTAACCACCTGCCACAAAGAAACCGCCCCTTTCAAATAAGCAAGATTCTACCTTATTATTAAAAAGACTGACTCAACTATCTTTCTTGTTGTTATTCTAGTTCAATGGTTCTCAATATGAAAGGTTCTTAAACAGAATGCAAATTTCTCCTGCTTCTATATAAAACATATCCTGATTAGTTTGGAAAGTAAATTGTTAGTGACGTATTGTGTCTGGTACATGACACAAATTTATATACCAAGACTCTAAAATAGTCACAGAAAATGCCCCCCTTTACCTTTTATTAGTTGTAAAATAAGTAGTTCTGCAATAGAGAAAGGGAAGGCCATGAAATGCTTGAGATTAAGTGATTTACAGAGTTTTGTAATTTCTATGCACACATTGTTTATGCCCAAGTATAAGAAAGTATTTATTTTTCAAAGTCATCCTCAGGAAAAAAAATAGTTGTGTTATTCAATCCTTTTCTTATTTTCCATCTCTGTCTTTTGTTTTACTTTCTGTGAGGTTTTCACAATTTGACCATTAGGTCCTTTTATTTCTTTATCTATTGTAACGTCATATGGTTTTTCTTCTTAAATCTCATAAGAGCATGAATTACATTAAGCAATTTTTTAAATGTTAAATTAACCTTGTTCTGAAATAAACACAACTTGATCATGTTTTTATTATTTATATGTTACTAGATATATTTGTGCCAAAATTTGTGTGGAATTGTTCTATGTTTGTGGGTGACATTGACTTATGATTTTTCTTTCTCTTAATATTCCTGTATAGTTTTGGTGTTAAGATTAAACAAGGCTTATAAAATAAGTAAGGGAGGAGGCCAGGTGCAGTGGCTCATGCCCATAATCCCAGCACTTTAGGAGGCAAGGCAGGAGGATATCTTGAGTTCAGTAGTGTAAGACCAGCCTGGGAAACATAGTGAGACTCCCACCTCTACAAAAAAAAAAATTAAAAATTAGCTGAGCATGGTGGTGCACACCTGTAGTACCAGCTACTCAGGAAACTGAGGTGGGAGGATTGCTTAAGCACAGGAGTTTGAGGTTGCAATGAACCATGATATTACCACTGCACTCCAACCTGGCCAACAGAGAAAGACCCTGTCTCTAAAAATAAAATAAGTGCGGGAGGATTTCCTCTTTTACTCTTGTCTGTAAGACATAAGATTGGAGTTATCTTTCATACTGGTTCACATAACTTACATTTAAAATAGTTTGGGTCTCATTTTTTTTGGAACATTTTTATTTGCCAATTCAATTTTTAATGATTATGGGACTATTTGGGTCTTTTTAAATTCTAGAGTAGGCCAGCCACGGTGGCTCATGCCTGTAATCCCAACACTTTGGAAGATTGAGGCAGGAGGATCGCTTGAGGCCAGAAGCCTAGAAAGCAGCCTGGACAAGAGAGCGAGACCTTGCCTTTACTAAAAATAAGAAAAAATTAGCCAGGCATGGTGGCATGTGCCTGTAGCCCCAGCTATTCCAGAAGCTGAGATGGGAGGATCACTTGAGCCCAGGAGGTCGAGGCTGGAGTAAGGGGTAATCATGCCACTGTACTCTATCCTGGGTGACAGAGCTAGACTCTGTCTCAAAAAAAAATAGATATATAAATAAATAAAAAGAATTTCTAGTGTAAGTTTTGGCAAATTACATATTTTTAGGAATTTCCCATTTTGTCCGAATTTTTAAATATTTTTGCTGAATCACAAAGAAAATAAGGCATCAAAAGTAGAGGGATGCAATCAAAGCAGTGTTTAAAGGGAAACTTATAACATTAAATGCATATATTGGAAAAGAATAAAGGTTAAAAATGTTTATGATTCAATTAAGCCTAGCAGTAGGTTACATATTGTTAAAGTAGTAAATGGGAAGCTAAATTTGAGGAAATTACATACAATACAGCACTGAAAGATAAAAGACAGAGAATTTAAAATCATGGAGAATATGATGGAAAATCTACAACTAATGGGAATTTAAGAATGAAATAACAAGGCCTGGCACCGTGGCTCACTCCTACAATCCCAGCACTCTGGGGGGCCCAGGCGAGCAGATCTTCTGAGGTTAGGAGTTCCAGACCAGCCTGGCCAACATGGTGAAACCCCGTCTCTACTAAAAATGCAAAAATTAGCCAGGTGTGGTGGCGGATGCCTGTAATCCTAGCTGCTCAGGAGGCTGAGGCAGGAGAATTGCTTGAACCCAGGAAGCGGAGGTCACAGTGAGCTGAGATTGTGCCATGGCACTCCAGCCTGGGCAACAGAGTGAGACTCCATCTCAAAAAAAAAAAAAAAAGAAATAACAGAGTATAGAAAATATTTAAAAGATAATAGCCGAAATTGTGGCTAGAACTGATGAACTATATTAATTCTCAGATTTAGTAACCATAAGAAGTCTTAATATGTATAAATAAAAAGATACTAACACCCAGAAACATCACAGTGAAACTAAAATAGTCCTCCTTTATCTGCAAGGGATATGCTCCAAGACCCCAGTGGATGCCTAAAACCACGGATAGTACCCAACCCTATATATACTATGGTTTTTTAAAATACATATATATCTATGATAATGTTTAATTTATAAATTAGGCACAGTAAAAGATTAACAACAATAACTAATAATAAAATAGAACAAGTGTAACCATATGACAGCATCACTACTCTTGCACTTTGGAGCTATTATAAAGTAAAATAAGGGTTATATGAACACAAGCACTGTGATACTGTATGTTCTATCTGATAACAGAGATGGCCACTAAGTGACTAACGGGCAGGAGATAATGTATACACAGTGGGTATGCTGGCCAAAGGGATGATTCACTTCCTGGGCAAGACAGAGTAAAATGGCACAAGATTTTATCACACTACTCAGAAAGGCACACAATTTAAAACTCATGAATTTTTCTGGAATTTTTCATTTAATATTTTCTTTTAAAAAAATACTTTTATTTTAGGTTCTGGGGTACATGTGTAGGGTTGTTATACAGGTAAACTTGTGTCATGGGGGTTTGTTGTGCAGATTTTTTCATCACCCAGGTACTAAGCCTAGTATACAATAGTTATTTTTTCTGAACCCTCAAGTAGGCCCCAGTGTCTGTTGTTCCCCTCTTTGTGTCCATGAGTTCTCACCATTTAGCTTCCACTTGTAAGTGAGAGCATGCAGTATTTGGTTTTCTGTTACTGCCTTAGTTTGGTAAGGATAATAGCCTCCAGCTCCATCCATGTTCCCGCAAAAGACATGATCTCATTCTTTTTTATGGCTGCACAGTATTCCATGGCAAATATGTACATTTTCTTTATACAATCTGGCATTGATGGGCGTTAAGTTGATTCCATATCTTTGCTATTGTGACTAGTGCTGCAATGAATATTCATGTGCATGTATCTTCACGGCAGAATGATTTATAGTCCTTTGGGTATATATCCCGTAATGGGATTGCTGGGTTGAATGGTAGTTCTATTTTTAGCTCTTTGAGGAATTGCCACACTGCTTTCCACAGTGGTTGAACTAATTTACACTCCCACCAAGATTGTATAAGTATTCCCTTTTCTCTGGAACCTCGACAGTATCTATTATTTTTTGACTTTTTAATAACAGCCATTCTGACTGGTGTGAGATAGTATCTCATTGTGGTTTTGATTTGCATATCTCTATTATCAGTGATGTTGAGCTTTTTTTCATATGCTCGTTGGCTGCAAGTATGTCTTCTTTTGAAGGGTGTCTGTTTTTATCCTTTGCCCACTTTTTAATGGAGTTGTTTTCTTGTAAATTTGTCTAAATTCCTTATAGATGCTAGATATTAGACCTTTGTCACATGCATAGTTTGCAAATATTTTATCCTATTCTATAGGCTGTTTCCTCTGTTGATAATTTCTTTTGCTGTGCATAAGCCCTTAAGTTTAATTAAATCCTATTTGTTAATTTTTGCTTTTGTTGCAGTTGCCTTTGGCATCTTTCATTATGAAATATTTGCTTGTTCCTATGTCCAGAATGGTATTTCCTAGCTTATCTTCCATGGTTTTTATAGTTTTAGGTTTTATGTTTAAATCTTTAATCCATCTTGAGTTGATTTTTGTATATGATGTAAGAAAGGGGTCCAATTTCAACCTTCTGCATATAGCTAGCCAGCTATCCAAGCACAATTCATTGACTAGGGAGTCCTTTACCCATTGTTTGTTTTTATCAGCTTTGTTGAAGATCAGACGGTTTTAGGTGTGCAGCCTTATTTTTGGGCTCTGTATTCTGTTCCATTGGTCTATGTGTCTGTTTTTGTACCATGCTGTTTTGATTACTGTAGTCCTGTAGTACAGTTTGAAGTTGGATAATGTGATGCCTCCAGCTTTGTTCTTTTTGCTTAGGATTGCTTTAGCTATTTGGGGTCTTTTTTGGTTCCACATGAATTTTAAAATAATTTTTTTCTAGTTCTGTGAAGAACATCTTCGGCAGTTTGATAGAAATAGCACTGAATTGGTAAATTGCTTTGGGTAGCCATTTTAATGATACTGATTCTTTCTATCCATGAGCATGGAATGTTTTTCCATTTGTTTGTGTCTTCTCTGATTACTTTTAGCAGTGTTTTGTAGTTCTCATTGTAGAGATCTTTCACCTCCCTGGTAAGCTGTATTCTAGATATTTTAGTCTTTTATGTCAATCGTGAATGAGATTGCATTCCTAATTTGGCTCTCAGCTTGGCTGTTTTTGGTGTATTGCAATGCTAATGATTTCATACATTGATTTCCTATCCTGCAACTTTGCTGAAGTTATTTATCAGCTGAAGGAGATTTGGGGCTGAGATTATGGGGTTTTCTAGATATAGAATAATGTTGTCTGCAAAGAGGGATAGTTTGACTTCCTCTCTTCCTATTTGGATGCCTCATCTACAAAGGAAACGCCATCAGGCTAACAGTGGACCTCTCAGCACAAACCCTACAAGACAGTGGAGATCAGGAGCCTGTGTTCAACATTCTTAAAGAAAAAAATCTTCAACCAAGAATTTCCTACCCAGCCAAACTAAACTTCCTAAGCAAAGGAAAAATAAGATCCTTTTCAGATAAGCAAATGCTGAGGGAGTTCATTACCACCAGACCCACCTTACAAGAGATCTTGAATGAAGCACTAAATATGGAAAGGAAAGACTGTCACCAGCATATACAAAAACACACTGAAGTACACAGATCAGTGATACTATAAAGCAACCTCACAAACAAGTCAGCATAATAAACAGCTAACAACACAATGACAGGATCAAATCCACACATATCAATAATAACCTTGGCCTGGCGCGGTGGCTTATGCCTGTAATCCCAGCACTTAGGGAGGCCGAGGCAAGTGGATCATGAGGTCAGGAGTTTGAGACCAGCCTGGCCAACATGGTAAAACCCCATCTCTACTAAAAATACAAAAATTAGCCAGGTGTGGTGGTGTGCTCCTGTAATCCCAGCTACTAAGGAGGCTGAGGCAGGAGAATCACTTGAACCTGGGAAGTGGAGATTTCAGTGAGACGAGATTGTGCCACTGCACTCTAGCCTGGGCAGTAGAGTGAGACTCTGTCTCAAAATAATAATAACATTCAATGTAAATGGACTAAATGCCCTATTTAAAAGGCACAGAGTGACAAGCTAGATTAAAAAGCAAGACCCAATGGTATGATGTCTTCAAGAAACCTATCTCACATGGAATGACACCCATAGACTCAAAATAAAGGAGTGGAGGAAAATCTACCAAGCAAATGGAAATCAGAAAAATGCAGGGGCTGTTACCCTAATTTTAGACAAAACAGACTTTAAGCCAACAAAGATCAAAAAAGACAAAGAAGGGCATTACATAATGGTAAAGGGTTCAATTCAACAAGAAGACCTAACTATCCTAAATATATATGTACCCAACACAGGAGCACCTAGATTCATAAAGCAAGTTCTTAGAGACCTACATTTAATATTTTCAAACCATAGTTGACCACAAGTAACTGAAACCTTGGATAACTGAAACTGTGGAAAGTGAAATGGTGGATAAAAGGTAACTACTGTACAGAACACCAAAGAAAAAGAGACAATCTGAAAAGAGAGAAAAGACAGGTACTTACAGAAGAATGACAATTAGATTGATAGCAGTTGTCTCAAAAGCAACAATTAGGCTCAGGTATTATTCAAATTGAGACAAAACAGATACATTTTCAGAGAAACAAAGACCACTAAATGAAAAAAGATGACTACTCATAGACCTTTAATGAAAAGGACACAAAATCACAGCTAGATAGGAGTAAGTTCTAGTGTTCTATAACACTGCAGGATGACTATAGTTAACAGCAATATACTATATAGTTTCACATAGCTAGAAGGAAGACATTGAATGTTCCCTACATGAAGAAATAATGTTTCAGAAGATAAATATGCTAATTACCCTGATCTGATCATTATACATTATATATATTGAAAGATCACTATGTATTCCATAACTATGTACAATTATTAGTCAATTTAAAATTACAATTTTTAAAAAGCTGCTAGAGCAAAAATTCAGGAGAAAGGAAGCTGAATCCAGAAAGATGGAGTTGGATGCAAGAAGGAGCAGTGAGCAAAGAAATGGAAATTGATAAGCATGTAGATGAGTGTAGAGAAGCACTGGTACCTAAAACATTACAATCACAATAATAATGATAATGACTAATTTCAGGGATGGTAGTATTATGTCAATAATGTAATAAAATATAAGATGAGAAAGGATAATTAAAGCATTCTGAAGTTCCTGCCTTATTTGGAGGAAAGTAGAGATATTTAGCTTTAGACTTGTTAAATCAAATATAATTATTAAAATTTAAGATTTTTAAAACGTATGAAACCAGTAAGAATTGTATTTAGGAATATAGAAATTTTGACTGCATTTAACAGAAAAGAGCACTTACAGTGTCAATAAATGGAGATTTTGGTTGTTTTGTTTTTTGTTTTTGTTTTTGAGACAGAGTCTCGCTCTGTTGCCCAGGCTGGAGTGCAATGGCACAATCTTTGCTCACTGCAACCTCTGTCTCCCAGGTTCAAGTGATGCTGCTGCCTCAGCCTCCTGAGTAGCTGGGATTACAGGTGCATGCCACCATGCCTGGCTAATTTTTTGTATTTTTAGTAGAAATGGGGTTTCTACTAAACCTGACCTCGTAATCTGCCTGCCTTGGCCTCCCAAAGTGCTGAGATTACAGGCATGAGCCACTGTACCTCAAGTAATCCTAAATCCAGAATAAACTGCCTTATGTTAGTATGTCGGCTCTCAATGCTCTTAAGGACCCAGGCTCTTTTTTTCTCTTTATGTTCAATCATATGTAGTGCCTGTTCTCATGTTCACCACTTCACAATCTCAAGATGGATATTCATTCTAGCCCACTGGAGGGCTCCAGGCAGAAAGAGAGGTAAAGCAAAGAGCAAAAAGCACATGCCAGCTGATTTGACCCCCTTATTAAGGGCTTTCTAGAAGCCTATTCAGCAAACTTTTGTACACTTTTTATTGGCCAAACTATCTTCTTAGGGTACCAAAGTTGTTAGGGATGCTTGGAAATATGATATTTTACATAAGCCTATTGCCATACCAAACGAAAAATTTTAACTTTCTGTAAGTGAGAAAGAGAGGGAGACTGCATATTGGATAAGCAACCAGAAATGCCTGCCACCAAAAAATAGAACATAAAATTTTTAAATTAGTAGAAGGAACAAAGGGGATAAAGAAAACTGAATTCAATTAATTCAGAAAAGGAAGAATGAGAAAAAGCATGTAAATAAAATGATGAAATAATATGTGAGAAAAAGTCAAAATATATTTCTTTTAAAAACTTTATTTTCAATTTATAAACAGTAAAATCTACTCTTTTGGTGTACAGTTATATGAGTTTTGATAAATGCATACAGTTATGTAATCACACCACAACTAAGAAACAAAACAGATACATCACTCCCAAAAATTTCCTCATGCTATATCTTTGTGGTCAATTCTTTTCCCCAACACCATTCCCTAGCAACCAATGATGTTCTCCAGACCTACAGTTTTGCCATTTTTAGAAGGTCTATGAATGTAATTTTATAATTTGTATGTACCCCTTGGAGGCTGGCTTATTTCTCTTAGCACAATGCATTTTAAATTCTTCCTTGTTGTGCCTATCGATACTCCATTCCTTTTTTATTGCTGAGTAATATTTCATTGAAAGATGTTCCACGATTTGTTTATTCATTCACCAATGGAAGAATGTTTGTTTCCAGACATTTGAGATTATAAATAAAGCTGCTATACAGATTCATATAAAGGTTTTGTAAACATAAGTTTTCATGTCTCTTGGGTAAATACACAGGAGTGAGATTGGTGAGTCATGTGGCAAGTATATATTTAACTTTATAAGAAACTCCCAAACTGTTTCCCAAAGTGGTTGTACCATTTTGCATTCTCACCAACAATGTATGCAAGTTTCATTGTCTTCATATCTTCACCAGCACTTGGCATTAACAGGTTTGTTGTTGCTATTCCAATAGGTACACAGTGGTATCTCATTGTGGTTTTAGTGTGTATTTCTCTAATGACTTAGGATGTTGAGCGTCTTTCCAAGTGCTTTTATTCCATCCATATATCTTCCTTGGTGTCCCAAATCTGTTCAAATCTTTTCTCTTCTAAATCTATTTTTAATTACAATAAATACTAATGGACTAAACTAGTTTTTAAAAAGAAGCAGAAATTATCAACCTGTATAAAATAAAAAAAATCCAACTGTATACTATTAAAAAGATACCAAAATGTTGAAAACAAAAGGATGGAAAAATTATAGCAGGCAAATACCAAAATAAAGCTGATGTAACTATAGTCAATTTTACACATAAAATTGATTTAAGGCAAAAAGCATTATTTGGGATAAAAGGTAACTAAATAATAAGAAAAAAATTAACTGAGAAAAATAGCAATACTTGTAGACACTTAATAACAACCTCTATTTGTATAAAGTAAAAACTGACATAATTGCAAGGAGAAATTCATAAATCCACAGTGATAGTGGAAACTTGTTAAACTGAACTGAAAAATAATATTGGGAAAAACATAGAAGATTGAACTTCATAATAAAACAATCTACTGAACAAATTTAGACCCCTACACTCAATAATTAGAGAACATATATTTTTATAGCACAACATTTAAAAAAAAACATGTACAAGCCTACAAAGCAAATCTTCACAAATCAAAGAATTGACATATAAAACATGTTCTCTGATCACAGTGTGATAAGAGAAATAATAATAAAACATCATATTTGGAAAATTCAAAACAATTTGTAAATAACTAATGGGTCAAAAAGTATAAGAAAATGTAGAACTGGATGGTGATGAGTACACTAAAAACCAAAACATGTGGGATACCACTAAAAAGAAAATTTAAAACCTTAAATGCACACAGAAAACTAAAAAAAGCTAAAAATGAATCAAATATTAATTCAAGATGTTAGAAAGAACAGAATAAAACCAAAATAAAATGTTCTCTGAAAAAAGAAATAAAACAGTACAACAGGCATGATTAAGAAAAAAACATAGAAGGCACAAGTAACAATCTTTGCAGGGAAAATGGGCAAATCTACAGAAACAGTTGAGATTAAGTCAGATGTGGGACTAGAATCCAGATTCTGACATTTATTATCCTTGTTTGTGACCTCTAAGCTTCAGTTTGCTCATATGCAAAATGGAAATGTTATTTACTCTGATATTTGCACTGAGAATGCCTAGTCACAATGGTCACTCAGCAAATACTAATTCCTTTCCTCTCCCTTCAATTCTTTTTAGTTAGTAGTTCTATAGAATGAAGAGGGCAAAACAAATAAAATATGACATTTTGTGAATTATTAATCATCTATATAGGCAGCCATATTCTCTATCAACGTGCATAAGCAAGAATTGATCGTACTTTGTTTTAAATGTGTTCTTACCTGCCAAAACATTTTCTTGAGTGTATAAAATTCTACATCCAAAGCAACCATAAATATAATTAAAGGTGAAAAGTAAGAATAAAGTGAAAAACTTGATGTTCTTAGAAGAGGGTAGACAATTTGGTGCACCTAAAGTAACAAAGGCAAACAAGAAATTAGTTTGCTACCATTTCCAAGTATTAGAAACTAGGTTGATGCTGTCAATCAATATAAATTTTAGAATCTTTCAGTTTACAGCTAACGAGAGAGTATCTACAAGGGCAGTCCTAAGGGTCCTGTGGTAGATTTCTTGATCTAGCCATCCAGATAGGTTACCTATATAGACCTCTATTCACCAGATAATTGAGTGGTTTTGGGCTACACAAACACTGCTTGTGGTGTGCAATCAGTATTTTCAAAAGTGATATCCCTACTATTGGTGATATCAGAAAATATTTTTGGTGATTCACAGGTAAGTATTTTTTAATTTGACTGTTAGATGTTTATTTCAATTTGCTTTAGATGAGGGAAAGAATCTTAAACAGGTACTTGTTTCACAAACATTGGCTTAGGATTTTTAAATCTTTAAGTGAGTCAGTAGAGAAAAATAATTCATAGAAAATAGTAGATTGTATACATAAGACATAAATCATGAAGGTTGTACACAGATTAATGGAAAATACAACAATAATGATTGAAGTGCTATAAATATTCCCTCCTAAAAAGTTTATTTTGTCCCAATCAATAGTTTAACTTTCATTACTTCACCTCCCTATACCTCAGTTTGCTCATCTGTAAAATGGAAATAGAGTATCTGCTTTCAATGGGTTGCTGTGAGAGTGAATAAATTAACTCAAGGGTTAATAAGCTAATAAATTAATAAATACAAAGCACTTAAAAGAGAGCCTGGCACTTAGTAAACACTCTAAAGATGTCAGCTAGTAGTAGTGATGGTATTTCAGAAGATTAGGAAGAAGCGTTTACAATCCTAGATGGGTACAAGCATTATCTCCATTTTTCAAAAATAAAGGAATGAGTGGAGGCAAATTGTTATTGATCACACTGCTATGCAGTTGAAATCAGAAGTTAATACTAGGTTAATGAATGAATGAATGTTTTCTTGTATCTATGGTATATATTATATGAAGCTATGAAGTGTGTTTTACATTGAATCTGGCAGTGACCATGCCTCATGATGAACACAACTGCTGCCTTTTATAAGCAGGTCTTTTATAAGCAGGCCCTTTTTTTTTTGAGACGGAGTCTCGCTCTGTCACCCAGGCTGGAGTGCAGTGGCGAGATCTCAGCTCACTGCAAGCTCCGCTTCCCGGGTTCACGCCATTCTCCTGCCTCAGCCTATAAGCAGGCCTTTTATAAGGCAACAGCAAGGAGGAAGCCAGTGTATGTGCAGGGGAAGGAAGCCAGAGCAAGGCTCCAGAAGCAGATGATGAACCCAAGAGCGCAAACACATTTTCCTTGATTTTTTTTTTTTTTTTTTTTTTTTTTTTTTGAGACGGAGTCTTGCTCTGTCGCCCAGGCCGGAGTGCAGTGGCGCAATCTCGGCTCACTGCAAGCTCCGTCTCCTGGGTTCACGCCATTCTCCCGCCTCAGCCTCCTGAGTAGCTGGGACTACAGGCGCCCGCCACAACACCTGGCTAATTTTTTGTATTTTTTAGTAGAGAAAGAGTTTCACCGTGTTAGCCAGGATGGTCTTTCCTTGCTTTCTTTCCTTCTTTTTTTTTTGACAGTCTTGCTCTGATGCCCAGGCTGGAGTGTGGCGGTGTGATGTCGGCTCACTGCAACCTCCATCTCCTCCGTTCAAGAGATTCTCATGCCTCAGCCTCCTAAGTCACTAGGATTACAGGCATGGGCCACCCCTCCTAGCTAATTTTTGTATTTTTAGTAGAGATGGGATTTTGCCATGTTGGCCAGGCTGGTCTCAAACTCCTGGCCTCAAGTGATCCACCCACCTCAGCCTCGCAAAGTGCTGGGATAACAACCGTCAGCCACCGCACCTGGCCACATTTTCCTCTTATTACTGCTTTTTTGAAGTTTCCCTAATTGATGTGTCCTTTACTGTGTGGTTATTTTCCAAATTTTTTAATACCAGATAAAATTTTTTGAGTAGCTGTTCCCATAAGAAAAAACATTCCATGCATTCAGGGATGAGATGGGAGTGGACTTTATTTTTGGCATTTTTTCCTTTATTCTCTAATTTATTGTACATACAGTACCTCAACAGAATTGTAGGCCATGTGTCCTATCACGAATCCTGATAGAGAAAGAATCGTCAAAACAATGACTTCACAATTCTTTAAACACATCTTCAAAAGCCCTAAATGTGAAAAACAGAATAGTTGCATGAGTACTCGAAGTACAGTTTCTACCAAATGTGTATCACTTTTGCACCATCCCAAAGTAAGTCAAGACCTTCTGTATTCAATTAATATTTAATGATGTGGCTTAACTTTGGGATGGTGCAAAAGTGATACACATTTGGTAGAAACTGTACTTTGAGTACTCGTACAACTATTCTGTTTTTCACGTTTAGTACAATATTTACAAAATTACATGAGATAGTCAACACTTTATTATAAAATAGACTTTGTGTTAGATGATTTTCCCTGACTGTAGGCAAATGTGTTATGAAAGCTTTTAAGGTAGGCTAGGCTCAGTTATGATGTTCAGTAGGTTAGTTGTATTAAATGCATTTCAACTTACAATATTTTAAATTTATGATGGGTTTATTAGGACACAACCTGATAGTCAAGGAGCATCTGTACTTCTTACAGGTAAGACCAGATAAAGATATGTTTTTTACACTCTTTCTGCAATGCTCTTTACTACTGGAGCGTTTGTCTCTATAAAGGATATAGAGCTAGTCCATGGTCATCAGCAACTTGTGATATCAAAAGTGACCAAGGTCATTAGTGAGTATATTAAAGATTCCCAAAGAAAGCAATTTCACTCTTTGATACAATGGGTAAAATTGAAGGAGTTTATACATATTTGCTTCTGTATAGTATTCCTAGTTCCAGAAAGGATTTTAAAGCAGCTATTTTTCCTTTTTCCTAATCCCTAGTGTTGAATTGTGGACTAAAGCATCTGTGTGTTGAATATGTTACTTGATCTGCATGAATATCATTCTCTATACCTGTTGAATTCTTAATCATTGTTTAAGAGGTCCTTATTTGTGAAGCCTTTCCTAATTTCCTTCTTGGGGTTGGGGTGGGTTATTTATCTTCCCTGAAGAGAGATTACACCAAAAGCCATAATAAAATGGACAAAATGAATGACATCAATTATGTAAATCATGAATTGTATGCCTGGGCTCTATTTGTGTGTTTGCTCGCATTGTCCTCCCCTCATCTCAGATATTTTGGTCAGGTTAGGTCTGGCCAGGCAGGCAGTGTACAGCTCTTCCTCCTCCTTGTGAGCAGAGAATCTTGACGACAACTTTATAGTTATACTTAACACACTGCATAGTAATTATGTGTTTGCCAATCTCTCCCATGAGAGGGCTTCTTGAAGTTAAGTTATTCTTCTTACATGTCTACCACACTACCATGCTCAGCAAATGTCACTGAATACAGGAATATAGAATAGACACTACTTATAATTAAATGAAGCGAGATTGACAGTATTCACTCATGTCTTATCGTTTCAATGGGCCCCTTCTTTTGATGTTATGTAGTTGTGATGGCTTTCTGCATTGACAAAAGGTTCACAGGGCAGAGGAAAGATGAGTTTCAAAAACAACCACCTACCTCCCAAAACAACAATGAAGCATACAAGCGTTGTGAAATGTTTCTCTTCAACAAGGTAGTCAGCTGGCTGCCCGCAGAGTAAATCAGGTCTGTTACTTTCATTTTGTGCCCAGAAGTAAGAACTCATTTTTGCTGCTGCTTTTCCCCAGACCTAACTTGATGGAGTGGTTTGGTTATTATTGACACTTTCACTTCTGCATGCTAACCTGTATAGCATGCAAAAAGAACATGAGACCTACCAAGATCCAATTCATCCATACCATTTCTACCTAAGATTGTGCCACACTCAGATCTGAACATGTCTCTTCTTGTCACAGGGCACACATTAATACCTCTTGTCCTACCCCTTGCTCCAAGAACATTTTATAGGAACACTAACAGCAGTGTTAGTGTTTACTCCCTGTACTGTTACATGTATATGGGAGAGGGGGTGCATTGATAGGTGCACTTACCATTGTAATGATATAGTAATGTGCTTGCTTTCCCCATTGGACAGTGAGTTTCTCAAAGGCCAGGGCCCGAACTTTCCTTAAGGCTGTGCACATAGCATGTGGCACGAGATAGGCTGTCCAAAAATATTTGATGGGCTGAACTATTTGAGGGGGAAGGAGCATGGATAAATGTTATGCTCCCCCTTCTCTGTTGGTATAAATCATTCTGGAATTCCATTTTACCACTCCAGCCCTAATATATCTTTTTCTTCTCTCAGCACCCTTCCAATAAAAGATGGCAAATGGGAAACAAAGTCAAAGTTGAGTCACACCAGTTAAGGTTGGGGGTGAGGATAAGGGTGAATAACCTGAAAATAAAGGAAAAGACCAAGGTTTGATCATATGATGCCTTTGAGTGAATTAGAAAAAGGCCCCCTTCCTCAGAGCAATGAAGCCTGTCAACAAGGCACATGGCTTGGCATGTGACTACCAGGCTGGATTTCAGCCCCAGTATCTCACCTCAGCTGGTGCTCTGTGTAGGATGTAACCTGTGCAAATCTATGCAGTGGTCCTGAGAAAGATTTGTTCTGTTTTATTTTTCCTTGCAGCTAGCCTTAATCTAAAAATCCTAGAGGTTCCTCAAGTATCTCCAATAATATTTAAGGCTTACCTTTGGTCCTTTGTTTTGCAGGTCTACAGGTCACAATGATTCTGGTGTGAAGCAGAGGATGGGCCAGAAAGAGATTCAAAATGCTACATCTTCAAATCACTTCACCTGTCCCTCCAGTAGCCCTTCAGGTCCTTGGCATCTTCAACTCCTGCTATCCTCACATGTAATGACCCTCAAATTAAGTTCTACAAATTACCCAGATCAGAGATATGTTCCTTAAAGATTAAGCTGCTTTAAAGTTGAAATTGAGATGAAGGCTCTCAAAATCCCAAAGAACAATGCACAGTTATGCGTCTGTTTGCCAGGGACAGTACTACCAACTGATATCACACCAAAATCCATTTCCATGCCTACTTCTCATTGGTTTCTTGCCAGCCTGCTTTCGTTCTGATTGGCTGCCTACATTATCCCCACCCCCAATCCAGAAGAAGCCAAGTGATCTAGTTCTTGGGAAGCTTTCATTTTTTAACACTCAAGTTACGTAAGTACCCACAACTGTTTTAACTGATTTTTTTTTTTTTTGCTGACATTGTAGAATGAATTCATGAATTTTACAAGTATAATCAAAGACAACCAAAAATTTTTACTTTTCCCTTCAAAAGCTAAGTGTAGTGTAGCTCCCCTGTAGTCTAAGTTAGAGAAGAATACTAACAGCGTGTTTTTCCTTCTGTGCTCAGCAAGCCTTATCTGTACTTGCTAGTTTCACATTCCTTGAGGCTCAGGGAGTTCCTGTTTCACCTCCCTAGCGCAGCTGCAAAGTTACAAGGTTAATACAGAAACATGGTTTCCCAGGGATGTGGAACACGTAGCATAGATAAATGTAAAAGACTGATCAACTGCCTTTGTTCTCGCTCTTGTAAGTACGCTTCCTGCATCACGTAGCTCCTGGCCACTGACTGCTTAAAAGGTGGCTGCTTTCTTTGTCCAGGGCTCAGACTTTCCTGGACGCTAGTCCTACTGAGCCAGGTGATCACCTTTTAATAAAGACCTTTCCTGAACTCACTCTGTTCGGTCTCTCCCATCTTTGATTGTCCCAAAACAACATAATAGCTGAAATAGTCAAAGATATTAATGTAGACAGAATCTCCTTCTATATTTTTGATATATACTCTATATTTCTTATGCCAACACCATCTGGCTCAGCCCTAACCCTCTTCAACACAGTCTTGTCTCCTCTCTAATTCTTTTTCAGTCATACTGTTTCATTTTATTTTTCTACCTCTCCTTCCTTTTCAATGTTTCTCACTCCCATTTTCCTAACTCCTATCCATCATTGGTTTCCAGTCCTCAATTTGAAGAAACAATGTTACCCATTCTTCATGGGAGGACAAATGCATCCCAAATTCCATGATGCCTAACTTATATACTTCTTGCCTCAAATATAATTACTAAAAACAAATACAGTATAAATATTAAACAAATGAACAATAATCATCAATTGGTGGGTTACTTTCAAGGAAGAGTTGTTTTGTGACAAATTCTACTCTCTCATTCCTATACCACATTCACCAAGGTTGCTGCACATCATCTTCTTGAGGGCACCAAGGAGAACATCACAGCAGTAAGATTACACCTTCACTATGTATCAAGAAACCTCTGGCAAGTGAGTCTCAATTCCTACTTCAGACTAAACACAATTCTAATCAACAGCTCTATGACTGTGACAAGCAACATTGGTGCCCACATACTAGCTCCTAAAATATTCTTTATGACTTCCTTTTTTGTACAAACTGATGTGGTTCTTTTAAGCCACTGAGCTCATCCCTACTATAATGCCAAGGACTATGTTAAAAAGTAATTGGCTTATTCACAGGCCCTCTCCTAAGAGACCCATTCCTTACTCTTCCCTCTTCTGCCTTTACTTAACTCACCTCATTACCAAGTTCACTACCCTCCCGTTCGGATCTTCACCTTATCTATACTGGCTGTCACCTTGATTCCTCTCAAAATTAAGTTTGACTCTCTCCTTAGTCAAACTGATCTCAGCACTACTCAGTTTGAGTAATGCCCTTCCAGGTTCTGCCTAGTTCCCATCCTACTGCTGTCCCCTCAGGCTCACTCGGTTCACCTAAGCCCTGCAGCTAAGACTCCTGTAGGTTGAATTTAAGTTTCGAAGTTCAGATTCCCCATGGCCTTTAGAAAAATCCTCATACTTCAGGAAAAGTTGGAGAAAATCCATAAAGTCAGTTAGCTTACACATAGTTCTGAAAGCTAAAGAAAGCAATAACTAAAATATAGAGGTGATCAAATTTTTTATCCTTTCCCATGGAGCTTTTTTTTTAAAAAAAAGCAATAATAAAGTTATATTTCACCATTTTTTATAAATCCAGCTGAAGGAGATTCTGGTCAGTTTGGGGAGTTGAGCGCTGAGAGGCTGCCCAGTGTTTTCTCCCAACTCCATCTTCTGAAAAGAGACAATACTATTTAATTGAGATAGACACAAAACACAGGGGGGTTAGTCAGTTTCCCATCCTCCTAACATTATAATTGGTTCAGGAGTGGGCATGGACTCAGACAACACCAATTAGATGGCTCCCTAGGTTGGTATATTCCATTATTGGGAGACAGCTGTTCTCTCTCCACTTAGGTTTAGTTGTGATGAAGACCCCTCAGAGCAGCTGGAGGCCACCTTCCCAGCTGCATGGAGAAAGCCCACCTAAAGTCTGAAAGGTTCTATGAGGCACCACCTTAGATATTTCTGAATTCTTAACAAATGACTTTATAATTCCACCATGGATTTTATCTTTTTCCCAGAAACCATTCCTTAGGTGGAGAACTTTTTGCCATCTAGAAAGGATAGGATTGAAAAGCAATTTTATTTTCAAAGCCAGTGAGCACTGGCTCTTTTCATATCTTCTAAATCCTAAAATTTATTTGAAAGCTGAAATGCTCCTTCTCAGTTTCTCTCTCTCCTCTCATTTAGTAGAAGCCATACTCAGTCTGGAAATATCCTTAGCAGGGTCATCGAATTCATTCCTTAGACAAAATGTGGCCAAACTTACCCACCAACTCCTAACAAGGGTTTCTCCAGCTTCCAATAACATCTTCCTCTCTTTACTATAAACTCACCAATAGCCTCCTAGAAGGCCCTAGCGCTTCTGCTAATATTGTACTTGAAAGCCTGTAGCTTTCACCCACACCCTCCTCCAGGCCTTTCTGTCCTCTACCATCTAGTCCCAAAGACAATGCCATGTATTTTAGGTTTTGTTATGTCAATTTCTCACTTCCAAGTTATACAATTTGTGAATTATATATTGTTAAGTAACAAATACATAACTGAGTAGCTTAAAACAATAACAATCATTTATTTCGTTCACAAATCTGCAATTTTTTGCATGGCTCAGCACAGAAGGCTTGTCTCCACTCCACACAGCATCAGCTGGGCTGGCTTGACTGGAGGATCTGCTTCTAAGATGGCCCACTCATATGGCTGGCAAGTTGGGGATGACTGCAGGCTGGAGCTCAACCAAGGCTGTGGGCTGGGGCCTCAGTTCCTCCCTGTGGATCTCTCTATAGGCTGGTCAAGAGTGAGCATCTCAAGAGAAAGCATTTCCCCTAGTTAGGCAGAGGCCTCATCACCTTTTATGATCTAGCCTCAGAAATCACATGGAATCACTTCCACTGTAGTGACGAGCCTGCCCAGATTCAAGAGGAAAGAACAGAGACACATCTCTCTACGTGAGGAATGTCATGACCATATTGTAAGAAGAGCATGTGGGAAGGGAGATGTGGCCATCCTGGAAAATACAATCTACCACATATTAGATTGAACATGGGGGCAAGTGTCAGTCCTTTACAATCTGGGGGCATCATGTTAATCTAAATAGCAATCTACTTAGTCCAGAGCAGTAGTTCTCAAAGGCTGGACCACAGGCCAGTTCTGATTCATGACAAAAGTTCCATCATATATGACAAAATAAGAAAAATAAATACAACATAAAGGTCTATAATAAAACTTAATTTATTTAACTTAAAGGGTAGAGCCCTACACTGAGATCTCTTCCCTTTTCTGGTGTTAAAATGTCTTTTGTTAAATGATAGTGATAGTAGATAGTAGTTGTTTTATTAATGATGTCCTATCAATCTCCTCCCCTTTTTTTACATTTTTTCTGTTCAATTAAATACAGAAGTCTAAAGAACTACTGCCTAAAAGTTATCATAACATTGAATTTAGCCTTTGATTGACTACTTCCCAAATAATGTGGAGGCTTCATTGATTTATTAGTATGCACTTTGAATAGTAATTACTTTGTGGATGTTCAGAAAAAGCCATGCAGCTACCTATGTAACAGCTCAAACTCAAAGCCTACGGGCATTTAAAGTTGCCTATGAATAGATCTATAATTCAATGTAACAATATGTAACAAGAGATACTATAACTCTCAAAATGGACTAAAATTGTAAATCTATAGATATAAATAAATGTTCAGATTCTCACATCAAAGGAATCTTTGACATGAGATCCAGGAATCTGTTGTAATCACTTGGTTCACATGCCAGAAAGTAAAATGACATTCAATGTGAAGGCTTAGAAAATAGAAGGTCAGAGGAGAAATTAGGCGTAGAGATGTTGGATGTATGTGTGGCTTATCTGCTAGAGGAGTAGGAGTTAAAATGGGGCAAGATATGGAGATAAGTGTTGGGAGTCATTTTTATAAAGGTGCACAAGCTCTATAAATTAATGAAGAGGTAATGAGTTCTATGTATAAGGTATTACTAAAAGATAATTCATTCAGTTATTTACTAACTTACTGTTTTATGGACTTTTTAGGTATAAAAAAAGAACAAAACAAAATCCCTACCCTCAAAAAGCTTACAATTCACACAGAAGGACAAACCTGTGAACAATTAAGTAGAATACAGTATGAGGCTATTAGCACTATGGGTGCCCTAAAGAGGGAAAGACTCATTCTTCATAATACTGGTGACAGGGAAGGTCATGGAATAGAGAATTACAGATTGCTTTACCAAAGGTTAGGATTGAATTTTGAGAAATTCTCACAACTGGGGGCAAGAGGAAGAAGAGGAACTGGTGAAGGAGTTAGAAAAGCAGTTTTAAGAGAGTAGAGGAATCATAATTGACATAAAAGTACCAACACAAGGAGTTTAAAAATAGCATCAGCAAATATATCAAAAGCTATAAAAAGTTTGAGGATAAGGATTGAAAGATTAATAAAGAGGGAAAATAGGTTTATTTTATACTAAGGGGTCTCCAGAAATGCCTTGGTCTAATTTAGAAATCTTTGAAGTAAGAATCCAGGAATCCCTCCCTAATCTGGAACACACTCCTGGAAAATAATGTTGTATTCAAAATCCAAGCTCAGAAAATGTAGCGTTAGAGTAGAAAGGACAAAAATGGCACCTGGACTTTTCCTAAATTATTGCAGTCCTTAAGGACACCGGTCTTCGCACAATATACTGTATTAAGAAAATGGGCTAGGCATAGTGGTTCACAGCTGTAATCCCAGGACTTTGGGAGGCCAAGTCAGGAGGAATGCTAGAGGCCAGGAACTCAAAGACCAGCCTGGGAAACGTAGCAAGACTCTATCTCTGCAAATTTTTATTTGTTTTTATTATTATTTTTTGAGATGGAGTCTCACTCTGTCACCCAGGCTGGAATGCAGTGGTGCGATCTCGGCTCACTGCAACCTCCACCTCCCGGGCTCAGGTGATTCTCCTGCCTCAGCCTCCCAAGTCACTGGGATTACAGGCACGTGCCACCACATACAGCTAAATTTTTGTATTTTTAGTAGAGACAGGGTTTCACCATGTTGGCCAGGCTTGTCTCAAACCGCTGACCTCAGGTGATCCGCCTGCCTTGGCCTCCCAAAGTTCTTGGATTACAGGTGTGAGCCAGCACCCAGCCTGCAAATGTTTATTTTTTCAATTACCCAAGCATGGTGGGAGGATCACTTGAGTGCAGGAGTTACAGGTTACAGTGAGCTATGATCATGATAACTCCACTGCATTCCAGCCTGGGCAGGAGAGGCAGACCCTGTCAAGAAGGTTGCGGGGGTGGAGAGAGAGAGAGAGATAAGAGAGGAAGAAGAAGGAGTTGGAGAGGGAAGAGGAGGAGGAGAGAGAAGAGGAGGGGGAGGGGAGGGGAGAGGAAGGGAGGGGAGGGGAGAGGAAGGGAGGGGAGGGGAGAGGAAGGGAGAGGAAGGGAGGGGAAGGGAGGGGAAGGGAGGGGAAGGGAGAGGAAGGGAGAGGAAGGAGAAGGGGAAGGGAAGGGAAAAGGGAGAAGGGAGAAGGAGGGTAAAAAAAAAAAAGGAGCAAACACAGGTCTTCTTTGTACTGCTCCATAAACACCCACTGGGTCGGCCAAAAAGGTGGCTGAAAGTTATTGCAGTGTTCTTTTGCTTTAAAAAATTGAAACTGAATTGCTCATACATTAAAAGGATAAAAAACTAAAAACTTTGGGAGACATTTAAAACAGGGTTATCTCAAAACCATGGTTAAATAAATGTCAACTGACAAAGTATTACTGAATTACCCATTCCTTTTCCTTCTCCCCATAAGGGAAAACTAGCTTTCAGAACAGGACAAAGAAGAGAAAGCCATAAGAACGAACAATAAGTGCTTTTTAAAAACCATCTTCTTTTCTATAAAACTTTTCCATAAAGTCACAACGTAAGAGAAGGTTGAGGCGCCTGATTAAATAAATTAGAAAAAAGGCTTTCCAAACCACCAATATGAAACCAACTATCGTACTTAAAACCTAGGAAATATAAAACAGAATGGGAGGGGAAATGGTCTTCAGTCCAGTTACAATATCTGTATTGCCAGCCTTACAGAATAGGAGAACTCTTCTAAGTATAAAACTATACAGATTTGTGTTTATTAATTTACAGATAGAAGGAGGTCAAAGATAAAGAGGGGTTTTACTCAGAGGTATACCCCACCTCACAGGTGAAATTTAATTTTGGACATAAAAAGTGATAGTTGTACCCAGAGGCTCCTAATCCAAGCTGGTCTTAATATTTCCTTGCTCCAAGTGTCATTCCATAAGATTTCCTTTTTAGGCAGGGAGAACAAATTTTTTCTCTGGAAATAGCCAAATATGTCCTTTTATATGGAATGCCTCAATTACACAGAAAATTATTAGATTCTCTGAGTAGTTCTTAAAGCCTCCACATGGTCTTCACGAATGATTTATACCCAAGTGCTTTCCTGAAGGAGCACGTGAAACTCACATGGGGCTGTGCTTGGAGGAGCAGAGGCGAGGCCAGAGTCCGGACATAAGCATGCTGAACAGGTCAAACAAAACAAGGGCGATGTAATGTTGTACTTAAATACTTAAAGAAACCCACATCTGTTTTCTCGATTTCAAATGGCATGAATAGGTTTGCCTTTCAGATACTAAAAGAAAATGTGGCCTTTTACAGAACGTATGTTCAGTTGGAGGTATCATCTTGACTTCTCTTCTGGTCATGGCTTGTTACAGATTTGGCACTTTTCACTTGACCTGAAAGGAAACAGATTTTAAAATTACATTTAATTAGTTTGCAATATGAAACAAAATGAAGCCAGTTTTTAAGACAATAAGAATGGAATAAATTAGATTGTCCCAGGCTGAACCAGCTACTAATTCAACCCTAGTGTTGTTGGTATGTCATTCAAATAGTCTCTCCTGTTCACTATATTTAAAGCTGTGAGGTCACATTTCCCATATAATCAGTATTATTGTCCCTAGTTCTGCCATTGATGAGAGTAACTTTGAATAAACCGCTAAACCTCTGTTGTCTTCACTTTCTTCACTGCAAAGTCAGGGTTCATTTCAGAGGTTCCATCAAGATCTAACATTCTGTGATATGAAGGTGCTTAGAGAACATGTGATATAGGGGGTCGGGGGAGAGAGGCAAATCTTCACAGGTGAGAAGGGAAGGAGGGGGGATTGTTGGGCCAGGTTAATGGTACTGGTGGAGAGGTGGGAATAACCGTATATCCAATAGTCCCAGCTACTTAGGAGGCTGAGGCAGGAGGACTGTTTGAACCCAGGAATTCAAGTTCAGCCTGGGTAACATAGCAAGACCCTGTCTCTAAAAAAAAAATTGTAATTGAAAAACAAATTAAGATATCACAAAATCTTAAAAAATAAAAAATAATTCAGGTCTTAATTATCTCACTCTTAAACTATACTCACTTTCTCTAGTCTCCTCTCCCTCCAATCCATTTTGCAAACAAGCCCAGATTATCCTCCGTACTTAATCTCTCTTCTCTCCCACCCCAAAGCCTTTAAATGACATCCCACTGCCCAAAAAATAAAGCCGAAACTTCTAAGTTTAAAATTTAGTAGTTTTAATAAAATGATCACATGTTAACTTTGCAAAAACTCTATTTTCTACATTTCTACTGTACCTTGACACAGACTCAGCTACAATCAGCCACATGGGTACTGGCCACTTCCTTATTCCCCACATTTCCACTTTTGATCATAATACTGTGCTTTCATTCTGGAATCTCCTTCATACTCCACACTGGCTATCCATCCTCTCAGGAAACTCTTCTTTCTTCATGATGCTTTATCTTTATACTTAGGCTTCTCTGATCATATAGAGCACTTAGATTATCTTTTCAGGTATGTTCTACTCACAAACTAAGTGGTAGGCTCCTAGGAGAGTGCTATGTGTGTGCTCAACAGATCATATGATTCATGTTAGTTCTAGATGGCAAGAAACATTATGTCATACTGTAATATCTGGACTAGGTTAAGTGTCTTAACCTTTAAAAATCCACAACTCCTTTTTGATAAACATAAAAATCTTAGGTACTGATTATCCACATGCAAAAGAATTAAATTGGACCCCTATGGCCTAATACATACATACACACACACACACACACACACACACACACACACACACACACACAATAAAAATATATATCTCAAAATACATCACAGAACTAAACATTAGTGCTAAAACTACAAAACTCTCAGAAGAAAACATAGAATTAAATCTTGGTGACCTTGGATTGGCAATGGTTTCTTAGGTATGACACAGAAAGCAGAAGCAACAAAGGAAAAACAGATAAATTGAACTCAATCCAAATAAAGTTTTTTGTGTTCCAAAACATAATTAAGAAAATGACAAGACAATCCAGAGAATGGGAGGAAATAGAATCATATTTCTGACGAGAGACTTGTATCAAGAATACATAAAGAGCTCATATAACTAAAAAATAAAAAGACAATCCAATCTACAGGTGGCAAGGACAGGTGTGGTGGCTCACACCTGTAATTCCAGCACTTTGGGAGGCCGAGGCAAGTAGATCACTTGAGCCCAGGAGTTTGAGACCAGCCTGGGCAATATGGCAAAACCCTGTCTCTACAAAATGTAGAAAAATTAGCCAGGTGTGGTGGCATACCGCTGTACTCCCAGCTACTTCAGAGGCTGAGGTGGGAGGATTGCTTGGGCCCAGGGAGGTTGAGGCTGCAGTGAGCTGTAACTGTGCCACTGCACTGCAGCCTGGGCAACAGAGTGAGAGCCTGTCTTAAAATGAAAGAAAGAAAAGAAAGAGAGAGAGGGAGGAAGGAAAGAAGGAAAGAAGGAAAGAAGGAAGGAAGGAAAGAAGGAAGGAAGGAAGGAAGGAAGGAAGGAAGGAAGGAAGGAAAAGTTTCTTCCCTTTAATGACCAGGAAAAGAAAAAAATAAAAATGGGCAAGCAATTCAAATAGATATTTCTCCAGAGAAAATACAGAAATGGCCAGTAAGCATGAAAAGATGCTCAGAATTGTTCGTAATTTGGGAAATGCAAATCAGAATACATTAAGATACCACTTCATACCCACTAGGATGGCTAATTTTTTTAAAAAAGACAATGACCCTCTCCCTCTCCCTCTCCCCACGGTCTCCCTCTCCCTCTCCTTCCACAGTCTCCCTCTGATGCTGAGCTGAAGCTGGACTGTACTGCTGCCATCTCGGCTCACTGCAGCCTCCCTGCCTGATTCTTCTGCCTCAGCCTGCCGAGTGCCTGCAATTGCAGGCGCGCGCCGCCACGCCTGACTGGTTTTCGTATTTTTTTGGTGGAGACGGGGTTTCGCTGTGTTGGCCGGGCTGGTCTCCAGCTCCTAACCGCGAGTGATCCGCCAGCCTCGGCCTCCTGAGGTGCCGGGATTGCAGACGGAGTCTCCTTCACTCAGTGCTCAATGTTGCCCAGGCTGGAGTGCAGTGGCATGATCTCGGCTAGCTACAACCTCCACCTCCCAGCCGCCTGCCTTGGCCTCCCAAAATGCCGAGATTGCAGCCTCTGCCCGGCCGCCACCCCGTCTGGGAAGTGAGGAGCGTCTCTGCCTGGCCGCCCATCATCTGGGATGTGAGGAGCCCCTCTGCTCGGCTGCCCAGTCTGGGAAGTGAAGAGCGCCTCTTCCCGGCCGCCATCCTGTCTAGGAAGTGAGGAGCGTCTCTGCCCAGCCGCCCATCGTCTGAGATGCGGGGAGCACCTCTTCCCCGCCACCCCGTCTGGGATGTGAGGAGCACCTCTGCCCGGCCGCGACCCCGTCTGGGAGGTGAGGAGCGTCTCTGCCCGGCCGCCCCGTCTGAGAAGCGAGGAGCCCCTCCGACCAGCAGCCGCCCCGTCTGAGAAGCGAGGAGCCCCTCCGCCCAGCAGCCGCCCCGTCTGAGAAGTGAGGAGCCCCTCCGCCTGGCAGCTGCCCCGTCTGGGAAGTGAGGAGCATCTCCGCCCGGCAGCCGCCCCCTCTGGGAGGGAGGTGGGGGGCAGCCCCCGCCCGGCCAGCCGCCCCGTCCGGGAGGGAGGTGGGGGCTCAGCCCCCGCCCGGCCAGCCGCCCCGTCCGGGAGGGAGGTGGGGGGTCAGCCCCCCCCCCGGCCAGCCGCCCCGTCCGGGAGGGAGGTGGGGGGTCAGCCCACGCCCGGCCAGCTGCCCCGTCCGGGAGGGAGGAGGGGGGTCAGCCCCCGCCTGGCCGCCGCCCCGTCCGGGAGGTTGGGGGGCGCCTCTGCCCGGCCGCCCCTTCTGGGAAGTGAGGATCCCCTCTACCCGGCCACCACCCCGTCTGGGAGGTGTACCCAACAGCTCATTGAGAATGGGCCATGATGACGATGGCGGTTTTGTGGAATAGAAAAGGGGGAAAGGTGGGGAAAAGATAGAGAAATCAGATTGTTGCTGTGTCTGTGTAGAAAGAAGTAGACATGGGAGACTTTTCATTTTGTTCTGTACTAAGAAAAATTCTTCTGCCTTGGGATGCTTTGACCTATGACCTTACCCCCAACCCTGTGCTCTCTGAAACATGTGCTGTGTCCACTCAGGGTTATATGGATTAAGGGCGGTGCAAGATGTGCTTTGTTAAACAGATGCTTGAAGGCAGCAGACTCGCTAAGAGTCATCACCACTCCCTAATCTCAAGTACCCAGGGACACAAACACTGTGGAAGGCTGCAGGGTCCTCTGCCTAGGAAAACCAGAGACCTTTGTTCACTTGTTTATCTGCTGACCTTCCCTGCACTATTGTCCTATGACCCTGCCAAATCCCCCTCTGTGAGAAACACCCAAGAATGATCAATAAAAAAAAAAAAATAAATAAAATAAAATAAAATAAAGAAAGAGCTGAACCTGTTTGTCCCTGGGAAACAGAAACTGTGGAAAAGGGGCTCTACGGCCACTATTTTCCTAAATTTTGTATAACTATCTCTGAAAACATCTATCTGCAGAACTTTGATAAAAACTACAAATTGAAACCAGTTTTAAATTTCAATTTCCAAATAGTTATAGCTTCAGTAAAGTGGAATTCTTACCATCATAAATATGATGGAATTATGCAATATATTCCAACATTTCCATTTAACATATTGGACAGCCACTTTCATAGATTTCGTATGCAAATCTGCCTGCTTGCTAAAATCAATACTCCTGGTACTTTTGCAGTCATTTACAGATATGCACAAAGCAGAGAAAAATCTGAGGTTCCCAACAC
The DNA here is from genome assembly GCF_000001405.40 of Homo sapiens. Lineage (NCBI taxonomy): Eukaryota > Metazoa > Chordata > Mammalia > Primates > Hominidae > Homo > Homo sapiens. The sequence goes on from NC_000001.11 coordinate 173,614,676, forward strand.
ACATGTTCCCAGCAAAGGCTGAACAAGATGACACTATCTTCTTAAATAAGACAGCTATTATACCATAAACAAGGGTCCTTTTTGAGGTGTAGTGTCCTGTTTTTGGCTTTTTTTTCTTTTTGTTGGGATTTTGTTGTTTTATTTTATTTTATTTTATTTTTGAGACAGAGTGTAGCTGTTGCCCAGGCTGGACTGCAGGGGCATGATATCAGCTCACTGCATCCTCCACCTCCCGGATTCGGGTGATCATCCTGTCTCAGCCTCCTGAGCAGCTGCAATGACAGGTGCACGCCACCGCATCTGGCTAATTTTTTTGTATTTTTAGTAGAGACAAGGTTTCACCAGGTTGGCCAGGCTGGTCATGAACTTCCAACCTCCAGTAATCCACCCGCCTCAGCCTCCCAAAGTGCTGGAATTACAGGCGTAAGCCACCGCACCCGGCCTAGATGTTGTTGTTTAAAAATGCCCCCCCAGACCGGGCGCGGTGGCTCACAAGGTCAGGAGATTGAGACCATTCTGGCCAACATGGCGAAACCCCATCTCTACTAAAAATGCAAAAATTAGCTGGGCGCGGTGGCACGTGCCTGTAATCCCAGCTACTCGGGAGGCTGAGGCAGGAGAATCGCTTGAACCAGGGAGTCAGAAGTTGCAATGAGCTGAGATTGCGCCACTGCACTCCAGCCTGGCGACAGAGTAAGACTCCGTCTCAAAAAAAAAAAAAAAAAAAAATGCCCCCCAAGTGTAGTGCTGAAGTGCGGTCTAGTGCTCCTAAGTGCAAGAACGATTTAATGTGTCTTACAGAGAAAATACTGTGTTAGGTAAGTTTCATTCAGACATGAATTATAATGCTGTTGGTTGTGAGTTCAATGTTAACAAAATTAACAATAAAATTAAATAAGGTGACTTTAAATAGAAAAAAAAGACAATGACAAATACTGACAAAGATGTGGAGAAATTTGAATCTTCATGTACTGCTGGTTGGAATATAAAATGGAAATCAGTTTATAACTCAGCAATATACCAAAGAAAAAGGAAAACATGTGACCACACAAAAATTTTCATACAACAGTTCATTGCAGCATTATCTATAATAGCCAAAAGAGTGGAAACCCAAATGTCCATCAATTGATAAATAGATTAAATTTGGGCCGGGCACGGTGGCTCACACCTGTAATCCCAGCACTTTGGGAGGCAGAGGCAGGCGGATCACAAGGTCAAGAGATCAAGACCATCCTGGCTAACATGGTGAAACCCCGTCTCTACTAAAAATACAAAAAATTAGCCAAGCATGGTGGCGGGCGCCTGTAGTCCCAGCTACTCAGGAGGCTGAGCCAGGAGAATGGCATGAACCCAGGAGGCGGAGCTTGCAGTAAGCCGAGATCATGCCACCGCACTCCAGCCTGGGCAACAGAGTGAGACTCCATCTCAAAAAAAAAAAAATAGATTAAATTTGTACCCACAAAATGGAATATTATTTAGCCATAAAGCAGAATGAAGTACTGATACATGTTACCACATGGATGGACATTAAAAATATTATGCCAAGTGAGAGAGGCCACCACGAAAGGCAACACATACTATATTATTTCATTTATAAATGTTCAGGGGCAGGTCCAGAGGGCAGCCATCCTAACCCAACCTGCCCTGCCCCCAGAAAAAAAAGTTAAAAAAAAAATGTTCAGAGAAGGCAAATCCAGAGACAGAAAGTAGATTAGTGGTTGCCAGGGCTTGAGGGAGGGAAGAATAGGAAGTGACTGCTAATAGCTATAGGGTTTCTTTTCAGAGAGGTAAAACTCGAAAGTTAGATAAGGGTGATAATTACACAACTTTGTGAATATACTGAAAACCACTGAATTGTACTCTTTAAAATGATTAATTTTAAGGTGTGAGAATTATATCTCAATAAAGCTATTATTTTAAAAAAATGTTAGGGGTGTGCCTGCCACCAATATTCTGATACGTTCACCTTTCTGATTCTTAGGATAGTATTCCCACAGTAGGTTTTTCCCGAAATATAGAATTATAATACTGAAACTGCTTTTTAAAATGCTGCCAAGAGGAACTGAGATGGCCGATTAGAAAAAGCTGCAGTCCACAGCTCTCATGGAAAATAAAAACAGTGAGTGAATTCAGCACCTTCAAATGAAATATCCAGGTTCTTCCATTGGGACTGACTAGGCAAATGGCTTGACCCAGAAAGAATGAAGAAAAGTAGAGTGGGGCAATGGCCCACCCAAGAGCAGCACAGAGCCAAAGGAACCCCCACCCCCAGCCAAGGGAAGCAGTGAGTGATTGTGCGACCACTCACAATGTACGTGTGGCTTATCTGCTTGAGGAGTAAGTAAAGTGAGAAACCACACTTCTCACACAGATCTTTGCAACCCACCGATCACGAGATCCCCTCATGAGCCCATGCCACCAGAGCCTTGGGTCTGATACACAGACCTATGTGGAGTCTTGGCAAAGCAGATGCTCAGGCTCACACAGAGACCCAGGAGTTTTACATACTCTGGCCCCAGGAATCCCAGCAAGGCAGGAGATCCATTTATATGCTCCCCTAGGAATAGGGCTGAATCCAGAGAGCCAAGCAGTGTCATTTTGTGGGCCCCACTTCCACGGCACTTCACAAGTTAAGACCCACCACCTTGGAATTCCTGCCAGACAGCGCAACAGGCTGGAGACTGCCTGAGATGGATGAGTTCCCAGAGGGTAGAGGCAGGTGCCATCCATTTCTGCAGTTTGTTCAACTCAGCCCTTCTAGCCTTCCAGCTCTGGGGAGTTCAAGAAGTCCTGATGAGGAGGAGTCCTGCACAATGCAGCACAGCTGCTGTGCCAGATTGTGGCCAGATTGCTTCTTTAAATGGGACCCCAATGCATCCCCCTTCACTGGGTGGGGCCTCCCTGCAGGAATTACAGCAACTCCAGCCAGGGTTATACAGACATAACTCTGATCTCTTTTAAGATGGAGCCACTGTGGGGAGGGATGACCGATGTCTCTGCGGTTCAGTCAACAGCCTTTCGGCCTGCTGGCTCCGGAGAGTCCAGGCAGTCTGGATGAGCAAGGGCTATCCCCAACACAGCACACCTGCTCTACCAAAAAGCAGCCAGACTGCTTCTTTAAGCAGGTCCCTTATCCCATCCCTCCTGACTGAGTGAGACCTCCCAACACGGGTCTTCAGATACCTCCTACAGGAGTGTCCAGGCTGGCAACAGGTCAATACCCCACTGGGACAAAGCTCCCAAAGAAAAGAGCAGGTTGTTGTCCTTGCTGTTTCACAGGCTTTACTTGCTGAAACCTCCAGGTAGAGGAAAAGCCAAGGCAACTTCCAGCTTTCTGGAGCCATCCCCCAGCAAACTGCAGCAGCCCTACAGAAAAGTGGCCTGACTTTTAAAAGAAAAACACACAAACAGAAAGCAACAGCAGCAGCAGCATCAACAAAAAAGGCCTCAAAAAAACTCCATTCAAAGGTCAGCAACCTCAAAACTCAAAGGTAGATAAGCCCACAAAGATGAGAAAGAATCAATGCAAAAATGCTGAAAACTCAAAAAGCCCAAGTGCCTCTTCTTCTACAAGTGACTGCAACACCTCTCCAGCAAGGGCACAGAACTGAGGCCAAGATGGCTGAAATGACAGTAGGCTTTAGAAGGTGGGTAATAATGAACTTCACTGAGCTAAAGGAACACATTGTAACCCAATGCAAAGAAGCTAAGAATCATGATAAAACAATACAGGAGCTGAAAACCAGAATAGCCAGTTTAGAGGGGAGCATAACTGACCTGATGGAGCTGAAAACCATGATGCAAGAAGTTCACAATGCAAACACAAGTATCAATAGAAGAACAGACGAAGAGGAGGAAAAAATGTCAGAGCTTGAAGACTATCTTTTGAAATAGGAAGACAAGAATACAGAAAAAAAGAATGAAAAGGAATGAACAAAACCTCTGAGAAATATGGGACTACGTAAAAAGACCAAACCTATGACTGATTGGGGTACCTGAAAAAGACGGGGAGAATAAAACCAAGTTGGAAAACATACTTCAGGATATTATCCAGGAGAATTTCCCCAACCTAGCAAGACAGGCCAACATTCAAATTCAGGAAATCCAGAGAACCTCAGTAAGATATTCCATGAGAAGATCAACCCCAAGACACATAATCATCAGATTCTCCAAGGTCAAAATGAAAGAAAAAATGTTAAAAGTGGCCAGACTGAGAGGCCACATCACCTACAACGGGTAACCCATCAGACTAACAGTGGACCTCTGCGTGGAAACCCTAAAACCAGAAGAGATTGGGGGCCAATATTCCACATTCTTAAAGAAAAGAATTTCCAACCCAGAATTTCATATCCAGCCAAACTAAGCTTCATAAGCAAAGGAGAAATAAGATCCTTTTCAGACAAGCAAACACTGAGGGAATTTGTCACCACCAGCCCTGCCTTGCAGGAGCTCCTGAAGGGAGCACTAAATATGGGAAGGAAAACCCATTACCAGCCACTACAAAAATAAACTGAAGTACACAGACCAGTGACACTTTGAAGCAACCACATAAACAAGTCTGCAAAAATAACCAGCTAGCATCATGATGACAGGATCAAATTCACACATAACAATATTAAGCTTAAATGTAAATGGGCTAAATGCCCCAATTAAGAGACACAGAATGGCAAGCTGGATAAAGATCCAAGACCCATCAGTATGCTGTCTTCAAGAGACCCATCTCATGTGCAAAGACACACATAGGCTCAAAAAAAAGAGATGAAGGAAAACTTACCAAGCAAATGGAAAACAGGAAAAAAGCAGGGATCACAGTCCTAGTTTCTGACAAAACAGACTTTAAACCAACAAAGGTCAAAAAGGACAAAGAAGGGGCTGGGCATGGTGGCTCATGCCTGTAATCCCAGTACTTTGAGAGGCCAACATGGGTGGATCACCTGAGGTCAGGAGTTCGAGACCAGCCTAGCCAACATAGTGAAACCCAGTCTCTACTAAAAATACAAAAATTAGCCAGGTGTGGAAGTGGGCACCTGTAATCCCAGCCACTCGGGAGGGGGAGGCAGAAGAATCGCTTGAACCCAGGAGACGAAGTTTGCAGTAAGCCGAGATTGCACAATTGTACTCCAGCCTGGGTGACAAAGCAAGACTCCATCTCAAAAAAAAAAAAAAGACAAAGAAGCAAAGAAGGGCATTACATAACAATAAAGGGTTCAATTCAACAAGAAGAGCTAACTATCCTAAATATATATGCACACAATACAGGAGCACCCAGATTCATAAAACAAGTTCTTAGAAACCTACAAAGAGACTTAGACTCATACACAATAATAATGGGAGACTTTAACACCCCACTGACAATATTAAAAAGACCATCCAGACAGAAAATTAACAAAGATATTCAGGACCTGAACTCAGCTTTGGATCAAGCACACTTGATAGATATCTACAAAACTCTTCACCCAAAAACAACAGAATATACGTTCTTCTCATCACCACGTGGCACTTACTCAAAAATTGATCACATATGCAGAAGTAAAACAGTCAGCAAATGCAAAAGAACTGAAATCATAACAAACTGTCTCTCAGACCACAGTGCAATCAAATTAGAATTCGATGCTAAGAAATTCACTCAAAACCACACAACTGCATGGAAATTGAACAACCTGCTCCTGAATGACTCCTGGGTAAATACTGAAATTAAGGCAGAAATCAAGAAGTTCTTTGAAACTAATGAGAACAAAGAGACAATGTACCAGAATCTCTGGGATACAGCTAAAGCAGAGTTAAGAGGGAGATTCACGGCACTAAATGCCCACATCAAAAAGCTGGAAAGACCTCAAATTAACAACCTAACACCACAACTGAAAGAACTAGAGAACCAAGAGCATGGACACAGGAAGGGGAACATCACACTCTGGGGACTGTTGTGGGTTGGGGGGAGGGATAGCATTGGGAGATATACCTAATGCTAGATGACGAGTTAGTGGGTGCAGCGCACCAGCATGGCACATGTATACATATGTAACTAACCTGCACATTGTGCACATGTACCCTAAAACTTAAAGTATAAAAAAAAAAAGAACCAAGAGCAAACAAACCCCAAAGTTAGCAGAAGACAAGAAATAATCAAAATCGGAGCAGAATTGAAGGAGACAGAGACACAAAAAAACCCTTCAAAAAAATCAATGAATCCAGGAGCTGGTTTTTTGGAAAAAAATTAATAAAATAGATAGACCACTAGCCAAATTAATAAATAAGAAAAGCAGAAGAATCAAATAGACACAATCAGAAATGATAAAGTTGATATCACCACTGATTCCACATCAAAACAACCATCAGACAAACTATAAACAATTCTATGAACATAAAGTAGAAAAGCTAGAAGAAATGAATAAATTCCTGGACACATACACCCTCCAAAGACTGAACCAGGAAGAAATTGAATCCCTGAATAGACCAATAATGAGTTCTGAAATTGAGGCAATAATAAATAGCCTACCAACCAAAAAGAAGCCCAGGACCAGATGGATTTACAGCTGAATTCCACCAGAGGTATAAAGAAGAGCTGGTACCATCTCTACTGAAACTATTCCAAAAAATTGAAAAGGAAGGACTCCTTTCTAACTCATTGTATGAGGCCAGCATCATCCTGATACCCAAACCTGGCAGAGATACAACAGAAAAAGAAAACTTTAGGCCAATATCCCTGATGAACATTGATACAAAAATCCTCAATAAAATACTGGCAAATCAAATCCAGCAGCACATCAAAAAGTTTATTCATCATGATCAAGTTGGCTTCATCTCCAGGATGCAAGGTTGGTTCAGCATACACAAATCAATAAATGTAATTCATCACATAAGCAGAACTAAAGACAAAAACCACATGATTATCTCGATAGAGAAAGAAAAGGCCTTTGATAAAATTCAATATCTCTTCATGTTAAAAATTCTCAATAAACTAAGTATTGAAGGAACATACCTCAAAATAATCAGAGCCCTATATGAAAAACCCACAGCCAATATCATAATGAAAGGACAAAAAGTGGAAGCATTCCCCTTGAAAACCAGCACAAGACAAGGATGCCCTCTCCCACCATGCCTATTCGACATAGTATTGGAAATTCTGGCTAGGGAAATCAGGCAAGATAAACAAATAAACAGTATTCAAATAGGGACAGAGGAAGTTAAATTATCTTTGTTTGCAGATGACATGATCCTATATCTAGGAAATCCTATTATCTCAGCCCAAAAGCTTCTTAAACTGATAAGCAACTTCAGCAAACTATCAGGATACAAACTCAATGTGCAAAAATTGCTAGCATTTTTATACACCAACAACAGGCAAGCAGAGAGCCAAATCATGAATGAAATCCACTTCACAATTGCTACAAAAAGAATAAAATACATAAAAATACAGCAGTCAAGGGAAGTGAACAACCTCTTGAAGGAGAACTACAAACCACTGCTCAAGGAAATCAGAAAGGACACAAACAAATGGAAAAACATTCCATGCTCATGGACAGGAAGAACTAATATTATGAAATGACCATACTGCCCAAAGTAATTTAAAAATTCAATGCTATTCCCATTAAACTGTCATTGACATTCTTCACAGAATTAGAATAAACTATTTTAAAATTCATATGGAATAAAAAAAGAGCCTGAATAGCCAAGACAATCCTAAGCAAAAAGAACAAAGCTGGAGGCATCATGCTACCCAACTTTGAACTATACCACAAGGCTACAGTAACAAAAACAGCATGGTATTGGTACAAAAACAGACACATAGACCAATGGAAAAGAATAGAGAACTCAGAAATCAGACCACACACCTACAACCATCTGATCTTCAACAAACCTCACAAAAACAAGTAATGGAGAAAGGATTCCCTATTTAATAAATGGTGTTGGGAAAACTGGTTAGCCATATGCAGAAAATTGAAACTGGACCCCTTCCTTACACCTTATACAAAAATTAACTCAAGATAGATTAAAGACTTAAATGTAAAACCCAAAACTATAAAAACCCTAGAAGAAAATCAAGGCAATACCATTCAGGACATAGGTGCAGGCAACGATTTCATGAGTAAAACACCAAAAGCAATTGCAACAAAAGGAAAAATTGACAAATAGGATCTAATTAAACTAAAGAGCTTCTGCACAGCAAAAGAGACTATCATCAGAGTGAACAGACAACCTACAGAAAATTTTTGCAATCTATTCATCTGACAAAGGTCTAATATCCAGAGTCTACAAGGAACTTATACAAACATACAAGCAAAAAACAAACAACCCCATTAAAAAGTTGGCAAAAGACACGAACAGACACTTCTCAAAAGAAGACATTCAAAAAAAAAAGGCTGGGCATGGTGGCTCATGCCTGTAATCTCAGCAATTTGGGAGACTGAGGTGGGCGGACCACCTGAGGTCAGGAGTTCAAGACCAGCCTGGCCAACATGGTGAAACCGTCTCTACAAAAAAATATAAAAATTAGCTGGGCATGGTGGCACACATGTAATCCCAGCTACTCAGGAGGCTGAGGCAAGAGAATCGCTTGAACCCAGGAGGTGGGGGTTACAGTGGAGGCGGGGGTTGCAGAACCCAGTCTGAGTGACAAGAGTGAGACTCCGCCTCGAAAAAAAAAAAAACACATTCATGTAGTCAGTAAACAAACATGAAAAAAAGCTCAACATCACTGATCATTAGAGAAATGCGAATCAAAAATACAATGACACACCATCTCATGCCAGTCAGAATGGCAATTATTAAAAAGCCCAGAAACAACAGATGCTGGCAAGGTTGTGGATAAAAAGGAATTCTTATACACTGTTGGTAGGAATGTAAATTAATTTAACCATTGTGGAAGACAGTATGGCAATTCCTCAAAGATCTAGAGACAGAAATACCATTTGACCCAGCAATCCCGTTACTGGGTATATACCCAAGGGAATATAAATCATTCTATTATAAAGATATATGCATGTGTATGTTCATTGCAGCACTATCCACAATAGCAAAAACATGGAATCAACCCAAATGCCTATCAATGATAGACTGGGTAAAGAAAATGTGGAACATATATACCATGGAATACTATACAGCCATAAAAAGGAACGAGACCATGTCCATTTAAAAGACATGGATGGAGCTGGAAGCCATTATCCTCAGCAAACTAATGCAGGAACAGAAAACCAAACACTGTATGTTCTCACTTGTAAGTGGGAGCTGAATGATGAGAACACATGGACACATGGAGGGGAACAACATACACTGTGGGGGTGGGGGGAGGGACAGCATCAGGAAGAATAGCTAATGGATGCTGGGCTTAATACCAAGGTGATAGGTTGATCTGAGCAGCAAACCACCATGGCACACGTTTACCTATGTAACAAACCAGCACATCCTGCACATGTACCCTGCAACTTAAAATAAATGTTGAAGGAAAAAAATAAATATAAATATAAATAAAATAAAATGTTGCCACCCTATCTCCCAGGAGGAGATGCCTCCTAGATGAGAATCAAAATCACCGACAGGCCCAGTGTGGTGGCTCACACCTGTAAAGCCAACACTTCAGGAGGCTGAGGCAGGAGGATTACATGAAGCTAGGAGTTCAAGACCAGCCTGAGAAACATAGCAAGACCCTATCTCCATAAAAAATTTAAAAATTGGCCAAGCATGGTAATGCCTGCCTGTGGTCCCAGCTACTCAGGAAGCAGGAGTATCACTTGAGCTCAGGAGGTGGAGGCTGTGGTAAGCTACAATCACACCACTGCACCCCAGCCTGGGTAACAGAGGAAGACTCTGCCTCCGGGGGAAAAAAAAAAAAAAATCAAAACAAAGCTACAGTAATCCCATAAAATTTAATGACTGATGATGGTAATATTAAGATTAGTATTAGACATTTCCTATAGGAAGAATTCAGTTATTATTAGTTATTACTAATATTGCAAATAATGAAACTAGGGAACTATATCATAGATTAGTGCTTGTAACAATGTTAATAACTACTTAATGAAGATTGTTAAAATCAGAATATCTCAAAAATAACAACATTGAACTTAATTTTCATCCCTTCTGACATTCAAACCACCTTTTATCCAAAACTTACATGGTGTAGTCATTTTTGTGAAGATAGGAGTCACAATATCTTCCAGTTGTTGTCTCTGCTCAAAAAGCTCATTAATGGAAGCTTCTGTATGGGTTTCCAACCACTCATTTTTTGCACGGCATGCACTGAGGATGGTATTCTAGGGACAGAAATACAGAGTTTGCTCTCCACTTATTTATTGAAAAATAAAACTCAACAGTATCTCTAAACCAGCACGTCCAACTGAACTTTCTGTGATGATAGAAATATTCTGTACCTGCATTGTCCAATACAGTAGCCATTAGATATAAATAGCTATTGAGCACTAGAAATGTGGCTAGGGTGACTAAGGAACTACATTTTAAATTTTATTTAATTTTAAATAATTCAAATTTGAATAGTCACATGTGGCTAGTATCTATTATATTGGACAGTGCAGCTCTAACATTAGTGGAATATGAGCACAATAAAACTCACCATCGAGAGTCATGAAGCCTGGTACCATTCTACACTTTCTCCCTAATTCTTTATTTTTGTTAAGCCCTGTGACTAAAAGAAGTACTTGCAAAGACCAGAAAAGAATGGGTGGATGGTATGAGTTGCATGCAACTCAAAAGACAATGCTGATATTTTATTCCCTCTCAAATGGTTCACAGAAGGAGGAAGTTCAAGAAATACAAGAAAAGCTCCATCTTACTGAAAATCTCTCAATTTGCACTGTAAAATTATCTCATCGCACATATGCAGCAAATTTCTGATGTCTGATTTAAGATGTTTATTATACTATGGTCTGTAAAAATAAAGATAAATAAATACATTTGTGGTATGTCCTGTCCATACTGTTAAATAATAAGCAGTAGCATATGCAGAAGTATGTAGAAGCAGGTAGACTTAGAGAGGTGTCCATAATATCTTATTGAGAAGGAAAAAAAGTAAAATTAAAGAATAATATATATAAGTGTGATCTCATTTTTATAAAAACAAAATCTTTCATAAAATTCCTATTATGTGTATGGATACATATGATTATATAAGTGAAAGGGAAAACATAACACAAAATTATTTTTGAAACCACATAGTAGGTATTAAGAATAGAAATAGAAAAGGGAAAACTATTATGTTTGCTTTAGACATTCTGATTTTTTCTAATTATTACTATGTATACATAATAATTTCTAGTTCAAATAATCAAATTTTTAAAAATTAAATTAAGAATGTTCTAGTAACTAGTTTGACAAAGCACTATTTCTTTGTGTCAGGAAAATTTTGCTTTGCAGATCTGATAGCTCCAAATGCTATTCTAATAAATTTTGCCTACATTTTGTTTGTTTCACAAGAGATTTTGCAGAGTACTCTACAAGACACAAGTGCAATGTATAACTTATCAAGTGCTAGACTTGGTGATATCTTATACTTTTAGCAATACCTAATTCTTTTTCATCTGAATAATAAGTCACAGGAAATTCACAGAGCATCCTGCACAAAAATAAATGAAATAATTTAAAACCAAAACACATTTCTGATACCTTCAGTATATTTTTTAAATGTACATTCAGAGCACTAAACTATTCCACAGGGAATGCTTAGATCTAGTACTTAGATATGTGGCAAGTGGGCTTTAAAATTACTGTGTTTACAGCTGTGTATCTCTTTTCCCATTCTGGAAAATTTGACACATTAAATAATATGCAATGTATTTGTACATGTACATATATACTAAAATATACAATGTATATCTCAGTTTTGAAGCAAAATAATGAAATGAATATTTCCATTGTATTATTTTGGACCCTACCAGTCCAGAACCAGAACACTACCAGTACTATTAATACAGCTTCTGTCCCTCCCCATCCCACCCCCCGACTGCCTTCAAGAGATAACTATGATCTGTGCTTATCCCTTTGCTTGGCTTTTTAAATAGTTTTACTCCCATATGTAGGCATCCCTAAATTATATAGTTTGATATTGCTTGTTTTTGAGCTTTATAAAAGTCTATGTAGTCTTTGATAATTTTTTTTACTCAATATTACATTTCTAAGATTCAGCCATGTTGCTGGGTTTGATACTTAGTACATCTCTATGTCACTCTTTAATACTATTTATTTTAGTTTTGATCAGACTATCCTCTATTAGAAGTTTATAAAGAAAGGAAGGGAAGGTAGGAGGGAAGAAGGAAAGAAAGAGGGAGGAGGGAGGAAGTAAGGACCACTACCTGCCTTTAGAACATCAGTGCAAAAATTAAAATGTAAGACAAAATTCTCAAAACACTACAGAACAAGCAATAATCACAATACAGTACCTTGTCTTCCTTAAGGAGTTTCCCTGATCCCTTTTCTGTGTCAGTAACAGCTAAAGAGACTTTTGCAATATATTTTTTCAGAGTCAGCCTTGCATCTGAAAGAATGGACAGAAACACACACATGACAAGACAAACACAAGAGGCAAAGCAAGATAGTCAAATGGAAGCCTCCACTGTCCACCCCACCCCACAGAAACACCAAATTGAAAAACTATCCATACAAAAAAGCACCAACATGAGAACCAAAAATCAGGTAAGCAATCACAGTAGCTCCTTTTAACATCATATTAAGGAAAGAGGCACTGAAGAGGGTAGGAAAGACAGTTTTGAACTGCCTACACCACACTTCCCCCATACCCCTGGTAATAGCCACACAGTGCAGACAGAGAATCTATATGCTTGAGGGAGAGCACAGTGACTGTGGGACTTTGCACTACAGCTCAATGCTTCCCTATCATAGAAGAAAGCAACATGGGGCAGAATTCAGCTGACAACCATGGATGCAGCATTTAGACCAGCCCTAGCCAGAGGGGAAGCACACAGCCCAGCAGTTGGAATCTGAGTTCCAGCAGGCCCCACCACTACAGGCTAAAGTGCTATGGGGTCCTAAATAAATTTGAAAGGCCATCTAGGCCACGAGGGCTGCAATTCCTGGGCAAGTCCTAGTGCTGTGCAGGGATCAGAGCCAGTGGACTTGGGGTGCACATCACCTAGTGAGACACCAGCCTGAATGACCATGAGAGTGCTTGCCACCGCTCTGCCAATCCCAGGCAACACAGCTTACAGCTCTGGGAGAGACTCCTTTCTTCTGCTTGAGGAGAAGAGAGGCAAAAGTGAATAAGACTTTGTCTTGCAACTTGGATACCAGCTCAGCCACAGTAGAACACGGCACCAAGCAGAGTCCTGAGGCCCCCATTCCAGGCCCTAACTCCAAAGTGGTATTTCTAGACACATCCTGGGCCAGAAGGGAACCAGCTGCCTTGAAGGGAAGGACCCAGGCCTGGCAGGATTCATCACCTGCTGACTAAAGAGCCCTTGGGTCCTGAATAAGCAGCAATGATACCTAGGCAGTACTCACCACGGACCTTGGGTGAGACTCAGAGCCATGCTGGCTTCAGGGGTGACCCAGAACATTCCCCAGCTGTAGGGACTAAGGGGAGAGACACCTTCTGCTTGACGAAAGGAGAGGGAAGAGTAAATGGGACTTTGTCTTGCAACTTGGGTACCAGCTCAGCCACAGTGGTGTAGCACACCAAGCAGGATCCTAAGGTCCCTGATTCCAAGCCTTGGCTCCTGGAGAGCATTTCTGGGCCTGGCCTGGACCAGAGGAGAGCCCACTGCCCTGAAGGGAGAAACCCATGCTGGGCAGTATTCACCACAGGCTGATTGTAGAGCCCTTGGGCCTCAAGTGAATACCAGCAGTAGCCAGGTGGACTTGCTGTGGGCCTGGGCAGTGGTGGCCACAGGGAGAGACTACTCTGTTAGAAGAAAGGGGAGAGGAAAAGTGGGAAGGACTTTGTCTTATGGCTCGGGTGCCAGCTCAGCTGCAGTAGAATAGAGCACCAGCTAGATTCCTAAGGTTCTTGACTCCAGGACTTGACTCCCAGATGGCATCTCCAGACCCACCCAGAGCCTGGGGGAACTTGTTGCCTTTACGGAAGGACGCATGCCTGGCTGTATTTGCCAACTGCTGATTGTAGACCATTGGGCCTTGAGTGAATATAAGCAATAACTAGGCAGTGGCCACCACAGGCCTTGGGCAAGACCCAGTGCCATGCTGGCTTCAGGTCTGACCCAGGGCAGTCCTAGTGGTGGTGGCCACAGGGGTGCTTGTCTTACCCCTCCCCCAGTTCTAGGCAGCTCAGCACAGAGAGAGAGACTCTGTTTATTGAGGGGAAAGTAAGAAAAGAAAAAAAGAGTTTCTGCCTGATAATCCAGGGCATTTTCCCACATCTTACCCAAGACCATTAAGACAGCATCTCTACAAGTCTGCAAGAGCCACAGCGTTACTGAGCTTGGGGTGCCCCCTAATGCAGATACGGCTAGAGTAACCAAAAACTTAGATCACAACATCCAAGTCCCTTCAAATACGTAGAAAGCCTTCCCAAGAAGGACAGGTACAAACAAGCCCAGACTGCAATACCTACAATAAATACCTAACTCTTCAATGCCCAGATGCCAGTGGACATCCACAAGCAAGAAGGTCAGTCAGAAAAATAGGACCTCATCAAACAAACTAAGTAAGGCCCCAGTGATCAATCCCAGAGTGAAAGAGATATGTGACCTTTCAGAGAGAGAATTCAAAATAGGTATTTTGAGGAAACTCAAAGAAATTCAAGATAACACAGAGAAAGAATTCAGAATCCTATCAGATAAAATTAACAAAGAGTTTGGAACAACTTAAAAGAATCAAGCAGTAATTATGGAGCTGAAAAATGCAATTGACATACCAAACAATGCATGAGAGTCTCTTAACAGTAGAATTGATCAAGCAGAAGAAAGAACTAGTAAGCCTAAAGACAGGTTATTTGAAAATACAGTCAGAGGAGACAAAAGAAAAAAGAATAAAAAACAATGAAGCACTCCTATAAGATCTAGAAAATAGCCTCAAAAGGGCAAATCTAAAAGTTTCTGGCCTTAAAGAGGAGGTAGAGAGAGAGCAGGGTAAAAAATTTATTCAAAGGAATAATATTAATTAAAAAAAGAACTTCCCAAACCTAGAGAAATATATCAATATTCAAGTACTAGAAGATTATAGAACACCAAGCAGTTTTAGCCCAAAGAAGACTACCTCAAGGTATTTAGTAATCAAACTCCCAAAAATCAGGGATAAAGATCCTAAAAGCAGCAAGAGAAAAGAAACCAATAACATATAACGGAACTCCAATACATCTAGCAACAGACTTTTCAGTAGAAACCATATAGGCCAGGAGAGAGTGGCATGACATATTTAAAGTGCTAAAGGAAAATAACTTTTACCCTAGAACAGTGTATCCATGAAAATATCCTTCAAACACATCAGAGAAATATTTTCGCAGGCAAACAAAAGCTGAGGGATTTCATCAACACTAGACTTGTCCTAGAAGAAATGCTAAAGGGAGTTTTTTAATCTGAAAGAAAAGGATGTTAATGAGCCATAAGAAATCATCAGAAGATATAAAACTCACTGGTAATAGTAAGTACACAGAAAACCACAAAATACTATGTATGACACTGTAATTATGGTGGGTAAACTACTCGTATTTTGAATAGAAAGACTAAAAGATTAATCTATCAAACATAATAATTTTCAAGACATAGGCGGTACAATAGGATATAAATAAAAACAACAAAAAGGTAAAAAGTTGGAGGGGAATGAAGTTAAAGTGTAGCTTTTATTTGTTTTTCTCTTTGCTTGTTTGTTTATACAATCTATGTTAAGTTGTCATCAGTCTAAAATAATGAACTATAAGATACTATTTGAAAGTCTCATGGTAATCTCAAATCAAAAAACATACAACAAAGCTGGGCTTGGTGGCTCACATCTATAATCCCAGCACTTTGGGAGGCCAAAGCGGGCGATCACTTGAGGTCAGGAGTTTGAGACCAGCTACTAAAAATACAAAAATTAGCTGGCGTCGTGGTGCATGCCTATAATCCCAACTACTAGGGAGGCTGAGGCAGGAGAATCGCTTGAAGCCAGGAGGCAGAGGTTGCAGTGAGCCAAGATTGTGCCACTGCACTCTAACCTGGGTGACAGAGTAAGACTCTGTCTAAAAAAAAAAAAAAAAAAAAAAAAAAAGAGAGAGAGACACAAAAAATAAAAAGCAAGAAACTAAAAGGAAGACAGGAAGGAAGGAAAGAAGGAAGATAAGACCACAAAACAACCAGAAAACCAATAGCAAAATGGCAGGAATAAGTCCTTACTTATCAATAATAACACTGAATGTAAATGGACTAAACTCTCCAATCAAAAGACATAGAGTGGTTGAAGAGATAAAAATCAAAGATCCAATTATCTGTTACATATAAGAAACACACTTCACCTGTAAAGACACACATAAATGGAAAATAAAAGAATAAAAAAAGATATTCCATGCCAATGGAAACCAATAAAGAGCAGGAGTAGTACACTTACATCAGGCAAAATAGATTTCAAGAAAAAAACTATGAAAGAGACAAAGAAGGTCATATATAATAATAGAGGGGTCACTTCAGCAAGAGGATATAACAGCTGGGAATATACATGCACCCAACGCTGGAGCACCCAGATATTTAAAGCAAATATTACTAGAGCTTAAGAGGGAGCTAGACCCCAATACAATAATAGGTGGAGACTTCAACACCCCACTTTCAGCATTGGACAGATCATCCGGACAGATCATCCAGACAGAACATCAAAAAAGAAACATCGGACTTAATCTACACTACAGACCAAATGGACCTACTAGATATTTACAGAACATTTCATTCAGTGACTGCACAATGCACATTTTTCTACTCAGCACATGGATCATTCTCAAGGACAGACCTTACGTTAGGCCACAAAACAAGTCTTAAAAGTTTCAAAAAAATTAAAATTATATCAAGTATTTTCTCTGACCACAATGGAATAAAGCTAGAAATCAATAACAAGAGGAATTTTGGAAACTATACAGCACATAGAAATTAAACAGTATGCTTCTGAATGAACAGTGTGTCAATGAAGAAATTACTAATAAGAAGGAAATTTTTTAAATTCTTGCAACAAATGAAAATAGAAACACAATATACCAAAAGTATGGAATGCAGTGAAAGCAGTACTAAGAGGAAACTTTATAGTAATAAACACCTACATTAAAAAAATACAAAAACTTCAAATAAACACCTTAACAATACATCTTAAAGAACTAGAAAAGCAAGAGCAAACCAAACCCAAAATTAGTAGAAGAAAATAAATAAAAAAGATCAGAACAAAAATTAATGAAATTGAAATTTTAAAAAAATTCAAAAGATCAATGAAATGAAAAGTTGGTTTTTTGAAAAGATAAACAAAATTGGCAAACCATTAGCCAGACTAAGAAAAAAAGAAAGGCCCAAATTTTAAAAATCAGAAAAAAATGAAAAAGAAGACATTACAACCAATTCCACAGAAATTCAAAAGATCATTAGAGGCTACTATGAGCAAATATATGTCAATAAATTGGAAAACTTAAGATAAATGGATAAAGTTCTAGACACATACAACCTGCAAGTTTAAACCATGAAGAAATCCAAAACCTGAATAAACCAATAACAAGTAATGAGATCAAAGCTGTAATAAAAAGTCTCCAAGCAAAGAAAAGCCCAGGACCCAATAGCTTCATGCCAAGTTTTACCAAACACTTAAAGAACTAGTACCATTCCTACTCAAACTATTCTGAAAAATAGAGAAGGAGGAAATACTTCCAAATACATTTTACAGAGCCATTATTACCCTGATATGAAAACCGGACAAAGACACATCAAAAAAAAAAAAAACAAAACAAAACCCCAAAACTACAAGCCAATCTCCCTGATGAACACTGATGCAAAAATCCTCAACAAAATGCTATCAAACTGAATTCAACCACACATTTAAAAGACCATTCATCATGACTATCATCATGACCAAGTGACATTTATCCCAAGGATGCAAGGATGTTTCAACAAATGCAAATCAATTAATGTGATACATCATATCAACAGAATGAAGGACACAAACCATATGATCATTTTAATTGAGGCTAAAATTTAATATTCCTTCATGTAAAAATCCTCAAAAAACTGGGTATAGTAGGAACATACATCAACACAATCAAAGCCACATATGACAGACCCACAGCTGGTGTCATATAGAACAGGAAAAACTAAAAGCCTTTCCTTTAAGATCTGGAATAAGACAAGAATGCCCACTTTCACCACTGTTATTCAATATAGTGTTGGAAGTCTTACCTAGAGCAATCAGAGAAGAAAATAAAGGGCATCCAAATTGGAAAGGAGGAAGTAAAATTATCCTTGATTCCGGCTGATATAATTTTATATTTGGAAAAGTGTAAAGACTCCACCAAACAATTATTAGAACTGATAAACAAATTCAGTAAAATTACAGGATACAAAATCAACATGCAAAAATCAGTAGTATTTCTACAGGCCAACAGTGAACAATCTGAAAAAAAAATCAAGAAAGTAACTCCATTTACAATACATACAAAGAAAATAAAATACTTTGGGATAAACTTAACCCAAAAAGTGAAAAATCTCTATAATGAAAACTATAAAAGACTGATGCAAGAAACTGAAGAGGACATAAAAAATGGAAAGACATTCCATGTTCATAGATTGGAAGAATCAATATTGTTAAAATGCTCATACTACCCAAAGCAATGTACAGATTCAATGCATTGGTATCAAAATACCAACGACATGCTTCACAGAAATAGAAAAAACAATACTAAAATTTTTATGGAACCACAAAAGCCCCAGAATAGCCAAAGACATCCTGAGCAAAACAAAAACATAAAAACTGAAGGAATCACATTACTTGACTTCAAATTATACTACAGAGCTATAGTAACCAAAACAGCATGGGACTGGCCTAAAAATAGACACATAGACCAATGGAACAGAATGGAGAACCCAGAAATAAATCTATAAATCTCACTTTTGACGAAGGTGCCAAGAACATACATTGGGGAAAGGACAGTCTCTTCAATAAATGGTGCTGGGAAAACTGGATATCCATAAGCAGAAGAATGAAACTCGACCCCATCTCTCACCATATACAAAAATTAAATCAAACTGAATTAAAGACTTAAATATAAGACCTCAAACTATGAAACTACTGTAAGAAAACATTTGGGAAAGTCTCCAGGATATTGGTCTGGGCAAAGATTTTTTCAGTAATACCCTACGAGCAGAGGCAACCAAAGAAAAAATCGACAAATGGGATTATTACGTTAAAAAGCTTCTGCACAGCAAAGGAAACAATCAACGAAGTGAAGAGGCAACCCACAGAATGGAATAAAACTACTCATATGACAAGGGATTAATAACCAGAATATATAAGCAGCTCTAACAACTCAATAGGAAAAAAATCTAATAATCCTATTTTTTTAAATGGGCAAAAGATGTGAATGGACATTTCTCAAAAGACATACAAAATGGCAAACCAGTATATGAAAAGGTGATCAACATCACTGATCATCCAGAGAAATGCAAATCAAAACTACAATGACATATCATATCACCATAGCACTCCACAGATACAGACATATAGATTTAGATAGATACAATTATTTTCTGTATCTCCCTACTAGAAAGTAAACTCCATGAAGGTAATGATTCTGTTTTGGGCTACGTTGTGTATATATTCTCAGCTCCTAGAACAATGTTTAGCACACAGTCAGCACTCAGCAAATATTTGTTATATGAATGCTTACA
The DNA here is from genome assembly GCF_000001405.40 of Homo sapiens. NCBI lineage: Eukaryota > Metazoa > Chordata > Mammalia > Primates > Hominidae > Homo > Homo sapiens. The sequence continues at coordinate 173,634,484 of NC_000001.11, forward strand.
CAAAATGTCTTTGCTTATTATGCTTCCCCAATCTTAGATACCCTCTCTACACTGCCACCTATAAAAATTCTACTCATTCTTCAAAGCCTACTCACATATCTTTTTCTGCAAAATTTCCTAATTCCCCCAAGTGGGACTCATTGCCCTCTCAACAGTTATGTGATTATAATTTTATTTAGTTCTCATTTAGTAAAATCTAAAATTTTTTAGATTTAGTAAAATGAGAACTATTTATTTTTTATAATAAAATCAGAATCATTTTAATTATTATATTACTTTTTGCTTTTACCTCTAGATTGTACACTCCTTAAAGGCAAGGTCTATGTCCCATCTTTTTATCATATACCATGCCACCTTCCTCACCCCTCACCCACTACCTGATAGTACCACATCACCACCACAGGAATATATTATAAGGGACAGGCACTCAATATTTGTTGAACTATTTGAAGGGAAGGACATTCCCAAACAAAAAAATAAAAGCAGATGCTGGGTTATGTGAAGTGGTATACTATTTTTTAAGTAAATGTAAAACTGCAGTGCTTCAGAAGAAATGTTAGAGGTGACATGAGTAAATTGTTTCCATAAGATTCTATTAATATGACTATAGTTGAATTTATTAGCTAGCAAAATATTAGTAAAGTGTTCACTTTTAAGAAAATTGAAGAAGCTCAAACCATTCTGGCAAAACAACAACACAACAACAACAAAAAAGTATCTTTAAGAAACTCAATGTGATTGGTCAGGTGACACCTTTTAGTTCCAATGTGGTTATTTATGATGTCACTGAACTTATCCCTGAGTCACTATGACTGATGATGTTACAATGATCATCACTGTATCCTTTGCTGGGCATATTTTGCTGACTGGCAAGGTTATATGAAGTGCTTTTATTGAAGCACCATTTTAACTAATAGCTCCTGGTATTTTCTGCTTCCCTTCGTAGGGAATTTAGTTATTTTATTTTATTATTTAGCTAATTTAGCTATTTTAAAATAGCTAAATTTTAGCTACTTTTTTTTCAATTGACAAAGAAGGATGTCTAATCAAAGACTACCGCTGATTTTTTCTCTGTTGTTTATCTGCTTCTTCGGGGAGAGTTTCTGCATTTGTGATGGAACTGTCTGGACAAAGGTTGGATGGGAGATTCTTCCAGAAGAAGTACATTATTGGAAAGTTAAGGGTTCTCCATCTCACTGCCTGCCTTATCTTCTGGATAAACTATGCTGCGACTTTGCTAACATGGATATATTTCAGGGTTGTTTATATCTCATTTATAATTTATTACAAGCTGTCTTCTTCGTCTTATTTGTTTTGTCTGTGCATTACCTGTGGAAGAAATGGAAGAAACACCAAAAAAAGGTGAATTCGTGATACAAGTAGTAATAGTTACAAAATCTCTAAGGGTTTAGAACATAATATTACTAGTTTCTTTGAGAGAGGGTACCGTGTTTTATTCCTCATTGTAACCTTCCCCCAACTTCCCATTCATTCCCAGCATCTAGCACAGTATCTTGCTCATACTAGGTGTTCAACAAATGTGTATTGAATTAGAAGGTCCTTAGAATCATCTAGCCCCCTCTACTTCAAGTTACAAAACACACCAAAAAAAGTAGTGTGCTACCATGAGGAGAATGTATGGAAAATCAAGTTATCTGTCTGGGTCCTTAGGTAAGTCATTTGCTCTATCTCAGTTGCCTCATCCACAAAAGGATCTGTAACAAGAGATCTCTTAGAACCCTTTCAGATGTATCTAAGAAATCTAAGTACAAAAGGTGTCATGTAATTTTTATATGGGCTATAAACTAATTGCTAATATTAGAACAACTTTCTGAGAAATGGAGCTTTTAAACTATTACATAATTTCCCACTTTGCCAATAGATGACACCATAGTTTGAGAGGCAACCTTAAAAGCTCTTTGATCAAAAAACAAACAAAACCTCATTGACCTTCAGAAGAATTAGATATTTATAAATGTTTTCTTATTTTTAAAATGACTATTACTTTATGGTGTTATACCTTGAGGTTCTTTCATAAACGAATACATTTTGCTAATCAAATAATTTCTCCCAAGAGAGTACCCTAAACATAGGACACACTAATTGTTTGCTGATGGTGATAAGGATCATACATGTGGCATATAGATAACATTTCCTCTGCACTTATACCTTACTTCTATAGTAACCTTCCTTTAGTATAAATAATTGATGTGTGCTGTTTTAATAAGGTTTGTTTACATATTTAGAACATAAATTTAATTTGAACTATATTATTAACTATACTATAGTATTGAACTCTACTGTTTTATGTAGATAAAATCTGTATTGTTTTTCTCCTTTTAGCTGAAAAAGCAAGCCTCCTTAGAAAAACCTGGTAATGATCTAGAAAGCCCATTGATCAACAACATTGACCAAACACTCCACAGAGTGGCAACCACAGCATCAGTGATATACAAGATCTGGGAGCACAGGTCTCACCATCCTTCCTCTAAGAAAATTAAGCACTGCAAATTAAAGAAGAAGAGTAAAGAAGAAGGAGCCAGAAGATACTAAATAAATGCATATGCAAATGTAGCTTAGTCAATTATAGATATCACAAAAGAAATCTATCATCTAAGGATTAAAAATTGTTCTTTGGAAACCTTTATAAACTTTTTGCCACAATCTTTACTAAAATTTTCCAAAGAAGCCTGGGTTGAAATGTTACTTCCCATTCAATTAAAAAAGAACCCGGACTTACTAAAGTACTAGAGAAGAAATTGTATACTGTAGAAAATGAAATAGAGGTTCCTCTTCAAAGGGACATTCCTCCCAGTCTAATTCAGAATAGATAGTAACCTCTCTTAGAAGCAAAATTTACTCAAAGACCTGTGCTAATATTCTTAAATTCTGCTAGCTGTAATAAAGAAATCAATATACTCTGTTCTTAGCTCCCACATTTTAGCATAGGTATTTGCCCTGGCATGCCTGAATAGGTCCAAGCAAGCATGAGGTCATAGCCTGTTTCTCTTTCCTTATTTGTAAGTGTTTTTGCCTCTCTCAGCATTCCACAGGTTAATTCCTCTCTTCCTTTGTTCTCCTCTGCCTTTGCCTCTTTTGGGAAGTTCTAAGTTGCTAGCCAATCAGGTTGAGTACAGAATGTGAGGTCCCATTCCAGCCAATGGAAACCGGACACAGCAGTAGGGTGGATGCATCAGGTTATAAATTACCCTGTCTCTTTTGTTGGTGTGTGGCAAGACTGCTAGCAAGCAGCACCCTTTCTGCAGAAAGTAAACTAGCCTTGCTGAGAGATCCTTTGTCTCAGTGTTGATTTTTGCAACACTAAGCACCCGTTCCCAACAATTTGGTGGCCCGTAGGGGATTAACATTCCCCTCTGGGACAGTCTTTGGTCCTCTCTCATGGGGAGGTGCCCCACTGCCCATTGTAGCAGCCCCTGGAGGACAGCCAGGACCTACCCGGAGCAAGGAATATAGTTGGATTCTCAGCAACGCAGGGAAAGAGAGAGGCTTGCAGGACCACAGTGACCAGGTGACTCCATGCACGGGCCAAGGTAGGAAAAGCTGCAAGAGGGTGGCAAAGTATTTCCTTGGTGGTCAGCTTTTGGAGGCTGAGTGTGTGTGTGTGTGTGTGTGAACGACTACCAGTCTGTTGCTGGACAGAGTGCATGAACACAAACAGGAAGGGTGTAAGGAACCACCGAAAGGGAAAAGGAGGAAGGTTAACCTCCCAGGGAAAGAGAATCGGCGAGACATCTCTGGTGTGAGAGATTGAGCCTTTCACAAGCCTTTAAGGATGGGACAGCCAAGACATCCCCAGTCTGAAGAATCTGGGGGATTGAGCCTTGCCGGGAAAAGAATAGGCGAGACATCCCTAGCACAAGGGATTGGGCCTATCTAGGATCCAACATGGGAAAAGGCCCTTGGCAAGCCTCCAAAGGAAGGAAGGGCAAGAAGCCTCTAGTAGGAGAGGTTGAGCCACCCCCAGCCCCCTGCCGCTGCCATATCCAGGAGTGCTAGAAACCTCCAGCAAGGAGCAAGGGGGGTTGAAAGCTCCAGGGAAAGGGCCTATCCCAGGCACCACCCCAAAACTTCAAGATAGGAAATGTTTCGAGTAAGACAGGGAAGATAAACACCTGTGGCTACAGCAATATTAGTTGAAGAAAGTAGAAAATTAACCTTTGGGGGGAGATTAACTGTAAGCACGCCCCACCAAGTTAGAGCTATTTTAAATCAAAAAGCAGGAAGGTGGCTTACTGACTCCAGAATCTTGAAATATAAGGCTATTTTGCTAGAAAAAGATGATTTACCCTTGACTACTGATAATTCACTCAACCCAGCGGGTTTCTTGGCAGGAGACCCAAATTTAAAAAACACTCGTGTCTAGATTTGACTGACTACCAAACAAAAGTCAGGCCAGATCTAGGAGAGGCCCCTTTTAAAACAGGACGGCACTGGTTTATAGATGGTTCCCCCAAAATAGTCAAAGGAGAAAAACATAATAGGTATTCAGTAATTGATGGAGAAACTCTTGAAGAAGTAGAGTCAGGAAGACTGCCCAATAATTAGTCTGCCCAAACCTGTGTCCTGTTTGCACTCAACCAAGCTTTGAAACATTTGCAGAACAAAGAAGGAACTGTTTATACTGATTCTAAGTATGCCTTTGGCGTGGCACATACAGTTAGAAAAATTTGGGCTGAGCAAGGTCTTATTAACAGTAAAGGCCAAGATCTAGTCCACAAAGAACTAATTTTTCGTGTCCTAGACAATCTCCAGTTGCCAGAAGAGATAGCTATTGTACATGTCCCAGGGCATAAAGGACTTTTCTTTCACAAGTCAGGGAAATAACCAAATGACCTTGCAGATCAGATAACCAAACAAGCTGCTGTTTCTTCTAAAATGCCTTTCACTTAACTCCTTGCCTTCCTTCCCCTACTGCAGTCCCCATCTTCTCTTCCACTAAAAAAGGAAAAGTTAATAAAAATAGAAGCTAAAGAGAACACAGAAGGAAAATGGATACTACCAGATCAAAGGGAGATGTTATCCAAACCTCTCATAAGGGAGTTCTTAACCATGGTTCTCAGCCTTCATGGGTGTATAGGAATTTATACCCTAGCCAAGCAAGTTACAAATAGTTGTCTAAAATGTTAAGAAAACCAACAAACAAGTCATAAAGAAATCACCTCCAAGGGGGAGGGATCCAGGACTAAGGCCATTCCAAAGTGTTCAAATGAACTGCACTGAAATGACTCCAATCGTTTGCCTCAAGTATTTGTTGGTAATAGTAGATCAGCTCAACTCACTAGATTGAAGCTACCTCCTTTTCAAATGCAACAGCTAATAATGTAGTTAAAGCATTAATTGAGAATATAGTGCCCAAATTTGGGCTAATAGAGAATATTGACTCAGACAATGGAACCTATCTCACAGCCCATGTCATTAAGAAGCTATCCCAGGTTTTAAACATTAGATGGGAGTATCATACCCCTTGGCATCCACCTTCATCAGGGAGGGTAGAAAGGATGAATCAGACTTTAAAGAACCATTTAACCAAATTAGTTCTAGAAACTCATTTACTGTGGACCAAATGTCTTCCCATTGCCTTATTGAGGATCAGGACAGCTCCCTGAAAGGATATAGGCCTGTCTCCATATGAAATGTTATATGGATTGCCTTATTTACATTCCTAAGCTGATGTTCCTGTGTTTAAAACTAAGGATCAGTTCCTGAGCAATTATATACTTGGTCTCTCCTCTACCTTTTCTTCTCTTAAGGTCAAAGGTCTCTTAGCACAGGCCACCACTAGAATTTCCAGCACACCAGCACCAACCCAGGGACCACCTTCTCATCAAAGGGTGGAAGGAAGGGAAACTCGAGCCCACCTGGGAAGGCCCCTATCTGGTGCTGTTAACCACCGAGACTGCCGTCCGCACAGCTGAGAAAGGATGGACCCACCATACTCTAGTTAAGAAAGCAGCTTCCTCGTCAGAATCATGGGTTGCTGTACCAGGATTGAGTCCTACCAAGTTGAAGTTAAAGAAAGCTTAATTTTTATATACCTTCTATATTGCTTCCTTTCCTTTCCTTATTCTGTTACTAGCTCCTTTGTTATTAATGTAACTAAGTCTGACTCACCTCAGACCATTGCCTTTAATGCTTGCTCTGTCACACCTTGTGGAGATGTGAAAGATCAATGACAGCTAGCCTTTTCACACAAATATTTATGCCCCAGCCCTCTAACTGACACAGTTATTCCTAGCTCTCATAGTTGTGATCGCCTGCAGCTGAGACACCAATTGTCTGCTCCTACAGCCTGGCAACCTTGCAGTAGCTGGAACTATGTCCTTTGAACTACTCAGGAGCAAGGTTAGACTTCCACGGAAGAGGTTTGTGCAAATCTAAAATCCCTCACCTATTTCTGTCAGCCTTATCAGTGTAACCCTGTCCTTCTCTCTCTCACCACCTCCACCTTAACTGATTCTAAACTTGCCCTTGTTCACTTCTATGGTATGGGGATTGATGTAAATGGGAAAGACCCCCTAGGCATTTTTGAGATATGCATTATTCCCCAGTCTTCCCCTTCTTCGGTAGCCTCAGTTTTAAATCCCACACCAGTTGCTCCTACACCTAATGATAAAACTAGGGTGTCTATTGTGAAAGTGAAATATCTTAAGACAGACCTTAGCCATTGAGATAGGATATCAAGATGCAAATGCCTGGCTGAAATCGATTAAATATTCCATTCGCACTTTAAATAAAAGCGATTGTTACGCTTGTGCACACGGTAGGCCAGAGGCCCAGACTGTCCCCTTTCCACTTGGATGGGCTCCTCGTTGACCAAGCATGGACTGTATGGTGGCTCTCTTCCAGAATCCCACTGCTTGGGATAATCCATCATGCCAAGCTCTCTCTGCTGTTTCCTGAAGTTCAACACACTGAGGGTCAGGCCCAGAGGGCAATCCAGCTTCCACCTCTAAATGCCAAGTTTACTTCCTGCCTCTCATGGCAAGGGGAGAATTTAGTGTTCCTTGGAAGCATAAAAAGATGCAAGGAGCTCAGGCCTTTCCAGAAGCTTGTTCATCAGTCCCCGAGCTGTATGATGGTACTGTGGAGGACCTTTACTGGACACTCTGCCTTATAATTGGAGTGGTACTTGTGCTCTAATCCAATTGACTATCCCCTTCACCCTGGCATTTCGTCAGTCTGCGAAAGTAAAAACAAGACACTGCAGGCCAAGGGAAACTCCATTTGAGTCCTTTGATCCTCAGGTTTACATAGATGCTATTGGGGTCCCATGAGGAGTGCCAGATAAGTTTAAAGCATGGAATCAAATAGCTACAGGATTTGAATCTACATTGTTCTGGTGGTTAACTACATATCTATAAATAAAAATATAGACTGGATAAACTATATTACAATCAGCAATGATTCATAAATTATACTAGGGACTCCATCGAAGGGATAGCTGAGCAAATAAGACCTACCAGCCAGATGGCCTGGAAAAATAGAATAGCCTTAGATATGATATTAGCAGAAAAAGGAGGTGTTTGCATAATGATTGAAACTCAATGTTGTACCTTTATTCCTAATAATACTACCCCTGATGGAACTATAACAAGAGTGCTACAAGGATTAACAGCCCTATCCAATGAACTTGCCAAAAATTCTGGATTAGATGATCCTTTTTCTAAAAGACAGAACATTGGTTCAGGGGATGGAAAGGGATTTTCACTTCAATTCTCACCTCGTTAGCTCTTGTTATTGGTGTACTTATTCTCATAGGCTGTTGTATTATTACCTGCCTTCAAAGTTTTATACAAAAACTTGTCTCTGCCACTCTTACAAAGTTAATTCCTAACTTTTCTTCACCCTATTCAGAAAGATTACTTCTCTTAAAAGGACAAACAGAGCAACTGAGTCAAGACATGTTAAACAAGTTTAAAGAGGAATTATAAAATAAAAGAGGGGGGAATTGTAGAAAATGAAATAGAGGTTCCTCTTCAAAGGGACATTCCTCCCAGTCTACTTCAGAATAGATAGTAACCTCTCTTAGAAGCAAAATTTACTCAAAGACCTGTGCTAATATTCTTAAATTCTGCTAGCTGTAATAAAGAAATCAATATACTCTGTTCTTAGCTCCACATTTTAGCCTAGATATTTGCCTGGGCATGCCTGAAGAGGTCCAAGCAAGCATGAGGTCATAGCCTGTTTCTCTTTCCTTATTTGTAAGTGTTTTTGCCTCTCTCAGCATTCCACAGGTTAATTCCTCTCTTCCTTTGTTCTCCTCTGCCTTTGCCTCTTTTGGGAAGTTCTAAGTTGCTAGCCAATCAGGTTGAGTACAGAATGTGAGGTCCTATTCCAGCCAATGGAAACCGGACACAGCAGCAGGGTGGATGCATCAGGTTATAAATGACCCTGTCTCTTTTCTTCGTGTGCGCTCTTGTGGCAAGACTGCTAGCGAGCAGCAACCCTTTCTGCAGAAAGTAAACTAGCCTTGCTGAGAGATCCTTTGTCTCAGTGTTGATTTTTGTGACACCAACCACCTGTTCCCAACATATACTATCACTGCTACATGTTTAAGTGTTTTGTTATTTTTAATGTGTTAGATTATATATAGAATAGAAGCTTAATTTAGTGTTTCAATACATCTCTGATAAATAATATCTGTGACTTGTCTTATTTGCCTGAGAATTTTTTTTTTTTTTTTTTTTGAGACAGAGTCTCACTCTGTCACCCAGGCTGGAGTGTAGTGGCTCCATCTTGGCTCACTGCAACCTCTGCCACCCTGGTTCAAGCGATTCTCCTGCCTCAGCCTCCCGAGTAGTTAGGATTACAGGCTCCTGCCACTGTGCCCAGCTAATTTTTGTATTTTTAGTGGAGATGGGGTTTCACCATCTTGGCCAGGCTGTCTTGAACTTCTGACCTCATGATCCACCTGCCTTGGTCTCCCAAAGTCCCGGGATTACAGGTGTGAGCCACTGCACCCAGGCTTCCTGAGAAAATTTTATAACCACAGGAAGACTTTTAATTTCCTACTTCAGATTGCTAAAATAGCATGGAAATATTAAAGAATATATTAATTTTTAAGTATAAATGTTTTCATTTTCAGTATAATAAATGATTATAGATTAATGTTTTTTTAATTTCAGACTTTTGTTGACAAGACAATTCAATTTTTTAAACTATGGTTACCGTATTTTTCAAAGAACAGCTAGGAGATAGGCCTGAGACTGGGACAGAAGATTTGACTTAAAGTATCTTGAAAAATCCCAGAAAAAATATATCTATAACATATCTGCCATCATTATAAGGAGGAAAAAAACTTTTCAAAAATAATACTTGAAACAGTAATAAACTTTACAGTTTTATAAGTAACGGAAAAGAATAGTACCTGGCTTGGGCTATTATGGATTACGAAAGGTTTATTTTGTTCCACTTTCCAGACTCCCTTTACCTCCGTTCCTCCTTAGCACAACCCCACCTTCACATTTCTAGAAATGTTTGTTTCATACTTTCAGAGTTCTGAAATGTTAGCTAATTCCCTCTAAGAGAATATTAATATACATTTATTCTAATGGTGAACTGTTGAAGACTTTAAAAATCCCCAAACCTCTAAAACCCAGAGAAATTTATCTCTAATAATGGAATTTTCAGTAGAATGCAGAAGACTATTTGGGGTAGGGATTTCTGAATCCTTTAAGTCTCCCCAGGTAACTCCTACTGTAATCACTAGAAGAAACAGAAGTGACATACATTCTTGATAAGACTGAATTAAATAGATGTTAAATTTTATGTTATTTATGTTTCTGACATTCCACAGCTACATTACTATGAAACTCCATTCTGAATAAGACTGAATTAAACAAATAGTAAGGCTGAATTAAATAAATGTTAAATTTTATGTTGAGTTATTTATGTTTCTGACATTCCACAGCTACATTACTATGAAACTCCAATATTAATTTAATCATTGATCTGGAAACACAATACTAGTTTGCTTTTTATAGTTTTCATTTCTTTTCACCACTAAGACATATTCGGTATAATTGCTCCAAGAACCTAAGGACTCAAATTAAACAGATGGATATTATGAAGAAGGAAGCCAATAATACCTCACATCCATAAGCCCCAAAAAATTTTTCAGAAAAGTTACAGCAAAATTTGTCCTTGAATTGTGATTTTTAAGTACTATGGGTCATTTTTCAAAAATGGATTTTAAATTATGGAATGTGGGCTGGGCATGGTGGCTCATGCCTGTAATCCCAGCACTTTGGGAGGTTAAGGAGGGCAGATCACGAGATCAGGAGTTCGAGACCAGCCTGACCAACATGGTGAAACCCTGTCTCTACTTAAAATATAAAAATTAGCCAGCCATAGTGGCACATGCCTGTAATACCAGCTACTTGGGAGGCTGAGGCAGGAGAATCACTTGAACCCGGGAGGCATAGGTTGCAGTGAGTCAAGATCACGTCATTGTACTCCAGCTGGGGCAACAAGAGCGAAACTCCATCTCAAAAAAAAAAAAAAAAATTATGGAATGTGAATTTCACCTAAAATTACTATTCATGGGGGGAATCAATTGAATTATTTGCTATTTGTGTTTTCCTTTTACTTACAGATCTAATCATAAAAATAGAAGATATTGACATAAGATTGCTTATAGAAAATATTTAGTTCAAGTGGACAGTTAATTATAAAAATAATCTACAAAGCACAACTCATCTCTTTCTTCCCAAATGTGTTTCCTTCAAGTTCCTTGTTTCTATCAATTATTCTAGTCCCTTTCTCATTTTATTGATGAACATGCATCTTACCACTACCAGCTGAAACTTCCTCAAGTTCACTTTCATCCTCTTCCTCTTCTACATAACAATTTTCAGTGGCTCCCAGAATAAAATAAAAACACCTTAGCCTGGCATTTAAGGGTATGGTGTAATAAAAGCAGCAGCATTTTTCAAGTGCTGACCACATGCCAGGTATTGTGGTAACTGCTTTATATCATCTCATTTAATTTTCACAGCAATCCACAAAAGGTGGGAACTATATTATTTGCCCCTTTTTCAGAGAAGGAAACTGAGGTATAGAGAATTTAAGCACCTTGTCCAAGGTCACATAGGTTTCAAGTAGGGACACCAGTATTTAAACTCAATCTCAAGAAGACATGTATTAACCCTTTTATTATTCTACCTATGTTATAGCCTACCTGTGGAAACTATGACCTACTACTCAATAAGGCAATCTTGTCACCATCCTCCAACATGCCACTTTCACTCACAGCTCTAAGATTTTGCTCATGCCCTTTCCCTCTCTATTGCATATTCAAATCCCATCCATTCTTCAAGGCCCAGCTCAAGCCCAACATGCTCTGACTTCCTATTCTTCCACCACTCTATAGCACAGAATACTTGCTCTGCCAATTTTAACCTTTAATCACAGTCTTTCTGATATTTTTATATAATTGTTGAATGTGTCCATAACTTATAATCTCCCACCTAACAAATATCCAGAGGGTAGGAACAACCAATTGTATCTACAGCAATACTATGCTCACAATGGGAATTCAATAAATGCTTGCTAAAAACAGGAATGCAGATAACCATGCAAAATAAATGCTGTAAACTTCATAAATACTAGCTTAGTTACAAAGGTACATCTTCCTGAAATCTCTTTAAGCTATACTTTACAGGGTTGTGGAAGTATATATGCAAAATATTAGCAAATTCAAAATAGTACTATTTTTTGAACTTCGTATTGAAGTATAACTTACAAACAGAAAAGTACAAAAACCATGCATACAGCTCAATGAATTTTCAAAGAAACATACCCATGTACCAGCAACCAGGTTAAGAAAAAGAACATTACATCCCAGAAGTTCCCCATGCCGTAAGGGTAGCTACTATTCTGACTATTAGCACTATAAATTAATTTAGCCTAAATAAACCTTTCTAAAATTATTGTTACAACCTTTTATATTTGAGGAATCAAATGTATTACTCAAATATGCTATTTTTTAAACATTTAAGAAATGACCCACTTTGCCTGAGTCTCTCAAAAAATGGCCTTGAACATACATATTGAACATACAATAATCTTCTTATAGAAATTATTTTCTCATAGACAATTATTGGTGAGACAGAAGTTGGTAAATCAACTAGCTTCCAATATGTTCAGTTCCTAATAAATACAATGTTTATGGCCAATAGCAAAACAAAGAAAGAGGGGGAAATTTCATGTATTATCACCAACTGTGACTGTGGTTGTATCTACAAACAAAACACTGTGAAAAAAGGTGACATATCCTGTAACTCATAGGAGAAAAACTCATCACATCAGTCAGTTTGCTAACCCCTTGTGAGCTTCCTTACCTGCCCAGTCCAGGAATTCAACACACTCAGTCTGAGAATATCTAGCAGCAACATCTCGAGCCCTTTCTTCCCGGAAGTTCAAAGCTTCTATATCAACATCCAGTTCTACCAGTGCTTTCAAAGTTTCCAAACGACCCCAGGCTGCAGCACAATGTAAGAGTGTGTACCCTAACAAATGGAATGAAGATGGTGAGATCAAACAGACTACATTGTTTTAGGCTAATTTATGTAGTGGAAGATCATAATGGTGATCAAGTATTGAACAATTACTGTGGGCCAGGCACTATTCTAACTGTCTTACATATAGAAAACTCATTTAGTTTTATAAAACCACTATGATGTCAGAACTACTACAGTTCTCATTTTATAGACAAGGAAACTAAAGTCCAGGTGGATTAAGAAACTTGCCCAAGGAAACATCCCTGGCAAACAGTAAATGATGGATGCCAGCATAGACTGTCTGAAGGCTGAGCTCTTCAACATCATGGGAGGAAGATGGCAATCTCCCTAGCAGTCACCTATTCTGAACGCAACTGGACCTGTGATTTTAAAGAATTTTTATCAAACTCTAATTAGCATTATTGTTAGCACAATCATACAAATTACTACAACTGTGTATACCTTAGGTTTGGAAATTCTATTAATTAAAACTAAAATTATGGCCTATCAAATTAGAAAGTCATTTCTTAGACTTTCTCAAGTGACTATCATGAGGTATAATTGTAAACAAGAAGAATATGGAAGGCATCTTTAAATATTTTTCAGATTGATTTTTTAAAAATTAAAGATCACTGTTTGAACTTGCTCACAAGGATATACATACTTCTTTTTACTACAATTCACTTTATTGCACAGAGGGACAATACTCTTAAGCTTTCTAGAGGCTTCCTGGTGTGATAAAGGGACAACCACAGTCAATCCCATAATCTTTTGTGTCTAAATACTCTAAACTGTTTTTTCAGACAGGTCTCACTCTGTTGCCCAGTTTAGAGTGCAGTGGCATGAATAGCTCACTGCAGCCTCGAACTCCTAGGCTCAAGCAATCTTCCCACCTCAGCTTCCTGAGTAGCTGGGACTATAGGCTCATGCCAGCATGCCCAGATATTTTTTTTTTTTTAGATGGAGTCTTTCGCTGTTGCCAGGCTGGAGTGCGGTGGCACGATCTCGGCTCACTGCAACCTCCGTGTCCCGGGTTCAAGCTATTCTGCCTCAGCCTCTGGAGTAGCTGGGACTACAGGCATGCAGCACCACGCCCAGCTTATTTTTGTATTTTTAGTAGAGACAGGGTTTCATCATGTTGGCCAGGATGGTCTTGATCTCTTGACCTCGTGATCCACTTGCCTCAGCCTCCCAAAGTGCTGGTATTATAGGCATAAGCCACCATGCCCAGCCAATAATTTTTTAAATATTTTGCAGAGACAGAGTCTCAGTATATTGCCCAGGCTCGTCTGGAACTCCTGGGCTTAAGCAGTCCTTTCCTGGCCTCCCAAAGTGCTAGGATTACAGGCATGAACCACCACACCCAGCCACTCTGAACTTTTTGATCCAACATGTCAACAGAAGGTTATAGAGTCATATACTCAGTTTTTTCTCGGAAGCATGCTTTTCTGACAGTGAATCTTAATTTTCATGTCTTTGTCATATGGACAGGCTTGGAATTTCCCAAATTATCCTTTTCTCAATTTATTTTTCCCCTGGTATTTTCCTATAAGCAGTGAGAAGAAACCAGGAGCACCTGCAACACTTAGCTTAGGAATCCCCTCTCTAAATAAGGTTTCATGATGACATAGAATCAGAATGAAGAAATAGAATATTTTAGAGTGTATCATCAAGTCCTAAAAGACTATACACCTATTCCCACACATTGGAAAATACCTACAAAAAAGATGGCAATATTCATGTCAACCAGTCACAATACTACCTTCCTTGAATAGTGTTAGGGACACAATGCCAAATATTGATTTGGGTCTCTCCTTTTCCTTTATATAGTATGGTTTTCAGGTATTACTATTATCCTCATTTTTATAGATGAAGAAACCATAGCACAGAAAGGTTATATAATTTGCCCAAGTCACATAGTCAAGTTAGTGGAAAGCTGGGGTTTTAACTCAGGTAGTCTGGCTGTAAAATCCATGCTCTTAACCAATCTATTACAGAATCCTTTTGTAACTTGATTTTTGTCTCAATATTTTTAAGTGTTATCCATTTTAATACCCAAAGAGCTAATTCATTCCTTTTAATTATTGTGTAATATTCCATTGTATGAAAACAATTTATCTACCCTTCTATTGTTTATTTCCAATGATTAACTGTTATAAGCAATATTTGAATAATCATCTTATACTTATGTCTTCTTGTAAGCATGTGTGAGAGTTTCCCAAAGACATATATCTAGAAATGGAAATTAGGATCATCAGGTATGTCCATGAACAACTTGATATAAGTGTTCTCAAAAGGGATTATACCAATTTATACTCCCTCCTCAGAGTGAAGGAATTCCCATTTCCTACATCTTTACCAATGTTTAATCCTGTCAAATATTTAAATTTTTCTGAATCTGATGAGTCATGGTAGCCCATTGTTTACATTTGCTTTTAATAGTGAAGTTAAACATATTTTCATTTATTTACTGGCCATGAGAGTTTCTCTTCCATAAATTGCATGTTCCTATCCTCTGCCTATTTTTCTATTGGGTTGAATTCTAAGCCTGTTGATTAGTAGGCTGTCTTTACATAGATATATCCTTTGTCTGTGGCTTATTTTGTCATTTTGTTTATGATATCTTTTATGCAGAGTTTAAAATTTAGGTAGATAGACAGATCTTTTCCCTTAGTGGTTGGGTTCTTTATATCTCAAGATATTCTGTGATGTCTCAAGAATATAGCAATACTCTATTTTTCAGAAAGTTTAAAATATTTTGCTTTACACATTCATGTCTTACAATCATCTGTAATTGATTTTTATGTATGGTACAAAGTAGGTATATAATTTTATTTTTTTCCAGATGAATAATAAATATTCTCTGGCATCATATATTAAATAGTTCATTTTCCCCACTGAAATTTAGGGTCAGCTTCTCAGTTTGCTTTTAAAAAGATTCTTCTGAGATATTAACTACACTGACAAATTAATTGGGAAGAAATTAAGAGAAACAGCGTTATGATATTTAGTCTCACTATTGAGACATATATACATTTCGTGTGGTCTTTCATATAAATCAATAAAGTTTCATACTTTTTGCCATAAATGTCTTACAATTCTTATTTTATTATTATTACACTTTAAGTTCTAGGGTACATATGCACAACATGCAGGTTTGTTACATAGGTATACATGTGCCATGTTGGTTTGCTGCACCCATTAACTCGTCATTTACATTAGGTATTTCTCCTAATGCTATCTCTCCACCAACCCCCTGCCCTATAATAGACCCCGGTGTGTGATGTTCCCCACCCTGTGTCCAAGCGTTCTCATTGTTCAATTCCCACATATGAGTGAGAACACGGTTTGGTTATCTGTCCTTATGATAGTTTGCTGAGAATGATGGTTTCCAGCTTCATCCATGTCCCTGCACAGGATATGAACTCATCCTTTTTTATGGCTGCAGAGCATTCCGTGGTATATATGTGCCACATTTTCATAATCCAGTCTATCATTGATGGGCACTTGGGTTGGTTCCAAGTCTTTGCTATTGTGAATAGTGCCGCAATAAACATACGTGTGCGTGTGTCTTTATAGTAGCATGATTTATAAACCCTTGGGTATATACCCAGTAATGGGATGGCTGGGTCAAATGGTATTTCTAGTTCTAGATCCTTGAGGAAAATTGTGTTCCACAATGGTTGAACTACTTTACACTCCCACCAACAGTGTAAAAGCATTCCTATTTCTCCACATCCTCTCCAGTACCTGTTGTTTCCTAACTTTTTAATCATCACCATTCTAACTGGTGTGAGATGGTATCTCATTGTGGGTTTGATTTGCATTTCTCTGATGACCAACAATGATGAGTATTTTTTCATGTGTCTTTTGGCTGCAGAAATGTCTTCTTTTCAGAAGTGTCTGTTCATATCCTTTGCCCACTTTTTGATGGGGTTGTTTTTTTCTTTTAAATTTGTTTAAGTTCTTTGCAGATTCTGGATATTAGCCCTTTATCAGATGGGCAGATTGCAAAAATTTTCTCCCATCCTGTAGGTTGTCTGTTCACTCTGATGGTAGTTTCTTTTGCTGAGCAGAAGCTCTTTAGTTTAATTAGATACTGTTTGTCGATTTGGGCTTTTGTTGCCATTGCTTTTGGTGTTTTAGTCATGAAGTCCTTGCCCATGCCTATGTCCTGAATGGTAATGCCTAGGTTTTCTTCTAGGGTTTTTATGGTTTTAGGTCTAACATTTAAATCTTTAATCCATCTTGAATTGACTTTAGCATAAGGTGTAAGGAAGGGATGCAGTTTCAGGTTTCTACATATGGCTAGCCAGTTTTCCCAGCACCATTTATTAAATAGGGAATTCTTTCCCCATTTCTTGTTTTTGTCGGGTTTGTCAAAGATCAGATGATTGTAGATGTGTGGTGTTATTTCTGAGGCCTCTGTTCTGTTCCATTGGTCTATATCTCTGTTTTGGTACCAGTACCATGCTGTTTTGCTTACTGTAGCCTTGTAGTATAGTTTGAAGTTAGGTAGCATGATGCCTTCAGCTTTGTTGGCTTTTTGCTTAGGATTGTCTTGGCAATGCAGGGTCTTTTTTGGTTCCATATGAACTTTAAAGTAGTTTTTTCCAATTGTGTGAAGAAAGTCATTGGTAGCTTGATGGGGATGGCATTGAATCTATAAATCACCTTGAGCAGTATGGCCATTTTCACGATATTGATTCTTCCTATCCATGAGCATGGAATGTTCTTCCATTTCTTTGTGTCCTCCTTTATTTCGTTGAGCAGTGGTTTGTAGTTCTCCTTGAAGAGGTCCTTCACATCCCTTGTAAGTTGGATTCCTACGTATTTTATTCTCTTTGTAGCAATTGTGAATGGGAGTTCATTCATGATTTGGCTCTCTGTTTCTCTGTTATTGGCGTATAGGAATGCTTGTGATTTTTGCACATTGCTTTTGTATCCTGAGACTTTGCTGAAGTTGCTTATCAGCTTAAGGAGATTTGGGGCTGAAACGATGGGGTTTTCTAAATACACAATCATGTCATCTGCAAACAGGGACAATTTGACTTCCTCTTTTCCTAATTGAATACCCTTTATTTCCTTCTCCTGCCTGATTGCCCTGGCCAGAACTTCCAACACTATGTGGAATAGGAGTGGTGAGAGAGGGCATCCCTGTCTTGTGCCAGTTTTCAAAGGGAATGCTTCCAGTTTTTGCCCATTCAGTATGATATTGGCTGTGGGTTTGTCATAAATAGCTCTTATTATTTTGAGATACATTCCATCAATAACTAGTTTATTGAGAGTTTTCAGCATGAAGGTCTGTTGAATTTTGTCAAAGGCCTTTTCTGTATCTGTTGAGATAATCATGTGTTTTTTTGTCATTGGGTCTGTTTATGTGATGGATTATGTTTATTGATTTGTGTATGTTGAACCAGCCTTGCATCCCAGGGATGAAGGCAACTTGATCATGGTGGATAAGCTTTTGATGTGCTGCTGGATTCTATTTGCCAGTATTATATTGAGGATTTTCACATCGATGTTCATCAGGGATATTGGTCTAAAATTCTCTTTTTTGGTTGTGTCTCTGCCAAGCTTTGGTATCAGGATGACGCTGACATCATAAAATGAGTTAGGGAGGATTCCCTCTTTTTCTATTGATTGGAATAGTTTCAGAAGGAATAGTACCAGCTCCTCCTTGTAACTCTGGTAGAATTCGGCTGTCAATCCATCTGCTCCTAGACTTTTTTTGGTTGGTAGGCTATTGATTACTGCCTCAATTTCAGATCCTGTTATTGGTCTATTCAGCAGTTCAACTTCTTCCTGGTTTAGTCTTGGGAGGATGTATGTGTCCAGGAATTTATCCATTTATTCTAGATTTTCTAGTTTATTTGTGTAGAGGTGTTTATAGTATTGACTGATGGTAGTTTGTATTTCTGTGGGATCGGTGGTGACATCCCCTTTATCATTTTTTATTGTGTCTATTTGATTCTTCTCTCTTTTCTTCTTTATTAGTCTTGTTAGCAGTCTATCAATTTTGTGGATCTTTGCAAAAAAACAAGTCCTGTATTCATTGATTTTTTTGAAGGGTTTTTTGTGTCTCTATCTCCTTCAGTTCTGCTCTGACCTTAGTTATTTCTTGCCTTCTGCTAGCTTTTGAATATGTTTGCTCTTGCTTCTCTAGTTCTTTTAATTGTGATGTTAGGGTGTTAATTTTAGATCTTTCCTGCTTTCTCTTGTGGGCATTTAGTGCTATAAATTTTCCTCTACACACTGCTTTAAATGTGTCCCAGAGATTCTGGTATGTTGTGTCTTTGTTCTCACTGGTTTCAAAAAACATCTTTATTTCTGCCTTCATTTCATTACTTATCCAGTAGTCATTCAGGAGCAGATTGTTCAGTTTCCATGTAGTTGTGTGGTTTTGAGTGACTTTCTTAATCCTGAGTTCTAATTTGATTGCACTGTGGTCTGGGAGATAGTTTGCTGTGATTTTAGTTCTTTTACATTTGCTCAGGAGTGCTTTACTTCCAACTATGTGGTCAATTTTAGAATAAGTGTGATATGGTACTGAGAAGAATGTATATTCTGTTGATTCGGGGTGCAGCATTCTGCAGATGTCTATTAGGTCTGCTTGGTGCAGAGCTGAGTTCAAGTCCTGGATATCCTTGTTAACCTTATGTCTCGTTGATCTGTCTAATGTTGACAGTGGGGTGTTAAAGTCTCCCATTATTATTGTTTGGGAGTCTAAATCTCTTTGTAGGTCTCTAAGGACCTGCTTTATGAATCTGGGTGCTCCTGTATTGGGTGTCTATATATTTATGATAGTTAGCTCTTCTTGTTGAATTGATCCCTTTACCATTATGTAATAGCCTTATCTCTTTTGATCTTTGTTGGTTTTAAGTCTGTTTTATAAGAGACTAGGATTGCAACCCTTGCTTTTTTTTTTTTTTTTTTTGCTTTCCATTTGCTTGGTAGATCTTCCTCCATCCCTTTATTTTGAGCATATGTGTGTCTCTGCACATGAGATGGGTCTCCTGAGTACAGCACACTGATGGGTCTTGACTCTTTATCCAATTTGCCAGTCAGTGTCTTTTAATTGCGGCATTTACATTTATGGTTAATATTGTTATGTGTGACTCTGATCCTGACATTATGATGTTAGCTGATTATTTTGCCTGTTAGTTGATGCAGTTTCTTCCTAGTATCAATGATCTTTATAACATGGCATGTTTTTTCAGTGGCTGGTACCAGTTGTTCCTTTCCATGTTTAGTGCTTCCTTCAGGAGCTCTTGTAAGGCAGGCCTGGTGGTGACAAAATCTCTCAGCATTTGCTTGTCTGTAAAGGATTTTATTTCTCCTTTACTTACGAAGCTTAGTTTGGCTGGATATGTAATTCTGGGTTGAAAATTCTTTTCTTTAAGAATGTTGAATATTGGCCCCCACTCTCTACTGGCTTATAGAGTTTCTGCCGAGAGATCAGCTGTTAGTCTGATGGGCTTCCCTTTGTGGGTAACCCAACCTTTCTCTCTGGCTGCACTTAACATTTTTTCCTTCATTTCAACCTTGGTGAATCTGACAATTATGTGTCTTGGGGTTGCCCTTCTTGAGGATTATCTTTGTGGTGTTCTCTGAATTTCCTAAATTTGAATGTTGGCCTGCCTTGCTAGGTTGGGGAAGTTCTCCTGGATAATATCCTGAAGAGTGTTTTCCAACTTGTTTCCATTCTCCCCATCACTTTCGGGTACACCAATCAAATGTAGATTTGGTCTCTCCACATAATCCCATATTTCTTAGAGGCTTTGTTCATTTCTTTTTACTCTTTTTCTCTAATTTTGTCCTCTCACTTTATTTCATTAATTTGATCTTCAATCGCTGATAACCTTTCTTCCACTTGATCGAATTGGCTACTGAAGCTTGTGCATGCATCACATAGTTCTCCTGCCATGATTTTCAGCTCCATCAGGTCATTTAATGTCTTCTCTACACTGTTTATTCTAGTTAGCCATTCGTCTAATCTTCTTTCAAGGTTTTTAGCTTCCTTGCGATGGGTTCAAACATCCTTCTTTAGCTCAGAGAAGTTTGTTTTTACTGACCTTCTGAAGCCAACTTCTGTCAACTCATCAAAGTCATTCTCCGTCCAGCTTTGTTCCGTTGCTGGTGAAGAGCTGTGATCCTTTGGAGAAGAGGTGCTCTTGTTTTTAGAATTTTCAGCTTTTCTGCTCGGTTTCTCCCCATATTTGTGGTTTTATCTACCTTTGGTGTTTGACGTTGGTGACCTACAGATGGGGTTTTGCTGTGGATGTCCTTTTTGTTGATGTTGATACTATTCCTTTCTGTTTGTTAGTTTTCCTTCTAACAGTCAGGTCCCTCAGCTGCAGGTCTGTTGGAGTTTGCTGGAGGTCCACTCCAGACCTGTTTGCTTGGGTATCACCAGCAGAGGCTGCAGAACAGCAAATATTGCAGAACAGCAAATATTGCTGCCTGATCCTTCCTCTGGAAGCTTCGTCCCAGAGGGGCACCCACCTGTATGAGGTGTCAGTCGGCCCCTACTGGGAGGTGTCTCCCAGTTAGGCTACATGGGGATCAGGAGGCAGTGTGTCCGTTCTCAGAGCTCAGACGCCATGCTGGGAGAACCACTGCTCTCTTCAGACCTGTCAGACGGGACATTTAATTCTGCAGAAGTTTCTGCTGCCTTTTGTTCAGCTATGCCCTGACCCCAGAGGTGGAGTCAACAGAGGCAGCAGGCCTTGCTGAGCTGTGGTGGGCTCCACCCAGTTCGAGCTTCCCTGGCTGCTTTGTTTACCTACTCAAGCCTCAGCAATGGCAGATGCCCCTCCCCCTGCCACGCTGCTGCCTCACAGGTCAATCTCAGACTGATGTGCTAGCAGTGAGCAAGGTTCTGTGGGCATGGGACCCGCCAAGCCAGGCACGGGATATAATCTCCTGGTGTGCCATTTGCTAAGACTGTTGTAAAAGCACAGTATTTAGGCAGGAATGTCCCGTTTTTCCAGGTACAGTGTATCATGGCTTCCCTTGGCTAGGAAAGGGAAATCCCCTGACCCCTTGTGCTTCCCATGTGAGGCGATGCCCTGCCCTGCTTTGGCTCACCCTCCACGGGCTGCACCCAATGTCCAACCAGTCCCAATGAGATGAACCAGGTACCTCAGTCGGAAATGCAGAAATCACCCGTCTTCTGCGTCGATCATGCTGGGATCTGCAGACTGGAGCTGTTCCTATTTGGCCATCTTGTAATGGACCCATGTCTTAAACCATTCTTTTGTCAGACTTATTCCTAGTTTCTTTATCATTTTGTTATGAATAAGATCTTTATTTGTATCACATTTTCTTGTTGTTCATGGTATATAGAAAGTTGCTGATTGGGATATTGGTCTTATGTTCATATTCTTCCTAAACTCTCTTAGCACTAATAGTAGATTCCCTTGAATTTAAGTCTATGTACCTATGAATAATCAGAGTTTTGTTTCTTATACTCTAATCTTTATATCCAGTAGTGTGCTGGTAAATGTATAACTAGTTATCTGGAGAAAAAAGCCCTGATTTGTATCATTAGCCAATTACTGTGATGTATGGCCCGACATGGCCAGTTTCAACAGCTATCAACATGACGTCAACCAATTCACAGAAACTCTGAAAATTTAACAATCAGTTCTTCAGAGCTCATAAAAGCTGGCTCTAGCACAATACTGTGTTATTTCTCTTACCCTTCTTACTGCTCTTGCTGGAACCTCTATTATAATGATAAATGGAAGCCATAATAACAAATATCTTAGTCTTATTTCTGATTATAAAGAATGCTTCTGAAAAATCCAATGTTGGGTAAGTTCGCTTTGGGTTTTTGATAGACAGCCTTAAGGAAAGTTTCTTCTATTCCTATTTCCCTAAGAGCTTTCATCACGAGCCAGATGCAGTGGCTCATGCCTGTAATCCCAGCACTTTGGGAGGCCGAAGGAAGAGCATTGCTTGAGCCCAGGAGGTAGGGAGGCTTGTCTCAAACTCCTGGGCTCAAGCTATGCTCCCACCTTGGCCTCCCATAGTGCTGGGATTACAGGTGTGAGCCACCACACCTGGCTCTAATGATTTTTTTTACATCTTAGGTTTTTTTCTGTGTTAATATTCTATGTTTTCAATTCCAAATATTATTTGTGCTGTCTCTCTCTGATTAATAGTATTAAAGCTCGGCTGGGCGCGGTGACTCACACCTATAATCCCAGCACTTTGGAAGGCCAAGGCAGGTGGATCACCTGGGGTCAGGATTTTGAGACCAGCCTGGCCAACGTGGCAAAACCCCCTCTCCACTAAAAAATACGAAAATTAGCCAGGCATGTTGGTGCATGCCTGTAATCCCAGCTACTCGGGAGGCTGAGGCAGGAGAATTGCTTGAACCCAGGAGGTGGAGGCTGTAGTGAGCCAACATTGTGCCACTGCACTCCAGCCTGGGTGACAGAACAAGACTCTGTCTCAAGAAAAAAAAAAAAGAGAACAACAAATATGTGTGTGTCTGTGTATGTGTATGTGTATAATCAAATGTTTTTCAACTCATTTTCAGTGAACCCAATTTTGGTATTATCAATCCTTTCCTTTCCATCTATTCTGTTTTCTATTTTCTTTCTTCTTCTTCTTTTTTTTTTTTTTTTTTTCAGCAACAGGGTCTTATCATGTCACCCAGGCTGTTCTTGAACTCCTGACCTCAAGCAATCCTCTTGCCTCGGCCTCCCAAAGTGCTGAGATTTTAAGTGTGAGCCTCTGCACCTGGCCTCTGGCCTATTTCTTTATTTTCAATGTCATTAATTTATTCAATTATTTTTCTTTTATTTTCTTTGGTTACTCAGTTGTTCTTTTTCTAATTTCTTCAGTCAAATGCTTTGTTTACTAAATTTTTTATGTTTCTTATATTCTAATATATGTATTATACTAGAATTTTAATTTTAGTTGTATCCCATGGGTTCAGACATAGAGTGATGCTGTTGTCACTTAAACATTTCATAATTTTCATTATATCTTCTGTGACCAATAGATGATTTAAAGTGTGTTCTTGGCTGGATGCATAGCTCACACCTGTAATCCCAGCACTTTGGGAGGCCAAGACAGGTGGGTCACTGGAGGTCAGGAGATCGAGACCAGCCTGGCCAACATGGTGAAACCCCGTCTCTACCAAAAAATACAAAAATTAGCCAGGCGTGGTGACCCATGCCTGTAGTCCCAGCTACTCAGGAAGCTAAGGTGTGAGAATCACTTGAACCTGGGAGGCGGAGGTTGCAGTGAGCTGAGATCATGCCATTACACTCCAGCCTGGGCGACAGAGTGAGACCCTGTCTCAAAAAATAAAAATGAAAATAAAAAATAAATGAAGTGTGTTCTTGTTTTCAGTTTTCAGTTACCTTTTTGTTACTACTTTTTAATTTTATTTTGTTGTAGTCACTGATCAAAGACTATATGCTATAGATACTTTGATAGTTGTTAAGACTTCCTTTATGGCTCAACATATGATCAATATTTTTTAAATGTTCCATGTGAGCATGAAGAGAATGTATATCCTTTCTTTGCTGAAGATCATGCTGATGATCTTTTTTTTATTTTCTACCATGACCACGTATTATATTTGCAATCTGAAAAAATAATTACTGAATTTAAAAAGCGACTTAGATAATGATTGCTAAAAAATTAATAAATCTTCAAAGGAAAGAGATAACAGTAAATTATTACACATTTACTATATATCAATTTACGATATGCCAAGCACTAAAATATTTATTTTATCCTATTTAATCCTCATTATACCCTATAAGGAAAATATAATTATTATCCCCATTTTGCAGATGGAAAAACAGATACACAAAAAGATCAGGTAACTTGCCAAGTCACACAGCTAATAAATAGTAAAGTCTATGTTCTAAAATACTATACTATGTAATATCAACATTGATACATTTACATGTATACACATACATACACCCATATAGATGTATATACACATATATGTAAAGTATAAAACAGGCACATCAAATATATCTAACCTTAAAGATATTACATTGCATCTTTAGGTAGTCATAAGTAATACTGATGAGAGAAAAAAGACAAAATACCTCTGGTGGTTTTTTCATTCAGATTCACACCATATTTTGCCAAAGCTCTAATCACGTCACTTTGCCCAGCCATGCAAGCTGCATACAACAAATTTCTCCCAACGATGTCTTCTTCTAAGAGAAGCTGCATGGCCTGTTCATGATGAGGATTCTCAGGATCCTCAAATATCTTCTGCAAACCCTCTACATCCCCTGTGAGAGCAGGTTGTAAAAGGGGGTTCTTAGGGCCTGTTTCCTCTGGTTCTTGGGCTTCTTCTTCTTCATTTTCCTCTTCTTGCTGTGAGAAAAATTCTGAACTCTCTGACTCTGGAGGTCCTTCTGACTCCATTAACTCCAAAAATACCTATGACCAAAAAAATAAAAAAGTGATAAAAATCTACTCAAACACATCAGTATTTGTTTATTTATTTGCTCAGTCAACTGACAATATAGATGGTATAAAAATACTTAACTATTTGAAAATAACTATAAAGTAAGATACTTCAGCAATTCCATCAATAAAGTTTATTGTGTACCTATTATGAGTAGGTACATATAACATAGCTCAAGTATATACTAAAATGTTAAATGTGTGAAATAAATAATAAATTCAATAGAAACAGGAGAAGAAAGAGATCATATGATCTAAATTCATTAGGAAGAGATTGAAAAAGAATGTCTAAGAGACCCACTTGCCTAAATAAGGGTCCTTGTATGAGAGAAGTGAGAAATATAATTGGGTTACTGGAGCCAGATTATGATTAAAAATTAGGCAACGACATTTAAACAGAATTCATTCAGTCAGTAACACATACTGAAAGCACTGTGTAAATTGTGAAAACCAGAATCAAATTTATTTCCTACCTTCAACAAGTTACTATTTCAAAGGAAAAAATATGAAGTGCACAAAATAAGTGTAATAAAAGGTGACAAGTAGTAATAATGCTATGGGAGAAATGCTATGGGAGTTTAGAAGCAATAAGATTAATTCCAGATAAAATTATTCAAGATGTTTCTTTTTTTTTCACAACAGACAGGAAATGTGCCCGTGTTGTAACAAGGTTTGAAGGAGGTACCTCTCACACATGAGCATGAAAACCCAATAATCACACCTATGAATTACAAAAGGATCTAACTAAGGATGTCTTAATGGTGCTTCAGTCTGTCAGAACACAGTATTAAACTGGGAAAGATTCAGAGAAGAGTACCAGAGTCCCTTCATTACGTACAAGAATGTTTGTGGCATCACTGTTCACAACAGCAAAAAACCCAGAAGGGAAAACCAATGTCCAAGAAGATGAGCATAAACTGGTATATTCACACAAAATGGTATATAACTGTTAAAAGAAATAAATTACAATGATATGCCATATGGTAGGCAAGTTCTGACAAGGCTCCCAATGTCCCACCCCTGCCTCCTGGTATTCATACCTTCGTGTAATTTCCTTACCTTGAATGTGGGCTGGACCTAGTGACTGGCTTCTAATGAAGAGAGTACAGCAATAATGAGGGGATGTAAATTCTGTAATTCAGTTACAACAGACTGTGATTTTGTCTTGCTGATATTCTCTCCCTGGCTCTTCTCATGCGCTGTGATGGAGAAGGCCACCTTTCAAGGAACTGAGGGTGATCTCTGTTCAACAGCCAGTAAGAATCAAAGCTCTTAATCCAATTCCATAAGGAACTTAATTCTGCCAGCAACCACTGAGTGAGCTTGGAAGTAGATCTGGCCCAGTTAACCTTGAGGTGACTATGGCCTCAGGCAACACCTTGATTATAGCCTCATGAGAAATCCTGAAGTAGAGGATCCAGCTAACCTGTGCCTAGATTCCTGACCCACAGAAACTGAGATAATGAATGAGTGTTGTTTTTAACCTAACAAGCTTAGGGCTCATTTGTCACACAGCAGTAAGTAAGACACAGAACAATATAAATGAATCTTACCAATATATCACATGAAAAATGTAAATCCAAAAGATTATATATATATATCTCAAGATGTATTTTTGTCAAGTGAAAAGCAATTAAACAGACTTTTTAGGAATACAAGTAGATGCAGTAACACTACACAGAAAAAAAAGACAAAAAGCAACATTGAACACAGATTCAAGATCATGTTTACCAGGGGTGAAGGGTAGTGGGAGAAGACAAGATGTGGGAAATGTGATAAAGGGAATTATATGTTTAGTAAAGAATATTAACATTTAAGCTGAGCCATCAAGAATGGGCAAGACTGTCATTCAGAAGTCAGAAAGAAGGAAATTCCAGATGGAATAACTAAGTTAAAGCACCAAAGCAAAGATCACAGGTATTTTTGGGAATGAGCATGTTGGCCAATTTGGTTAAGTATAGGCCATTCAAAATAAGCAAGAAGTCTGCTCTTAAAAAGAGGCTGGGATTGCATCAGCAAGTCTGAACTTGATTCTGTAGACAACTGGTAGAGCAAGGAGCAATTAAGGACAGTTAGCTGAAGGTTTTAGTGCTAGGAACTAAGTAGGTTTCAAGGAGATTGATCCGACAAGCCTGAGTGACATAGATTAGAGGAGTAAGAGACTAGAGGCAAAAAAGAAAAATCAATTAGACAGTTATTACAGAAATCTAAATTAGTGTGAATTGGGGCTTTAATTATTCACTCATATAATTCAGTGTTTACTGGATTCCTTCCTCTATGCCAGGCACTATGCTAGATCCTGAGGATTCAACAAGGTAGGAAAGATCCCTCCTATCATGAAGCATATATTCTGATTGGAAACAGGCAATAAAAAATAAAAAAAGTGATAATTTTAGATTGTTATAAGTGTTTCCAAGGAAATAAACATGGTGAAACACTAGGAAATAACAGGGAAGTGAAGAGAAAAAACTTGAAAAAGAACATTCAAGGTGATACTGAAGTAGGACTGCAGAGAATGACAAAGACTATGAAGGCCACAGGAAAATGGAACAGCATTCCAAAGCAGGGGTAAAAGGCCAGGGAGCAGATATTTTAGGCTTGTGGACCCTCTGTCTCTATTCTAACGACTCAACTCTGCAGTTGTTGCTTGAAAGTAGTTACAGACAATACACAAATGAATGGGTGTGGCTGTGTTTGAAGAAAACCTTATTTACAAAACAGGTGGTGGTCCACAGGCCATAGTTTTCTGACCCTGTTCTTAAGAAATAACAGTCCTAAAGAGTGCTGAAAGAAAAGAAAATTGTCATTTACTGCTATGGTGAAGTAAAGAAAATAAATAGGATAATAGTCGAAAGATCATTGTGATATGCATTTTAAATTGGTAGAATATTAGAAACTTCTCTATTACTACCCTACATTAATCCCTTCCTTCTGTAAATGTGTATAATGCTTGTAAGCTGTTAGGAATTCTTTGGCTGTAAATAATACAAAAGCCAAGTAAGACTGACTATTTAAAAGTAGGAGATTCTTTTCACACATAATGAGAAATTTAAAGATGGAGATGGTTCAGCAGCTCAAAAATATAGATCCAACCTCTTTCTATCACTCCATCATACTTAGTGTGTAAGACTTTCATCTTCACAACTCTTGCCTCATGTTATAACTCCTGAAATCTCATCTTAATTGATGGCAGGAAGAATGGGGAAATCACCTAGAGGATACCAGTG
The DNA here is from genome assembly GCF_000001405.40 of Homo sapiens. Taxonomy (NCBI): domain Eukaryota; kingdom Metazoa; phylum Chordata; class Mammalia; order Primates; family Hominidae; genus Homo; species Homo sapiens. The sequence goes on from NC_000001.11 coordinate 173,662,688, forward strand.
ATATCAATCCTTCCAATCCCTCTTAAGGGGAAAGCAAAACAAAAATCTTTTCTAACAAGTCCCAACAAACTTCCAGTTATATCTCAAAGGCCAGACTGTACAATGCGGTGTGGCTACCCCATCTTTAAGAGGAGAGGGAGGAAAAAAAGCAAGTTTCTTGATTTTCCAGCCTCTGTGATAGAGGCAAGCAAGGTAGACAGGGATTGGAAATGGGAGTTGAGTTACCCAATCAACAATGACTCAACCATAAGATTTGGTGCATGTCTTGTATTTGAGATGGTTTAGTTCAACTCTTTCATTTTACAGAAGAATTACAGTGGAAACTTATAATTCTTCAGTGTCTGACATCCAACTCCCCACCCTTCCAACACACACACACACACACACACACACACACACACACACCTTCTTTAAAGCACTCCTATCTCAGTTTCAGAGAATTCTAATAAAAGATATAGCTAACTTCCCACACCGGAAGACTAAGAAGCAGGATTCTTCTTTTCTCTCTCTCAGCACAAGCCTGGGGGCAGGCACATTATTTAAGCTCAGCCCATCAGGGGATCTATCCTGCGATCTTGAATCTTGAACAAGGGACACAAGGAAATGAGGCTAGTTGAAGGGCACTCATCGCAAGTGACAGAAATAGTATGCTGATCAAACTGCCTGCTATGAGAACATACTGTGGTTCTTGTGGTCTGATCCTCCACAGTTCCCTTGGTTTCCTCATTTTCAGCCTCCCAGTAATTACTAGTTGTCTTCCCCAAAATCTCATCTCCTTTTCTTTTGGAATAGAACCCCACCCTCTCTTCTTTTGGAATAGAACCCCACCCTCTTTTCTTTTAACAAGGCTTTTTTCTAAACTGATCTTTATGGTGGAATAAGACTATTTTCCAATCTCTCTTGTAATATTGGTGTGGCCACATGTCCAAATAGTAAGCGATAAGATGTAATCAGATATATAGACTGCAAATTCCAGGAATGCTTAATTCCTTCCCACTGGATTTCAAGCATAATAGCTGGAGCCTGAAAGGATAATTTAGACCATGAGGTGGTTGTTCTCTTCAAATACGTATATATTATTTTATATCTTGTATAAATTATTTCTGTTATACGTAAATTAGTTTATGACATTTTAATTTTATATGTAAATATATGTAACTACTATCAATAGAGTATCCACATAATTTATTGTTCAGTAACAATGGACAATTTTATCCTGGATACATGGCATATATGGCTATATTTGTACATATATATTTCTTTTTAAAACAAAGCAATGTTTCTCTTTACTACAGGTAACATATCACTGTTTTTTGTCGCATTCTATTTTTTTAAAGCTGGGTGCCACCTACTAAACTGACTGTATGACCCACTAAATGGGATACAACCCACAGTGTGTAAAAACATGAGTCTTGAATAAGCACTATGGAGACTATACCAGGAAATCAACAAGAAGGACTCTAACAGAAGTTAAACAGCTTGTGTTTATGGTTAATAGCTTGGGTGACATATGTCCCAATGTATGCAGGACATTTCCCGTTATAGCTGTTTTCCTGGTATAATTTTTAATAGCATCTACTTTCACTCTCAAAAGTGTCTGTTATTATTAGACAATAATTTTGTCACTCTATTAATAGTAGTTGTAATCTTTTGAAACATTTCTGCTAAAGATATCCATATTCAAACCTTAGAGAATAGAGGCAGGATGTGTTTGGAATGCCTTTCACTGGAACACCAGGGTCCCAGCCATGAGACCTTGAAGATACTGAGAAATTCCTATTTTTGTTTCACAGGTATTCCTGCTATAAGACCTAGAATAGCTTTACATCTCCTACATTCCAACTACCCAAATCCTATTTAGGCCAAGCTATAAGCCCACTTTCTTCCTAAGCCTTTCCCTAATTCCTCTCTTGAGTGTACACTGGCCTTTCAATATTCTGAACTCCAAAGGTCATTATGTATAGTCTATACAATACAACTTACCAAATATGATATTATATTATTTCCTAATTGTTTCAAGTACGTAATCTATCCAATTAGGTTGTAAACTTGCTGGGTGCAGGAATCAAGCCTTACATTTCTTTGTGTTACTTTCAGACTTACCACAATTCTTAACAAGTCATATATATTCAATAACTCTTAAAGTCAAGCTTGCAATTCCCAGTGCTTTTTTTCATAGCCAAGAGCAATGGGTTTTGGAGTCAGAGAGACTTGGGTTCACAATCCAATCCCTCAATTTATTAGCTGCATAATACTGGGCAATTTACATACTCTTTTGTAGGAATAACACTAGAGCCTAGTCTATGATTGTTCTAAGAATTAAAATAAATTAGGTGATGTACATGCCAAGCACATGGGGAACATTTAGTAAATAGAAGCTACCATCATCATTATTAGGTCATCATCAAACCTCCAGCAAAATCATCCATGAAGCAAAAGAAAAGATGGTAATGCTACTTATTTTCTTTTTTAAAAAAATAAACAACAACAACAACAACAAAAAACTAGGTCTTGCTACATTGCACAGGCTGGTCTTGAACTCCTGGGCTCAAGCTATCCTCCTGCCCTGGATCCTAAGTAGCTGGGCTCACAATCCTCCTGCCTCCACCTCCCAAGTAGCTAGGACTATAGGCCCATGCCACCACACCCAGCTCTTCTTCTTTTTTAATATGCCATAGTTTATTCCTATGCAAGGTATGAATAAATAATTTTCTACCCTACCACCACCAGACACTTGATTACCAACATATTATTCCACATTTAGAGATCAGTCTGATCCCAGGTTAATTCAAAGATATGAAGACAAACTAGATCAAATCTTGAACTATGATTTGGTCCAGAATATTCAAAGCTACTCTTGTTATACCCTTGAATGGAGCTTAATTTCTATATCAGCCCAGAACCAACATAATTAGGGCAGTGGTTCTCAAATTCTTTGATCTCAGGGCTCTTTACAGTCTTAAAAATTGAGAACCCCAGGGAATTTTTGTTTATATGAGTTATATCTAAATTAATATTTATATTGGAAATTAAAACTGAGGCCAGGTACAGTGGCTCACACCTGTAATCCCAGCAGTTTGGGGGACTGAGGTGAGTGGATCACTTGAGTTCAGGAGTTCGAGACCAGCTTGGGCAACACAGCGAAACCCCATCTCTACAAAAAATACAGAAAAAAAAATAGCTGAGCATGGGGGCACATGCCTGTGGTCCCAGCTACTTGGGAGGTGGAGGTGAGAGAATCGCTTGAGCTCAGGAGGCAGAGGTTGCAGTGAGCTATGATCACGCCACTGCACTCCAGCCTGGATGACTGAGCAAGACCCTGTCTCCAAAAAACAACAACAAAAAAACCACAAATAAAGTACGTATTAATTCATCTTAAACACATTACTTGTTAACGAAAAAATAGTTTATGAAAAATAACTAGGCCTGAATACAACAAAAGATTAAGTAAGGGAGAATTCACTCTGCCTAATTTCAAGCTGGGCATCTACCTTCAGGCTCAGGCTGGGACTAGAACTTATACTATCAGCTTTCCTGTTTCTCAGGCCCTCAGACCTGGATTGGAACTACACAAATGGCTCTCCTGGATCTCCAGCTTGCTGAATGCAGATCTTGACATTTCTCAGCCTCCATAATCACATGAACCAATTCCTTATAATAAATTATTCTATATTTATTCATATATACAGTTGTCCCTCAGTATTCATGGGGGGATTGATTCAGGAACCCTCCACCCCTGTAGATACCAAAATCCATGGATGTTCAAGTGCCTTATATAAAATGGTGTAGTATTTGCATATAACCTACACACATCTTCCCATATATGTTAAATCTAGATTACTTATAATACCTAATACGATGTAAATGCTATGTAAATAGTTGTTATACTGTATTGCTTAGGGAATAATGACAAGAGAAAAAGTCTGTATACGTTTAGTACAAACACAACCATCCATGTTTTTTCAAAAAATTTTAGATCCAAGGCTGGTTTAATCCGCAGATACAGAGGACTATATATATTGTATTGATTCTGTTTCTCTGAAGAACTCTAACACAAATAGCATTTAAAAAAAATTTTTTTTTTAGACAAGATCTCACTCTGTCACCCAAGCTGAAGTGCAGTGATGCCATCACGACTCACTACAGCCTGAACTCCTGGGCTCAAGCAATCCTCCCAACTCAGCCTTCTGAGTAGCTGTGACTATAGATGTGTGCCATCACACCAGGCTAATTTTTTAATTTTTCTGTAGAGACAGGGGGTCTGGCTATGTTGCCCATGCTGGTCTCAACCTCAAGTGATCCTCCCACCTCAGCCTCCCAAAATGCTGAGATTACAAGTGTGAGCCACCGTGCCCAGCTGCAATTTGCATTTTAGAAAACTCATACTGGCCATGTGTTGGCCAACGACTTCCCAATACTTTTATGATGAGATCAGAGATGATATTAATGAAAGTGGGCTTTTAAAAATATTACAGCATGAAACATGTTAACATTTGGAAAACTGGTATAACTAAATGAAGCAACATTTTGCTTGATTTGAATGACTGCTTTTCTTCTTTACAAAATCAGCTTCACTCCCCCTGCCATTTTCCATTATGTTACAATATCAAGCATGGGTAAAAGATCCAAAGTATAAGACAGATCAATAGATTTTAATGTAACACAGTATGAAACGTTCATTGACATGGCTTCAGATTCCACACTGCAACCAGCCTTTAAGAAACTACCACTTGTGGCCAGGAGCAGTGGCTCACACCTGTAATCACAGCATACTGGGAGGCTGAGGTGGGCGGATCACAAGGTCAGGAGTTCAAGACCAGCCTGGCCAATATGGTGAAACCCCGTCTCTACTAAAAACACACAAAAAAATTAGTCGGGCATAGTGGCAGGCGCCTGTAGTCCCAGCCACTCAGGAGGCTGAGGCAGGAGAATCACTGGAACCCAGGAGGCAGAGGTTGCAGTGAGCTAAGATCACCCCACTGCACTCCAGCCTGGCACAACAGAATGAGACCCCATCTTAAAAAAAAAAAGAAAGAAAAAGAAACTACCACTTGCAGAGTTTTGGTGCAGTCACAAAAATGTGCACAATTATCTGAAAAAGCTATTAAAATACTCTTCCCTTTTCCAACTATATATCTATGTAAGGAGGAATTTTCTTTACATATTTCAAAACAACATATTGCAACGGATAGACTGCAGAAGCAGACATAAGAATCTGTCTCCCATTAAGCCAGAAATTAAAGACATTTGCAGAAATGTAAAATAATGCCACTTTCTAACTAATTCTTTTGTTCTGGAAAATATTTTTATGAGAAATATATAATTATGTTACATGTGAATTTATTTTTTAAGGAATTAATAAACATTTTTTAAATCCTCAGTTTAATTTCTAATTCTTACAACATATGTAATACTATATTAAAAGACATAACTCACATAAAGGAAAGCTCTTCGGGATCATTTCTTAAGAGTAAAATGGAGTCCTGAGACAACAAAGTTTGAGAGCACTGCCTTAGGATATACATGAGACCTAGAAATAGGAAAGTCTTGCAGGATGCTTGCCCTACTCAATTGCTATAGCAGGGCAAGGAGGCTTTGCAGGGAGGGAGGGCTGTGGTGCAAACCACTCCAGTCAGGGCTGAAGGGAAGTCACAGCAGGAACTCAGCGCAATTGAGTGAGCCAGGGAGCTCAACCGAGTCCTGACAAAACCAGGAGATACCTGTTCACAAGGTATATAAGCCAAAGGTTAAAACCAAGAAAGCCATAGGGCAGGGAGCACTCGGTATACCAGGAACATCACCCCCCAGAGCCAAGGGAAGGCAAAGGGACCCTGACCCGTCCCCATAACTGATTCCGTGAGCCATCCACATAGCCAGGGCACCATCTCAAGGAAAGAATCCAAGAAGATACCTGATAACCTAAATATTTGTATATAAGAGAAATTAAACACTAGCCAAAGAAATCAATTCTAGATTGAGCTAAACTTTAAAACCAATCGGACATTTAGATTCTTTCCTAATAATCAATAAGTAAATGCTCATGAAAGGAACCAGATCAGTCATATACAAAAATAAATTACATTTTCTTTGCCCACAAAAGTAATAACATACATCAAAATTGTAACCTTGCTACATATAACTGAAGTTTCACAGAGAATATGAGCATTGGAGGGAAGAGGGAAGGCTGGAACTATGAAGGCAGAATGGCATTGCTTTAGTCTTGATTCTGTTACTAATTATGTGACTTTTCTGAAATGAGGATAGCACCTGGTCTGCCTTACTAAATAAGTGTAGAAAAATCTATAAACTTTTCTTTTTAACTATAGAATGTGATTGCTTTCGAGCCACCCACAATAGAAAATCACATAGGTCATAGCACCTACCCCATAGGCTCTCACATTTTGGTAGGGAAGACACAAGTAAATCAGCAATGACAGAGTGAGATCAGGGATTCAATGGAGGTAGGTAGAGTGCTTTGAAAGTAAAACCGTGGACATCTACATTCAATTCTGGGTGGCGGTCTCAGAAAGTTTTCCCAGAAGAGGTGAAACCTCGATAGTGAAGAGTAGGAGTCTTAAAAGGAGGAAAAAAGGACAATCCAGGTAACGGGAAGAGCATAAACAAAGGGCAAGGAGGCAGGCGACGCAGCCTGAAGTTGTGATAGAGGAGTAGATCCTAATGTGCCTTTTAAGCCAACTGATTTTTTTCTTCAAAAAAAAAAAAAAAGTAGTCGCTTAATCAAGTCCCAGCTCAAGGAGAAGGACCCCAAGGGCAACCCTGGGCACACAGAGTTAAACAAAGAGAAGGCCTGAGGAACAGGATACAGAAAGTGGCAGCGCCGCCAGGTGATCCAGGAGGTCCCGCGAGGGGGCAACGGACACTTCAGGGCACCAGAGTTTGCTCTTCGGCCTGAATTCCCTAGGGACCTTCTGCGATCCCTTGCGGCTGCCGGCGGGGTAGGAGACCGGTGCGCAAAGCTCTGGACAGAAGCAGTGTGAGGACGCTGAGATTGAAGCCCACTCCCCTCCAGCCCTGCCCGAGCAGCCTGGAGGGAAGATGTCCGTCTACCCCATCGCACTCCTCCCCAAGTGCCCACCCCGGCCCACAGCGCCAGGACCCCTAGACTCACCACACCCGGGCCCCGGCCTCCTCGGTTACCATAGCAACGGCGCAACACGCGAGGCAGCGCCTCCTCCTGCGCCGCGGTTCCGGCAGCGCGGGAAGGTTATTCTTGGTTGCAAAGGCGCAGGAAGCCAGAGTGGAAAACAGCCAGGAATTATCTATAATTTCAGTCTCTGGGTGGCGTGTCGGTTTTTTCTTTGTTTTGTAAATTTTCTGTAATAAGGTATTTGTTTTACAGTTTAAAAATAAGTTGTGCATATTGGTTGTTGGCCTGTCTTTGGCTTTTAAACGAAAGAATTTTCTGGAAATATGAGGTTGCATTCTAAAAACTACAAAAGATTGTATGAATAACCCCTTGCTTAATTTTCTAGTTATTGGATATCTTTCTCCCATGGTTTATGGTCATTGTCACCAGCAAGGAGTGTTTCAGGCGACCTCACAAGTGCCAACTACCTTAGGAGCAGAAGAAACTTGGAGACTATATCCCTCTTGATTCAGAAATTCAAGATGCAAAACACAACTTTAAAAGGGGGGAAGCGATGGAGGTGGAGGGACAAGGGGTTCGAAAGAAACCAGCAGGGAAGGGCCAGGCATACCTAGCAATTATATCAATGTTCACATGAATCACACAGTGAAAACAGGGAAGTTTTTGTGCTGAAGGCAGGTGTGAAGGAAAATATTCATTTCTTTACTGTTTCTACCAAGAGTCCACTAAGGAGTAAGTGAATGTTTTAGAGGGGCTCTGAACATCTGTGCTGAAGTTCGAATAGCCTAGTTCTGAAATGAATATTTGACCTAAGGCCCAAGCAAAATTTCACCATTGTTACAGTAGGTAGTCAGGCATGAGCAGAGCAGGCTCCCCTATCCCCCACCAGGAATGTCAGGCGACCATCAGGTGATAGGCAGTTGTTAACTGTCTCTCTAAAATAATAATTGGTTGCAGCCAATGCCAGGAAAAGGCACTCTCCGAATAGATAGAAAACATCTGAAACTGGTTATCAGCAGCTTCCCCATAAGAGCTCAGGAGTTAGGTGATGTGAGAAACACACTCACCTGTCCAAACCCAAAGAATGGACTTAGAGGCATGAAGAACAGCAAAAGAGACACTTTTTAATAACGGTCTTGCAAGATCGGGTGTCTGGTGAGCAGGAACACCCAGTGCAGTTTCAACAAGGAATTTATCACCTAGTGTGCAAGTCCCTACCCTGGTTCCTCATAGGCTGAGTACTATGGGGTTACAGTCTTCCCCAACGTTGCCTAAGTTTCATTATCCCCTTATAAGGTTACATCTTGTCTCCTTCCCCACTTTAAGTTTTGATTTCCCAATGACAAAACTTTCTTTCCTTTTATGGATTAGCCACCCCACCCCCTATTTTTTTTTCTCCCTCCCCTCTGACTTCTGTGAGTCTTATCACTCTTCCCAGATGTCTGTAGCATGCGGCTTGTCACATCTGCAAGGGAGCTGCCTGGATTTGCCGGGGCCTGTTTTCTGAAAAATGGACCACTTAAAAAGTACTTCTTACAGGTGAGTGGGCTCAAGGATACACATTAAGAGTCAAAATGGTGGAGTTTAACTGGTATATGACCTTCTTGGGTACATTCAATTGGTAAGAGAAGAATGCCTCAAGTGTCATGCATAGAACTGCAGTAAACACACTGCACGTGCTCCTCTCCCAAGTGCTAGCAGGCCACTGCACATGTGGATAGCCCATCCCAAGAGAAGAATCAGGGGAGAAGGGACGCAAGACCCTAGAAGTATGCCACCATATAAAACCCTAAGGCCGGGCACGGTGGCTCATGCCTGTAATCCCAGCATTTTGGGAGGCCAAGGCGGGCGGATCATGAAGTCAGGAGACCAAGACCATCCTGGCTAACACAGTGAAACCCCGTCTCTACTAAAAAATACCAAAAAAAAAAAAAAAATTAGCCAGGCGTGGTGGTATGCGCCTGTAGTCCCAGCTCCTTGGGAGGATGAGGCAGGAGAATCACGTAAACCCGGGAGGCGGAGGTTACAGTGAGCCGAGATCGCACCACTGCCCTCCAGCATGGGTGACAGAGCAAGACTCCGTCTCAAAAAAAAAAAAAAAAGAAACCCTAAGTCAAAAGTCAAACTGGACTTGATCTCTCAAAGTCACCCACTTGGCCCTTTCCAAGTGTACATTACTTCCTTTCATTCCTGCCCAAAAGCTTTTTAATAAACTTACACTCCTGCTCTAAAACTTGCCTCGGTCTCTTCTTCTGCCTAATGCCCCTCAGATTCTTTCTTCTGAGGCAAGAATTAAGGCGGCTGCAGACCCATACAGATTCACCACCAGTAACACCATCATAAATCTGAACTTTTGAAATACAAGAATAAATTTGAATTTTTTCAAATGTAATTATTAATTTTTCATGTTCAAATAAGTTGTGGTAATCAAAATTTTAGAGTTTTACATTATAGAGAGGAACAATAATCTGTCAGTTGGAAGCTTGCTCCTGCAGTCACTATACAACACATTTGCTCTACTCAACAATCATTTCTTACTGAAGGTGATGAAGAGCAAGGCTAATTTTAGGCATTTCAGTTTTAACATGCTATTTTTCATAGTCTTTGTTTTTTAATATCTGGATGGAAGATGACTTATGATGCATAACTGTACAAAACTGTACATGATTCTGTTTTTCATTAATCTTCAGGGGATATGAAGAATTCCCAAATAGAACTGTTTCTTGAATGTCTGAAGTGGAATTAAACAACTAAAAATTAAATAGAACTTTTAAAGATTATTTTTTAGTGCTCTGAATGCTAATATTAGAAAGGTAGTAAGACACAATAGGTTTGAGACCTAAAAGCAAAGATGCCGTGAGCTCCACTTGAACTCCAGGTCAGAAACAGCTGCGTGATGCACCTAGGCAGACCAGGTTAGAAACAGACAGGAGATTCATGGCAAGAGTGTGGCCTAGATGCAGCAGAAAGACTCCCATGACACCCTCTCTTAGCCACACCCCCTGCAAGCTTGACCTGAGAGTATTGGAAAGAGCCACTGGATTTGAAGGGGCCGAGTGCCCATGTGTAAGACACATCTCAGCAATAACCTGTGGGTATTAATGATGGAGGTCCAGATAAGACAGTGAAGGCCTGGTGAACAGACAGCTTAAGCAGCAAATGATTAAGCACTATTCAAACCCCCCAGAAATTAGATCCCCTCCAGAAAATTATGGTAGGTGAGAGGTTTCCAAAACTATTGAAACTAGTTTTTTCCAACATAAGAGAATAGGCCCTCAGAATAGAAATTATTGTATAAAAAACTACATTTCTATACTTTTTTTTTTTTTTTTTGAGATGGAGTCTTCTTCTGTCACCCAGGCTGGAGTGCAGTGGTGTCATCTCGGCTCACTGCAACCTCCGCCTCTTGGGTTCAAGTGATTCTCCGGCCTCAGCCTCCCAAGTAGCTGGGATTACAGGCACACATCACCACGCCTTGCTAATTTTTGTAATTTTTTAGTAGAGATGGGGTTACACCATGTTGGGCAGGCTGGTCTCGAACTCATGATATCAGGTGATCCACCCGCCTTGGCTTCCCAAAGTGCTAGGATTACAGGCATGAACCACCACACCCTGCCATATTTCTATACTTCATAGACTGAGTCATGTCCGTTGTACAATGTCAATTTCTGATGAAAAACCTGGATCAACTAGTTGAAAAATTTACTCCAAGGTAACTTAATGTGCTACATCTTGTTGTTTGAAAGCCTATTATATGCTGAGTACTGTGTTAAGTGATTCATATAAATTATCTCTAATCCTTATAGCAACTCTATAAGTTGCTATAAGAAAGTGATATTATTCTTGAAACCGACACTTCAGAAGGTTGAGTCACCTACCTAAGACCACACAGCTAATAGGGCCAAACCAGGATTTGTACCTAGGTCAGTCTGGTTTAAAACACCAGAGGACTGCTACTTGTTAGCTATATGCTAATTAAATATTAGAGAAAATCTGCCAAAAATAACAACTTTATTTCAAAATAATTTGCCTTGAGTCTTTCTGGCAATAATTAGATAATATTAAAGCCACTCCCCTGGTGTGTAACTAAAGAATTATTTCTCCATGTAGCTAATCTCTACAGTTGAGGAGAATGAAATAGTGAACACCCATGGTTTTCACCTGCTGGTCCCTCCTTTTCTGGTTAGTGAACTCCCATTTTCTGTGAGGGAACCTTTCTTTTCTTTTTCTAGATATAGCATCTTACTCTGTCACCCAGGCTGGAGTGCAGTGGTGTGATCACGGCCCACTGTAGCCTCATTCTCCCCAGGCTTAGGTGATCCTGCCACCTCAGCCTCCCAAATAGCTGGGACTACAGGCACCCACCACCATGCCCAGCTAATTTTTTTTTGTATTTTTTGTAGAGACAGGGTTTTGCCATGTTGCCCAGGCTGGTTTCCAACTCTTAGCCTTAAGTGATCCTCCTGCCTCAGCCTCCCAAAGGGCTGGGATTACAGGCACGAGCCACTGCACTCGGCCCACCTTCATGGTTCTTTTGGGATGGGGATATTTTTGGCTTTTTTTTTTTCCACATTCACCATGCTTTTGTGAACCTCAAAAATCTGAGACAGGTATCAGTTGATTTGGAAAGTTTATTTTGCCAAAGTTGAGGATGCACGCCCATGACACAGCCTCAGGAGGTCCTGATAACATGTGCCCAAGGTGGTTAGAGCAGTCCCCAAGGTGGTTAGAGCAGTTTGGTTTTATACGTTTTAAGAAGACATGAGACATTAATCAGCATATGTGAGATGAACATTGGTTCAGTCTGGAAAGGTGGGACAACTCGAAGCAGGGGGGTTAGAAGTAGGGGGTGCTTCCAGGTCACAGATACATAAGAGACAAATGGTTGCATTCTGATTAGTCTCTCCAAAGGAGGCAATCAGATATGCATTTATCTCAGTGAGCAGAGGGGTGACTTTGAATAGAATGGGAGGCAGATTTGCCCTAAGCAGTTCCCAGCTTGACTTTTCCCTTTAGCTTAGTGATTTTAGGGACCCAAGACATTTTCTTTTCACATTTCCCCACTTTTTAAAAATTTTTTGGAGAAAGCATATTAAAAGAAATGAGTCTCTGGTCTCAGGTTTTGTCTGATCTCTTATGGCTAGGATGGTTTATTCCTAGACTGGTAGGTCCCAAGTTATTAGGAAAGCTCATTTTTAGAAGGTTGTAAAGTCTTATGTCCTATGAAGAGAAAATAAGGGAAGGAAGGAGGAAAAACAACAACAAACAAAAGAACGATCCTGGAAAATCAATATAGGCCATATTGCTCTGAAGTCCATATATTAGTAGGCAGGTATGAAAGTGGCTTATGTACGTAAATAGGTTGCTATTATTTTCCTCTAAAGTTTAAGTTATTTAGCTTCAGTTCGCAGGGCTTTAAAAAAAAGTATAGCTTAGTTTTCAGTGACTCCAAATTAGGAAAAATGGAGAAAAAAGAAGGAAAAAAAATTGAAAACATTATTTTGCAGGCATGTAGCCAAGAAAAATTAGAATTCAGGCCAGTCACGGTGGCTCATGTCTGTAATCCCAGCACTTTGGGAGGCCGAGGCAGGTGGATCACCTGAGGTCAGGAGTCTGAGACCAGCTTGGCCAACATGGCAAAACCCCGTATCTACTAAACATACAAAAAACTAGCTAGGCATGCTGGCAGGTGCCTGTAATCCCAGCTACTTAGGAGGCTGAGGCAGGAGAATTGCTTGAACCCAGGGGGTAGAGGTTGCTGTGAGCCAAGATCATGTGACTACACTCCAGCCTGGGGAACAGAGGGAGACTCTGTCTCAAAAAGAAAAAAGAAAAAATAGAATTAGAATTCAGTCCAAACTGTAGAAAATAATAAAAATTGAAAAACAATAGGCAAGACTAGAATCTAACAACGGGTGTACTATAGTTTTTTAAACATAATTTTTCTTTATCCAGTTTCCCATTTTTATTAAAGACAAATCATGGTAAGACTGATTTGCTTTATTACACTTCACCTGATTATTTGTATACAATGTATCAAGAATAATTTTATTTTACATAGGCATTTAAATTGGCTTTGATGGAACTTTAGTCCATAGAAGGAATCTCAGATATGACTTTTTTAAAGCCAAGCCCAGCCATGGATTTGTACCATCAAATACCTATGAGTTGTGAATTCCTCTCCTCTCAATGTTCCAAGATAAACTTGGGGCTCTTGGGTCTGTCAGAAAGTGACATTCTTTACCTACCACAGGTCAGGAACCCTGTAAAGGGACTGTGTAGAAAAAGGTACGAGGCCAATTTTTCCAAGGGGCTTTTATTGGCTCCATAAGTCAAGTTTGATTCCTTAAATGAAAGCACACCATTTTAGTCAAAGCCTTGGTAAAATAACCAGTTTCTCCAATTGTGTCCTGTTAAAAATGAAGAAAGATTCTTATTGCACTTATGCAAATAATTGTATTGTCATAAGAATACTCACAAATAGTTTCCAAATTCTGTAGAAATCAGGTAGACAGAAACACATATGCTCCAACTTTTGTTCATAGGAGTACACTTAACTGTTAAAAGCTGTAAATAGCTTAAAAGTTTTCTTGACTCTGAAAAACAAAGGATCAGCAACGTTTTAAACAAAAAGTTAAAAAGATTACTTTAAACTTCTATTAGTTTAGTCCCTGCGGTTAATTCCTGTTCTGCTTGATAGTCATAAACATTTCAGCTCTTCATGAGTCCTGAAAGTTTTTCCTCTGTTCAAATGTTACAATCTCCAAAGTAATCAGAAACCTGCATTCAAGGGCACCTGTTAGAGTTTATAGCTGATTATAAAACCACCTTTTAAAGAGGACCAAAATAAGACAACAATCATTCATGGATGACAAAAAGTTTTAGGGCAGCCATAAAGATACAATTGACAAGGAAATTTGTTACCTTATGGCACACAATAATTTACCATAAAAATTATAATTATTACTGATAACATACACTAATTCATATTAGAATTATAGGAGTTTTCCACCTGGGTGACAGGGTGAGACTCCATCTCAAAAAAAAAAAAAAAAAAAGAATTATAGGAGTTTCCCATAATTTTTGAACACATGCCAATAACATCTTTATACAAATACAGCCCAAAGAAAACCAAACACCATTTCATGTTTGACAATGCTTCCTATATAATTTTTATACCAAATAAGCCAAATATGTCATTTTTGGACTTTAAGGAACCGGGAATATCTTAAAGGATTAATTAGGTCAGAAAAAGACATAATTTATAATTTGATTTTGGAAAGTTTGTCAAATATCAAAACTTTAAAACACTTGATATTACAAAATAGGATCACAGGTCATTGTAAAATAAGTCATTCATTTAACCAAAGTGATAACTGAAGGATTTTAAAAAAAAAAAGGTGCAAAACTTTTATTTTGAGAGAGGAAACAATTTTCCAAACAATAAACCCTAATAAAAACAACATGAAGTCAATTAAATTTGTTTTTCAAATTTTTATAAATATATAAAATTTTAATCTTGATCATAAGCTATAACTTCCATAAGCCTTTTATAATCTTTATTAATGTTTTGGTTAATGCTTAAAAAACAAACCATATTAATCTGACACAGGGGCTCATATGCTGGTCTTGCATCAGTGTGCCATTGATATTAATGGTTAATTTATAGAGAAACTGTACTTATTTTATGTCTTAAAATGGGCCCTTACAATCTCACACACCCACCTCTTCCTCAATAGTCCCTGGACCTTGAGGAGTTGAATGGTGTTAATTTCTGGCCCTCTGTCTCAGGAATGCAGTTTATTTTGATTGGCATCCTCTATGGGGCCTGAAGATGAGGATTTAACTGCTGTCAGTGTTTAAGACTTAGCAGGGCTTTGTGTCCATTTTAGACCCAGGAGTCAAATCCCTGTAACTTAGTGTTACAAGTACTTTAAAAGCACATACAGAAAGATACACGGATGTAATAACCTTAATTTTAAAAAAAAACAATTATCAGGTTTTTTTCCTAAGCAAAGTAAAACTTAATAATAATGGCATAGGAATTATTTCAATAAGACGTAAAATCTGTGAGGCCAGTTACCAAAAGGCAAAAGAAAAGACCTTCTGCAGTGTACAGGATATTATGTTGGAAGAAAACATTTCCTTTAGACCTTTAAGAAAATATTGTTAGCACCAGGCCACAACAAACAGAACTGTGGGGAAAAATAACTTAACTGAGCTGAACATGAGTTGAAAGAGAGCTTTATTATTTCATACCTTTTAAAGGGGGAGAAAAAAACAAAAATGGTGAAACCAAAAAAAGTCCAGGACAACACAGATTCACAGTCAAATACTACCAGACGTACAAAGAGGAACTGGTACCATTCCTTCTGAAACTATTCCAAACAATAGAAAATAGAATCCTCCCTAACTCATTTTATGAGCATCATCCTGATACAAAAACCTGGCAGAGACAAAACAAAAAAAGAAAATTTTAGGCCAATATCCCTGATGAACATCGATGCAAAAATCCTCAATAAAGTACTGGCAAAGCGAATGAAGCAGCACATCAGAAAGCTTATCTACCATGATCAAGTCAGCTTTATCCCTGGGATGCAAGCCTGGTTCAACATACGCAAATCATTAAACAGAATCCATCACATAAACAGAACCAATGACAAAACCCACATGATTATCTCAATAGAGATAAAAATGGCATGCAACAAAATTCAACAGCACTTTATGCTAAAAACTCTCAATAAACTAGGTGTTGATGGAAGGTATCTCAAAATAATAAGAGCTATTTATGACAAACCTACAGCCAATATCATACTGAATGGTCAAAAACTGGAAGCATTCCCTTTGAAAACTGGTGCAAGACAAAACTGGCACACACCATTTCAACATAGTATTGGAAGTTCTGGCCAGGGCAATCAGGCAAGAGAAAGAAATAAAGTGTATTCAATTAGAAAAAGAGGGAGTCAAATTGTCTCTGTTTGCAGATGACATGATTGTATATTTAGAAAACCCAACTATATCAGCCCCAAATCTCCTTAACCTGATAAGCAACTTCAGCAAAGTCTCAGGATACAAAGTCAATGTGCAAAAATCACAAGCATTTCTATACATCAATAACAGAGAGCCAAATCATGAGTGAACTTGCATTCACTATTGCTACAAAGAAAATAAAATACGTAGGAATCAAAATTACAACAGGTGTGAAGGACCTCTTCAAGGAGAACTACAAACCACTGCTCAACAAAATAAGAGGACACAAACAAATGGAAAAACATTCCATGCTCATAGATAGAAAGAATCAATATCGTGAAAATGGCCATACTGCCCAAAGTAATTTATAGATTCAATGCTATCCCCATCAAGCTACCATTGACTTTCTTCACAGAATTGGAAAAAACTACTTTAAAGTTCATATGGAACCAAAAAACAGCCCACATAGCCAAGACAGTCCTAAGCAAAAAGAACAAAGCTGGAAGCATCATGCTACCTGACTTCAAACTATACTACAAGGCTACAGTAAGCAAAACAGCATGGTACTGGTACCAGAACAGATATATAGACCAATGGAACAGAACAGAGGCCTCAGAAATAACACCACACATCTACAACCATCTGATCTTTGACAAACCTGACAAAAACAAGAAATGGGGAAAGGATCCCTTATTTAATAAACGGTGTTGGGAAAACTGGCTAGCCATATGCAGAAAGCTGAAACTGGATCCCTTCCTTACACCTTATGCAAAAATTAACTCAAGATGGATTAAGACTTAAATGTAAGACTAAAACCATAAAAACCCTAGAAGAAAACCTAGGCAATACCATTCAGGACATGGGCATGGACAAAGACTTCATGACTAAAACACCAAAAGCAATGGCAACGAAAGCCAAAATAGACAAATGGGATCTAATTAAACTAAAGAGCTTCTGCACAGCAAAAGAAACTATCATCAGAGTGAACAGGCAACTTACAGAATGGGAGAAAATTTTTGCAATCTGTCCATCTGACAAAGGGCTGATATCCAGAACCTACAAAGAACTTAAATTTACAAGAAAAAAGCAAAACAACCCCATCAGTGGGTGAAGGATATGAACAGACACTTTTCAAAAGAAGACATTTATGCAGCCAGCAAACATATGAAAAAATGCTCATCATCACTGGTCATTAGGGAACTGCAAATCAAAACCAAAAGGAGATACTGTCTCGCACCAGTTAGAATGGCGATCATTAAAAAGTCAGGAAGCAACAGATGCTGGAGAGGATGTGGAGAAATAAGAATGCTTTTACACTGTTGGTGGGAGTGCAAATTAGTTCAACCATTGCGGAAGACAGTGTGGCAATTCCTCAAGGATCTAGAACTAGAAATGTCATTTGACCCAGCAATCCCATTACTGGGTATACAACCAAAGGATTATAAATCATTCTACTATAAAGACACATGCACACGTGTGTTTATTGTGGCACTATTCACAATAGCAAAGACTTGGAACCAACTCCAACGTCCATCACTGATAGACTGGATAAAGAAAATGTGGCTCACATACACCATGGAATACTATGCAGTCATAAAAAAGGATGAGTCCACGTCCTTGGCAGGGACATGGATGAAGCTGGAAACCATCATTCTCAGCAAACTAACACAAGAACAGAAAACCAAACACCGCGTGCTCTCACTCATAAGTGGGAGTTGAACAATGAGAACACATGGACACAGAGAGGGGAACATCATACACTGGGGCTTGTTTGGGGGTGACAGGTTGATGGGTGCAGCAAACCACTATGGCATGTGTATAACTATGTAATGAAACTGCACATTCTGCACATGTACCCCAGAACTTGAAATATAATAAATAAAAAATAAAGGCACATGCATATGTATGTTTACTACAGCACTGTTCACAATAACAAAGGCTTGAAACCAACCCAAATGCCCACCACTAATAGACTGGAAAAGAAAATACGGCACATATACACCATGGAATACTATGCAGCCATAAAAAAAGGATGAATTCACGTTCTTTGCAGGGACATGCATGAAGCTGGAAACCATCATTCTCAGCTAACACAAAAACAGAAAACCAAACACCTCATGTTCTCATTCATAAGTGAGAGTTGAACAATGAGAACACATGGACACAGGGAGGGCAACATCACACACCAGGGCCTGATGGTGGGTGGGGGGGAGGCGGGGTGGGGGAGATAGGGAAGGGATAGCATTAGGAGAAATACCTAATGTAGATGACGGGTTGATGGGTACAGCAAACCACCATGGCACATATATACCTATGTAACAAACCTCCACATTCTGCACGTGTACCCCAGAAGTTAAAGTATAATTTTTTTAAAAAAAAGGTGAGATGTGATAAAAGTTGAACTTTGGGTTTTAAAAAAATTAGAATATCATATAATTTATTAAATCAATCCCTTAAGAAAATTTTACTGTTCTATTCAGTTATTTAGTGTATGTGTGTTTTTTATATCAAACTCAATCTCTAGAAAAACCATTATAATTTCCCTTAGACAACATGATAGACATTTCTAATATTACTTTATGAATAATTTTAAAGCTAGCTTATTTAAGATTTTACTGAAGTTATGTAACTTAAAGCATTTGACTAGTCTTTTCTTTTTTCTTGATAAAGTATTTTATTTAACTGCTTTTATTTTCTTAAGCCGATTAGAGCTCTTTTGTATATTTTCAGTAGTGAAACATTGTGTACACGACACATAAATACATAGACGTATTAGGCATGCCGATAGAAGTACATCTTATAGATTCATAAAAACCTTTTGTTTTTCCTGTCTTTCTCAGATTCTTGATAACCTGTTTCACAATCCTAGGCAGTTGTCAGCTACATAGCCTTAAATTTGCATACTAAAGGAAATAAAGGTGAAAATCAAATAGAAAAATTTACATCAGAAGGTAAGGAGAGGAAAAGTCTGGTATGCTAATGGAAGATTAAAGATGGATGTCAAGGCCAGGCATGGTGGCTCATACCTGTAATCCTAGCACTTTGGGAGGCTGAGGTGGGAGGATCACGAGGTCAAGAGATCAAGACCATCCTGGCCAACATGGTGAAACCCCGTCTCTACTAAAAATACAAAAATTAGCTGGGCATGGTGGCACGCACCTATAGTCCCAGCTACTTGGGAGGCTGAGGCAGGAGAATCACTTGAACCCAGGAAGCAGAGATAGTAGTGAGCCAAGATCGTACCACTGCACTCCAGCCTGGCAACAGAGTGAGACTCTGTCTCAAAAAAAAAAAAAAAATGGCTATGTCAAATCAAACATAAAATTATAAAAACCTATCATAGATTGTATAAGGAGACCAATTTTATTTAAATAGGGACTACTTATCTTTTAACTGCATCTCTGAGCTCTGGGCTGAGCCTACACTGAATCCTGGGTTTCCAAAAAGGGAGAATTATTATGAGGCTAGACCACATGATCTTTTTACAGTGTACTTAAAAAAATTTTTTTTAAACAAAGACATTTCTAAATGTCTAAACTACATTCTTCTTTAAAAACCCAAGAGTAAACTCTGTTGCAATAACTACTTAAGTCAGCAAATCAGGTAACATAATACAAAAGCAAGCAGTTTAAGGGTTGAGACAAACTTGTCTGTTTACACTCTTGGAGTTCCATAAGGAAAAACAGGTTTCTCCCCCAAAAGGAGTCTGGCACCTTCATTTTCTTTAAGGAACTCCAGGCTATCATAAACTATTTTAGGTCTCTTATGCAGCAGAGGGTGCAAGAGAAAGGAGAGGCAGCAGAAGTAAATGAAGAAAAAAGAATTTAGCCAACTGAGAAGAAAAAAAAGCTTTTGCTCAAATAAAAAGAAAAAGGACGAGGTTCTAGGAGAGGGAAAAAACCACGAAGGCCTTTTAAATACACACACACACACACACACACACACACACACACACACATCTTGGATGTTAGCTTCTAATTAAGCTGACTTTAACTATTGAGCTCCTTTTAAAAAAAGTCTTTTTAAATCTCGTTACCATATTTCAACTAGGACAAATTGCTGCTATTTCAGAAGTACAGCCATTGCTCTTTCAGTTTGGCCTGGCTAGCAAAAAGGTAGGCTTGTTATGTAAATAAGGCCCTTTTAGTAGTCAAAATAAAAAATCTTGCCTCTCTCTTTTTTTTTCTTTTTCGGGCCATTTTTCTCCCCTCACCACACCAGCTTTTTTTGTGTGGGAATTTAGCCACTACAGAGGCCTTGTTCCCCATAATTTGGAACTTCCCTTCGGATTTGATCAAGTTCAGATGGAGTTGATCAAACCCAATGAGAAAAAGACCAAAACAACAAAAACAGAAACAAACAACAAAAAACAGTTAGGCAAAACAAATGATCACACAACTTATATGATTACTGAGCACTCTAATGGTAAGGTGAAATTAAGACCAGCTGGTTGTTAATCTTAACTTTAGCCAAGTTACTTACAGTTACTTACCTAAAGATGGGTCTCAGGCTGAAGGCTGCTCTCTACCATCCTAACAGCAGGAAAAAAAAATTCATCTTCCCTGTTGGAAGTGAGCTCAAACTCCATAAAGGAGTTACCTATCTCCATCATCATGGAAGCAGAAAAAAACTTGCCTTCCTTGTGCTGAAAGCAAGTAAAACTCCAAAACAACAACAACAACAACAACAAAAAGAGTTGTATAGCAAAATAAACTTTAGATCTCGAACAAATTTGGGGAGATCAGAGATTCTCTGGAGGGGGTGTTTCCAGGCCTCAGCAAATTGTCCTATCCATTTGAACCATTAAGATAGCTCATGCTGGTACCAAGCATTGATTTGTCAAAGGTCAGCAGCACCTCCAGTCAGAATCCCTTTGTGGTTACCAAGATGTGAACCCCAAAAATCTGAGACAGGTCTCAGTTAATTTAGAAAGTTTATTTTGAAAAGGTTGAGGATGCACCTGTGACACAGCCTCAGGAGGTCCTGATGACACGTGCCCAGGGCGGTGTTATATATAAAGTTTCAGTGCTGCAGAAGAAACAGCACTCAAATATAAAATTTTCTTTTGAATTCTCAGCAAGACCAGGTACTTCTATAGAAGGGTGTGCCCTTACAGATGGAGCAATGGTGAGCGCACACTTGAACAAGGGAGGGGAAGGGTTCTTATCCCTGACACATGTGGCCCTTCCTGCTGTGTCATTCCCCTATTGGCTAGGGTTAGACCGCATGGGCTAAACTAATTCCAATTGGCTAATTTAAAGAGAATGATGGGGTGAGTGCTTTGGCAGAAGTCAGGGCAGAGCAGGTAGCAGGTAATCAGAATGAGTTAGGGTGGAGCAGCTGATCGGAATGAGTTAGGGTGGAGCAGCTGATCCGAATGAGTTAGGGTGGAGTAGGTAATCAGAATGAGACAGGGTGGAGTAGGTAATCAAAAAAGGTTGCTTTATGAGGAAGTTAAATTTAAAAGTAGAAGGCAAAGGATTGAACATACTGACATATTAATTATTTGAAAAGAAATTTAGAACTCATACCTAACAACCCCTCCCCTTGTATTTCCTTACAGCTGTCTTTTCAAACTTTTTTTTAACATGTCTTGCCTTAGTTGCTTTGCTTGATTTTCCAAAAGAAGAAGCTTCTCTGGGTAAGGTAGAGGATAGTTAAGGGATATTTTAATTAAGTGCTGTTTCAATGAGCCTCTGCACCAACCCACAGATGCATGGTGTGACATAGCACCTGACAAGAATAAGTACACCCATTACAGCTGTGAGGGAAGTAAGAATTGAGGCTATTATTCTTTTCCATTTACCAAACCACTTTTCTAGCCATTCTGTAAAAGTGATCATTTACCCCTGAGTTGTTGGCTAACTCATTGGACAGAGAAGTTAGACCTTGCAATGCCTTTGTTATACTTCCATTAAGGGTGATGTTGTTTGGGATGAAGGTGCAACATTGAGTTTTAATCATGAGGCAAACTCCTCCGCTTTCTGCTAATATCATGTTTAAGGCTATCCTATTTTCCCAAGCCATCTGGCTAGTAGCCCCTAATTGTTCAGGTATTCCTTTAACAGCATCTCTAGTGTAGTTAATAGATCACCGTTGGTTGTAGATGTAGTTTATCCAATCTACATTTTTATTAATTGTCACCTACCAAAATATTGACTTGAATCCTGCAGCTATTTGATTTTGGGCTTTAAATTGATCTGGTATTCCCTGTGGGACTTTAATTGTGTCTAAATAGATGTGAGAGTCAAAAGACCTATAAGAGGCTTCTCTTGCTTTACGATGTTTTATTTTTCCTTCCTCTGGTTGATAAAATGCCAGAGTGAAAGGGATAGCCAATTGGACTAAAGCACAAGTGCCACTCCAGTTATTTGGGAGAGTGTCCAGTAAAGATCCACCACAATACCACCACACATCCACTCGGGGATGAACAAGGGCTGACTGATTGATAAGCTCTTGAAAATTCTTAAGCTCACTGCATCCCTTCAGGTCTCCAAGGAATACTAAGTTTCCTCCCTGTCATGAGAGACACAAAGTGAACTTTGTATTGGGAGATGGAAGCTGGATGCCCTCGGGGGCTGACCCACAGGGTGCCGGACTTCAGGATATAGCAGAGAGAGAGCTTGGCATGACTTATTACTCCAGGCTGTAGAATCCTGGAAAAGAGCTACCATAAAGCCCATGCCTGGTCAACTGGAGGACCACCCTAGTGGTAAGGGGACAATCTGGGCCTCTGGCCTACCATGCACACAAGCATAACAATTGCTTTTGTTTAATGTGTGGAGGGAATATTTGATCCATTCCAACCAGGCATTTGCATCTTGGTATCCTAATTGCCAAAGTTTGTTTTAAGTCTAACTCCTATGATAGCTATAGCTATCTTGGTCTTGTTGTTAGATGGAGGAGGAGCAATTTTTCCATTGTGAGAGGTTTTGGAAGAAGGCTTAGAGGAAGTTGCAGGGGGTGGGGGATCAAATAAATGCATTTCAAAGAATCTAATAGGGTTTGTCCCTGAAACCTCAGCCCCCATACCATAAAACCAGCTTAAAGAAGGGAACCGGCTTAGAAAAGGGGAAGAACTTTGAGGATTTCAGATAATGACCTGTATAGAATTACACTGGTTTAGCTGACAGTTAGCGGGGGAGGGCTGTTCCTTTAATAAAATGAATGTATGGTTTTAGGAAATTACAAAAACCGGTTGGGGCAGTCCATTCTTGCTCTTTAGTGGTCCACAGAATGTTGGACCAACTACAGCATAAAAGCTCTACATCAGGGAGCAAGACTCCTGATTGACACTGGGGTCTTTATTGAAATCTCCCCGGATTAAATGGTCCCAATTCACTAATGTCCAGCCTGAGGAGAGTCAGGAGGGACAGAGGTACTTTTCTGAAGTAGGGAGCCATCTTTGACTTGGCAAATCCCTACAGGGCATAACAAGGCAAACATTAAATGCAATAGTTCGAGGCAAAATTGACTTGGTTATGTTAATAACTAGATGGTCAGCAATAGAATGAGATAAGAAGAAAGAGTAATAGGATAGATGAAAATTTAAAGTTAAATTTTTCTTAGCTTTAGTTTGGTAGGGTTTTCCCCTGGGACTATGGCCCACGACTCTAGAGGGGATGGTGCTTTCTTGACTTGGGTGTGATGAGTCCATCCCCTTCCTGCTGTACGAACAGCAGTCTTGGTGGTTAGCAGCACAAGTTAGAGTCATTCCTATGCTGGTTTGAGTTTTCCTTCTTTCCACCCTTTGATGAGAACATGATCCTCAGGCTGGTGCTGGTTTACCAAAAAATCTTGGGGTGGTACCTGTGCTAAAAGACTTAGTTTTGAGGGAAAGGAAAGTGAAGGATAAACCAAGTATATAATTTCTAAGAAATTGACCTTTTGTTTTAAATGTGGAGACATCAGCAGTGGACTTTATAGTCCTTGGTGCCTTCTTACTGAGAAATTTCCTTTAGCACCTATTTTTATTAGTTTTTAGACCAAAGAAAGCCAAATGCCATTTTATATTTGACAATGCTTCCTGTATGATTTTTATACCAGATAAGCTAAATTTCACCTTTATATTAGTGTGTTATTAATGTTAAACTTAATTTTAATACAACCTTGTAGACATATTTATCCAATTTTTAATGTCTGACCAGAAGGTAAGATTTTTATAGACTTTTTTTAACCTTTTATAATTTTTGTTACAGAGCAGGTTAGTGCTTTAAGAAAAACCTGTTGTGCTTTTAATGTCCAGTTCACAGAAAAACTGGATGACACCCCCTTAACTTTAGCCAATATGTTTACACACAGAATTTCCTTTACAATTAATGTTTTAAAACTTGCTTAAACCTTTAAAACAAAATATATACTTTTTAACCTTTTAATGTAGGTAAAAATCCACATTCTTATGCATCCTTATAATCCTTTTACCAAAAGTATATTTTACTTTCCTTACACACCTTGCACATAAACTGTTTCTTCAATAGTTTTACATTCAGGAGGCCTAATTACTTTTAAATTATACAACATTTCTTGCATAAATTCCCTTTTATAATTTTTTTTCCTGACTTTCACAGACAATTCTTTGACACGCCTCAACTTTCTGACTTGTCACAAACATCCCTTTTATTTAAACAACCAGTTAATTTATTTTAGGACAAGAATTTACCATATAACATCCCTTTTTATATAAATTCTACCCCCCCCCCACCCCTTTTTTCTTCTCTGAAGATAACTATTCTTTTCCAAAGCAAACTTCCTTCATGTCTGTGGACTAGACTGTCTAAGGCCACAAGATTAGAAGTTAGGATAATACATGTTAACTTTTAGCAAACTTTACTTTTGCTGAAAACCTTGTAAGTTTGGGATTTCAATTATTCTTTATTATTAATACGACCTTGTTTTTAGTCCAAATTAACTTAGAATTTGTACAGATGGTTCCTTCCTGGTTCTGTATTTTGAGGCTTGGCTGAGTGCAAACAGCTCGCACATTTGAGCAGACCAATTATTAGGTAATTTTCCTAACTCTGCTTCTACAAGAGTTTCCTTATCACTTACTGAATACCGATTGTGTCTTCTTCCCTCAATCACCTGGGAGGAAACATCTATCATCCTGTCCTGAAGGGAGTTCCTCCTAGGTCTGGTCGGACCTTTGTGTAGTAATTAAGATTTAGATCCCCTGCTAGGAAACCTGCTGGGTTAAGGGAATTTTTAGTGGTTAATGTTGAATCTTTTTTTTTTTTTTTTTTTAACAGAATTGCCTCATACTTTCTTCTGTTAGCAAAGCAGTTGTCGCTACAGATTGAATGTATTTGGGCCATCTACGGGTTATTGGGTTAAGGATTTTTGATAGGAAGGGTACGGGTTGTCAGTGTCCTCAGTGCTTTCGGGCTATGCCCTTGTTTACACTGACAACAAGGTGGTATTGGAGTGTTACAGGGTCACAGAGAAGACCTTCAATTACCAATTATGGGTTTTTAATTTACCCTGGTTTTTAAAGGAATAGGGTACACTGTTTTTTCTTTACTACATCTTTCTTTCTCTCTGACTTTCTGTCTCTCTTTCTCTCTCTGACTCCCTCTTTCTCTCTCTGACTCCCTCTCTCTCTCTCTGCCTCTTCCTCTCTCTCTCTGCCTCTTCCTCTCTCTGCCTCTTCCTCTCTCTCTGCCTCTTCCTCTCTCTCTCTGCCTCTTCCTCTACCTCTTCCTCTCTCTACCTCTTCCTCTCTCTCTCTGCCTCTTCCTCTCTCTGCCTCTTCCTCTTTGCCTCTTCCTCTCTCTCCCTCTCTCTCCCTCTCTGCCTCTTCCTCTCTCTCTCTCTGCCGCTTCCTCTCTCTCTCTCTGCCTCTTCCTCTCTCTCTCTCTCCGCCTCTTCCTCTTTCTGCCTCTTTCCTCTCTCTCTTTCTGCCTCTTTCCTCTCTCTCTTTCTGCCTCTTTCCTCTCTCTCTTTCTGCCTCTTTCCTCTCTCTCTTTCTGCCTCTTTCCTCTCTCTCTTTCTGCCTCTTTCCTCTCTCTCTTTCTGCCTCTTTCCTCTCTGTCTCTCTCTCTCTTTCTGCCTCTTTCCTCTCTGTCTCTCTCTCTCTCCCCTTTCTGCTGGTCTTTCCCTGCCTGTGCCAGCTGCTTATGCTGTTCTCCCCTCTCCTTCCCCTTTTACCTCGGAAACTAAAAGTTCCTCTGAGGAGGAGACAACATTAGACGGGGGGTTGGGGGGAACAAACAGAGGAGCAAGCAGCGCCTGAATCGACTAAAAAGGTGATAAGCTCATGTTTAGGGCCCACCTCCAAATTTATCAAGGGCTCCTGCTGGGACTCAATATAAAAAAGACAGAGCCCCTGACCCCCCTACTCTTCCTCTAAAGTCATGAGTGGAAGGGCTTCTTTCTCCTTTCTTAGTTCAGGACATCCTCTCTTGAAGTGGCCTGTTTTTCCACATCTATAGCACCTATCTTGTCCTTCCTCCCTCTTAGTTCTGGGATTCTTTAACCCTGCTCCCCCATACTCTTTAGGGGGCCTGGTAGATGAGGACCTTGGTCCTCCAGATAGAGGCTGGGGTCATTTAAAAGAGGGTTCGGACCCTTTATAGTTTCTGGCTCCCTGGAAGCTCTGTCTAGACGTACCTGGGTTTGGAGCCATCTGTTGGAAGGTGGAAAACATAAGTTTTGTCTTTTTTTTTCTCTTTTTCTTCATCCCTTTTCATGTATACTTTCTGAGCTTCCCTGAGAAGCTCACTTAGAGGACGGTCTTCCCAATTGTCTATTTTTGTAACTTTTTTGAAATATCTGGCCAACTTTTAGTGACAAATTGGAGTTTCAACATTCCTTGCCCAAGGGGATCATCCAAATTGAGGCCTGCACATTGCCTCATTTGCTCCCTCAGTCTGTCTAGGAATCTCATAGGCCCTTCGTCCTTTTCCTGTTGTATATCAAGTGCTTTAGAAAGATTTCGAGTTCAGGGTACTTATTCCCAAATTCCTTTTATTATTATCTCCCTTACATTCTGCATATTTTCCCGGTGATCTGCGTTGTTATTGTCCCACTGGGGGTCTCGGGTGGAGAATTTCTGGCCTGTGGTAGGAATGTTTTCATCAGGAGGGTGCTCACATTCCTGAACTACCATAGCAGCCCTACAAATCATACTCCTTTCTTCCTCTGAAAAGAGGATGCCCAAGATGGACAGTAACTCGACCCAAGTGTATAACTGAGGTCCTAAGAATTGGTCAATTTGGTCTGCCACTCCATAAGGGTCATCTAGTGGCAGTTTAAGCTCCTTTTTAAAATTTCAGACTTACAAAGCCAATGCCTGCCCCCCGCCCCCCCCCCCCCCGACCTCCCTTGTGGTACCTCTTTCAAAGGGAAGAGGGTCGGGGCTGACCTCTTAGGTACAGAAGGAACTGGGAAATTCTAAATATCTTTTTTACATTGTTCTACCTCATGCTGGAGTCCTTTTAGAGAGGGGTCTTTAGGTTGGGAGGGAACAGGCTGGTGGCACAGTAATTCCCAAGAGTCAGGGTTATAAGGAGGAGGGATAATGTGAGTAGAGGGGGAATTTGGAATGGGATCTGAGGCAGCAGTGGCTGTTTGAGGGGAAAGATCGGGGACACTGAGTGGGGGAAGATACTCTAGGGGATCCCACGTGCTGGAATCTTTAGGCATGAGAGCTGGCTCCTCTGACTTTTCATTTTGAGGTGCCAGATTTGGTTCTTCCCTATTTGTTTTTAAGGGAAAAAGGAGGGCAGGTCCTTGCCTCCAACAAAGGGCATAGCCTAGTTCTTCTTGAGATACTGGACTTTTATCATTAACATATCAGATTAGAAACTGACACATTACATACTCATTCTACCCAAACTTTGGCCAGAAGATTGAGGTATTGAGGATGGGTCCCTGAGTCCAAATAAAACAGCAATATTTTAACATTTGTTGCTTTTTCCTATGTTTAGTCCTCTCATTATCTTTCCAGTGTTTTCGCATGAGACCTAGGGGGCTATACAGTGGAATATCTTCGTTACCATCTTTATCCCCCTTACTCCCTGTCTTGCTTGGGGTATTTCCCATCTTGATGGTTTTGGGGTAAGGTTCAAGGTTCAATTTCCCCTACTGGAAATTTCTCACCTTTTGGGGTAAGCCTCAATTTCCCCACTGGGATTTTTGCCTTTTGGGGTGGGGCTCAATTTCCCCACTGGAAATTTCTTGCCTTTTGGGGTGAGGCTCAATTTCCTCCATGGGAAATTTCTCACCTTTTCTACTATGGAGGTTTGTGTGAGGTTCAATCCCCCCCAGTGGGGATGTCTCACCTCTTTTTAACCTCTAAGCCACCCCAACCAAGGAGTACTTCACTGCCCCACCCCCCACGGCTTTCTTACCTTGGTCCTGACCACCAGGGAAATACTTTACTGGCTCCCACGGCTTCTCCTTCCTTGGTCCATGCCCAGAGTCATTGCTGCAGTATGTGAGGATCCTTTAAGCTAGGTTGCTGGCCAGTTTTTTGTTTTGGTTTGGTTTTTTCTGTGTTGCTGAGAGCTCAGGTTATTCCTCGCACTGGGTGGGTCTTGATTTCTCACCCCTGAGGCCGCCAGAAGGGGGCGGGGCACACCTCCTCACGAGAGTGAACCAGAGACCGTCCCCAGAGGGAAATGTAATCACAGGCGAGCCCCCAAATTGTTACATATAAAGTTTCAGTGCTGCAAAAGAAATAGCACTCAAATATAAAATTTTATTTTTAACTCTCAGCAAGGCCAGGTACTTCTGTAGAAAGATGTGCCCTGGTGGCTCACGCCTGTAATCCCAGCACTTTGGGAGGCCAAGATGGGTGGATCACGAGGTCAGGAGATCGAGACCATCCTGGCTAACACGGTGAAACCCCGTCTCTACTAAAAATACAAAAAAATTAGCCAGGCTTGGTGGTGGGTGCCTTGTAGTCCCAGCTACTTGGGAGGCTGAGGCAGGAGAATGGCAAGAACCCGGAAGACAGAGCTTGCAGTGAGCTGAGATCACGCCACTGCACTCCAGCCTGGGCGACAGAGAGAGACTCCGTCTCAAAAAACAAAACAAAACAAAAATGAAGTGTGCACCCTTACAGATGGAGCAATGGTGAGCGCACACTTGGACAAGGGAGGGGAAGGAGTTCTTATCCTTGACGCACATGGCCCCTGCTGCTGTGTTATTCCCCTATTGGCGAGGATTAGACTGCATGGGCTAAACTAATACTGATTGGCTAATTTAAAGAGAATGATGGGGTGAGTGCTTTGGCAGAAGTCAGGGTCGAGCAGGTAGCAGGTAATCAGAATGAGTTAGTGTGGAGCAGCTGATTGGAATGAGTTAGGGTGGAGCAGATGATCAGAATGAGTTAGGGTGGAGTAGGTAGTCGAAAAAAGTTGCTTTACAAGGAAGTGAAGTTTAAAAGTAGAAAGTTTAAAAGGAAGTTTAAAAGTAGAAGGCAAAGAATTGAACATACTGACATATTAATTCTTTGAAAATAAATTTAGAATTCATATCTAACAGTGGTCAGAGCACAGTTTGGTTTTATACATTTTAGGGAGACATGAGACATTAATCAACATATGTAAGATGAACATTGGTTCCGTCTGGAAAGGTGGGACAACTCAAAGTGGGGAGGGAGCTTCCAGGTCATAGGTAGGTAAGAGACAAATTGTTGCATTCTTTTGAGTTTCTGATTAATCTCTCCAAAGGAGGCAATGAGATATGCATTTATCTCAGTGAGCAGAGGGGTGACTTTGAATAGAATGGGAGGCAGATTTGCCCTAAGCAGTTCCCAGCTTGACTTTTCCCTTTAGCTTAGTGATTTTGGGGGCCCAAGATATTTTCCTTTCACACTTTGACACAGGGAAGATGATGCTGACAATCAGAAGGCTGTGTTTCTGAGAACTGATGCTGCTTCATTTCAAAAACATAAACAGTGAGAAGCAATGCTTTTACTAAAACATGAATAAAAAATCATTACCACTATATCTGAGTGTTTAACATGTGCTTCTAGTGAAAGTTAAGAAGTGGCAAATGAGTCAGGGCCTGGAACATGAGGGTTAAACAGGGCATTACCCACCTGAGCTCTTTCTCTCAGGTTTTCTGGGGAATCAGTGATTATTTCACCAGGCAGCATCACTCTTCTCCTTGTTCATCTGTGTGAAACCACGTTCACCCTAATCCAACCCAGGCAAGACAATACAACATGATAGTGACAGCCCTGGCTTTGTGGTTCTGTTCTTATATTTTAACGTTAAAAATATGAATTTCTTGGCCGGTCATGGTGGCTCACACCTGTAATCCCAGTACTTTGGGAGGCCAAGGGATGGGGGGCCGGGGGGGTGGATCAACAGAGGTCAGGAGCTTGACACCAGCCTGGCCAACAATGGTGAAACTCCATCTCTACTAAAAATACAAAAATTAGCCAGGCATGGTGGCAAGTGCCTGTAATCTCAGCTACTTGGGAGGCTGAGGCAGGAGAATAGCTGGAACCTGAGAGGTTGCAGTGAGCTGAGATCATGCCATTGCACTTCAGCCCAGGTGACAACAGCAAGACTCCACCTCAAAAAAAAAAAGAATTTCTTGTTAATTTCCCCATTTGTAGCACTATTCTATTTTGTTATGTTATTCTTTGTTATTCTTTCTATCTCTCTATCCATCTATCTCCCTATTCATCCAGATGGAAAACAAGCACTGGTTATAGACATGGATAAATATGCATGCATATTCATGCTGGCAAATGCATAACCACTTGCATTTAATCCAGAACACAGCTTTAAAGCCAGATTAAATCATGGCTTCAATGCTCATTAGTTGTGAGACCATCAACCATCAACATCTCATTTTCACCTATGTAATGATATACTTTCTTCTATCTAAAGGATGTGGACAACATAGAATAAAAACATATCCAAGAAAATAGAACTACCAAATGCAGTTCAAATAAAGAGAGAGTGAAGTAGGACCAATTATATGGATATAAAGAGATGTCACAGAATTCCAAAATAAGAGGTTAAGTGCACCCAGTCCTCAGAAGGACTCTGTTCTCTAGCTTTTTCTTTGCTCATTGATTTCTTCTGATTACTGGTCTGCTAGGCATAAATTTCCTTAGCCCCCACATCTATAAAACCTCACAGTCCACTGCCCATCAGTAACTTTTATTTTTAATACCAAATTACTGGAAGAGCAATCTGGCTGGTTTAACTTATCTGCTTTGAGTGAAGGCATCTATGCCATAGGTTGCTGGCTAGAAAAGGGCTGCCACTGGGTTAGATTTCTGCCCATTGGCAAATAAGTTATGGTTGGAGCGGGAAAGGAGGAGTATCCCAGGGAAATAGCACTGTCTAAGGCACTATTTCTCAGAGGTAGCTATGTATAGCAGACAATAATTTCAAGGGCCAAGTGTAGACTAGGTGCTCAATACGTAGGATTTCAATTTTTTTTTTCTTTTTGAGACAGAGTCTCACTCTGTCACCCAGGCTGGAGTGCAGTGGCATGATCTTGGCTCACTGCAACCTCCGCCTCCCGGGTTCAAGCAATTCTCCTGCCTCAGCCTCCCAAGTAGCTGGGACTACAGGTGCATGCCACGGACACCAAGCTAACTTTTGTAGTTTTAGTAGAGACAGGGTTTCACCATATTGGTCAGTTGGTCTCAAATTCCTGACCTCAGATGATCCACCCGCCTCAGTCTCCCAAAGTGCTGGGATTACAAGCGTGAATCACTGTGCCTGGCCAGAATTTCAATTTTTATAAACCAGATGGAAGGTAGTGTTTTCTTGACTTTTAACCATGAAACTTAAGAAGTTTATTATTATTATTATTATTATTATTATTATTATTATTATTTCAATAGCTTTAGAGGTATGTGTGGTTTTTGGTTACATGGATGAATTGTATAGTGGTGAATCTGGAATTTTAGGATACTTGTCACTTGAATAGTGTACATTGTACCCAATACACAGTTTTGCATCCCTCACCTCCTACCCACTCTTCCCCCTTCAGGGTCTCCAATGTCCATTATACCATTTTGTATGCCTTTGTGTACCCACAGCTTAGCTCCCACTTACAAGTGCGAACCTGCAGTATTTGGTTTTCCATAACCATGGAATTTAAGGAGGGAGTTCTAGATGTCCAATGAATTGTCTACTTCTCTTGTATTATTTTTATTAGGAAATTTTTCAATTACACAGAAAACAACAGATTCTAATATAACTGAACATCTGAATTTAAAAGACATTTATTAGTTGTAATATTTTTCAAATCATTTTAATAATATGAATGAAATATTACTGGTAAAATTGAGAAATTTTATTGTCATTTTCAGTTCTCTGGCCCTTCCTACCTATGTTAACAAAATCACTATCATCCTTATATCATGTGTATATTCTTCAATCATGCTATTATAATTTTGTCACGTTAATGTGTATTCCTAAGCAATGTATGGTATTTTAAATGCTTTCTTTTTTAAGTATATTTTAATTTTTATTTTAGATTCAGGAGTACATGTGCAGGTTTGTTAGGTGGGTATATAACATGATGCTGAGGCTTGGTGTATGAGTGATCCTGTCACCCAGGTAGTGAACACAGTACCCAATAGGTAGTTTTTCAGCCCTTGCTCCCATCCCTCCTTCCCTCCTCTAGTATTCCCCAGTGTTTATTGTTGCCATCTTTATGTCCATGTGTATTCAATGTTCAGCTCCCCCTTATAAGTGAGAACATGCAGTATTTGGTTTTCTGTTCCTGTGTTAATTCACTTAGGATATTGGCTTGGACCGCATCCACGTTGCTGCAAAGGACATGATATCACTCTTTCTTATGGTGCCATAGTATTCCGTGGTGTATATGTACTATATTTTCTTCATCCAATCCATCAATGATGGGCACCTATGTTGATTCCATGTCTCTGCTATTGTGACTAGTGCTGCGATAAGCATATGAGTGTGTGTGTCTTTTTGGCAGAATGTTTTATGATCCTTTGGGTATATACCCAGTAGTAGGATTGCTGGGTTGAATGGCAGTTCTGTTTTAGGTCCTTTGAGAAGTCTCCAACTTCTTTCCACACTGGCTGAACTAGTTGACATTCCCACCAACAGCGTATAAGCCCCAGTCTTCCATAGCACTCCCAGGCCTATTAGGACAAGGAAATTCCCACCCAGTAAATTTTAGCCAGACCGGTTATCTGCTCTTAAACCCTGTCTCCTGATAAGATGTTATCCATGACAATGCATGCCCAAAACTTCATTACCAATTTTAATTTCACCCTGGTACTCTGCCCCCATTTGCCTTGTGATATTTTATTGCCTTGTGAAGCATGTGATCTCTGTGACCCACACCCTATTCGTACACTCCCTCCCCTTTGAAAATCAGTAATAAAAACTTGCTGGTTTTATGGCTCAGGGGGCATGAAGGAAACTGCCAACATGTGATGTCTCCCCCGGACACCCAGCTTTAAAATTTCTCTCTTTTGTACTCTTTCCCTGTATTTCTCAGACTGGCTGATACTTAGGGAAACAGAAAAGAACCGACGTGAAATATTGGGGGTGGTTCCCCTGATAGGTCCCACATGTCAATTTTTGTTCTTGTTACAATTGCTTTTGAGGACTTAGTCATAAATTATTTGCCAAGGCCAGTGTCCAGAATGACATTTCCTTTCTTCTAGGATTTTTATAGTTTTAGGTCTCACATTTAAGCCTTTAATCCATCTTGAGTAAATTTTTGTCTATGGTGAAACATAGGATTCCAGATTCAATCATCTGCTTAGGGCTAGCCAGTTATCCCAGTACCATTTACTGAATAGGGAGCCCTTTTCTCATTGTTTGTTTTTGCTGATTTTGTCAAAGATCAGGTGGTTGTAGGTGTGTGGCTTTATTTCTGGGTTCTCTATTCTGTTCCATTGGTCTATGGGTCTGTTTTTGACCAATACCATGCTGTTTCGGTTACTGTAGCCTTGTAGTATAGTTTGAAGTTGAGTAATGTGATGCATCCAGCTTTGTTCTTTTTGCTTAGGATTGCTTTTGCTATTAGGGCTCTTTTTTGGTTTCATATGAATTTAAGAATAGTTTTTTCTATTCAAATAGAGGATGACTTTGATGAGTTGACAGAACTAGGCTTCAGAAGGTCGGTAATAATAAACTTCTCTAAGCTAAAGGAGCATGTTCAAACCCACAACAAGGAAGCTAAAAACCTTGAAAAAAGATTAGATGAATGGCTAACTAGAATAAACAGTGTAGAGAAGATCTTAAATGACCTGATAGAGCTGAAAACCATGGCAGGAGAACTATGTGATGCATGCATAAGCTTCAGTAGCCAATTCGATCAAGTGGAAGAAAGGGTTTCAGCAATTGAAGATCAAATTAATGAAATGAAGCAAGAAGAGAAGTTTAGAGAAAAAAGAGTAAAAACAATGAACAAAGCCTCCAAGAAATATGGGACTATGTGAAAAGACCAAATCTACATTTGATTGGTGTACCTGAAAGTGACAGGAGAATGGAACCAAGCTAGAAAACATTCTTCAGGATATTATCCAGGAGAACTTCACCAACCTAGCAAGGCAGGCCAACATTCAAATTCAGGAAATTCAGAGAACACCACAAAGGTACTCCTCGAGAAGGGCAACCCCAAGACACATAATTGTCAGATTCACCAAGGTTGAAATGAAGGAAAAAATGTTAAGGGCAGCCAGAGAGAAAGGTTGGGTTACCCACAAAGGGAAGCCCATCAGGCTAACAGCGGCTCTCTCAGCAGAAACTCTATAAGCCAGAAGAGAGTGGGGGCCAATATTCAACATTCTTAAAGAAAAGAATGTTCAACCCAGAATTTCACATCCAGCCAAACTAAGCTTCATAAGTGAAGGAGAAATAAAATCCTTTACAGACAAGCAAATGCTGAGAGATTTTGTCACCACCAGGCCTGCCTTACAAGAGCTCCTGAAGGAAGCACTAAACATGGAAAGGAACAACCGGTATCAGCTACTGCAAAAATACGCAAAATGGTAAAGACCATCGATGCTAGGAAGACACTGCATCAACTAACGGGCAAAATAACCAGCTAACGTCATAATGACAGGATCAAATTCACACATAACAATATTAACCTTAAATGTAAATGGGCTAAATGCCCCAATTAAAAGACACAGACTAGCAAATTGGATAAAGAGTCAAGACCCATCAGTGTGCTGTACTCAGGAGACCCATCTCAAGTACAGACACACATATAGGCTCAAAATAAAGGGATGGAGGAAAATTTACCAAGAAAATGGAAAGAAAAAAAAAAAGCAGGAGTTGCAATCCTAGTCTCCGATAAAATAGACTTAAAACCAATAAAGATCAAAAGAGACAAGGCCATTACATAATGGTAAAGGGATCAATTCAACAAGAAGAGCTAACTATTCTATACATATATATCTGCACCCAATACAGGAGCACCCAGATTCATAAAGCAAGTCTTTAGAGACCTACAAAGAGACTTAGATTCCCACACAATAATAATGGGAGACATTAACACCCCACTGTCAATATTAGACAGATCAACATGACAGGAGGTTAGACACAAGGATATCCAGGACTTGAACTCAGCTCTGCACCAATCAGACCTAATAGACATCTACAGAACTCTCCACCCCAAATCAACAGAATATACATTCTTCTCAGCACCACATTGTACTTATTCCAAAATTGACCACATAGTTGGAAGTAAAGCACTCCTCAGCAAATGTAAAAGAACACAAATCACAACAAACTGTCTCTCAGACCACAGCGCAATTAAATTAGAATGCAGGATTAAGAGTCACTCAAAACCACACAACTACATGGAAACTGAACAATCTGCTCCTGAATGACT
Source organism: Homo sapiens (assembly GCF_000001405.40). Classification (NCBI taxonomy): domain Eukaryota; kingdom Metazoa; phylum Chordata; class Mammalia; order Primates; family Hominidae; genus Homo; species Homo sapiens. The sequence goes on from NC_000001.11 coordinate 173,698,569, forward strand.
ACTGGGTAAATAACGAAATGAAGGCAGAAATAAAGATGTTCTTTGAAACCAATGAGAACAAAGACACAATGTACCAGAATCTCCAGGACACATTTAAAGCAGTGTGTAAAGGGAAATTTATAGCAATAAATGCCCACAAGAGAAAGCAGGAATGATCTGAAATCAACACCCTAACATCAAAATTAAAAGAACTAGAGAAGCAAGAGCAAACAGATTCCAAAGCTAGCAGAAGGCAAGAAATAACTAAGGTCAGAGCAGAACTGAAGAAGATAGAGACACAAAAAACCCTTCAAAAAAATCAATGAATCCAGGAGCTGTTTTTTTTTTAAAGATCAACAAAATTGATAGAGTGATAGCAAGACTAATAAAGAAGAAAAGAAAGAACAATCAAATAGATGCAATAAAAAATGATAAAAAGGATATCACCACCGATCCCACAGAAATACAAACTACCATCAGAGAATACTATAAACACCTCTACACAAATAAACTAGAAAATCTAGAAGAAATGGATAAATTCCTGGACACATACACCCTCCCTACACTAAACCAGGAGGAAGTTGAATCACTGAATAGAACAATAACAGGATCTGAAATTGTGGCAATAATTAATAGCCTACCAACCAAAAAAAGTCCAGGACCACATGGATTCACAGCTGAATTCTACCAGAGGTACAAAGAGGAACTGGTACAATTCCTTCTGAAACTATTCCAATCAATAGAAAAAGAGAGAATCCTCCCTAACTCATTTTATGAGGCCAGCATCATCTTGATACCAAAGTCTGGCAGAGATACAACAAAAAAAGAGAATTTTAGACCAATATCCCTGATGAACATCAAAGCAAAAATCCTCAATAAAATACTGGCAAACTGAATCCAGCAGCACATCAAAAACCTTATCCACCAAGATCAAGTTGGCTTCAACCCTGGGATGCAAGGCTGGTTCCACATACACAAATCAATAAATGTAATCCATCACATAAACAGAACCAAAGACAAAAACCACATGATTATCTCAATAGATGCAGAAAAGGCCTGACAAAATTCAACAACCCTTCATGCTAAAAACTCTCAATAAATTAGGTATTGATGGGATGTATCTCAAAATAATAAGAGCTATTTATGACAAACGCACAGCCAATATCATACTGAATGGGCAAAAACTGGAAGCATTCCCTTTGAAAACTGGCATAAGACAGGGACGCCCTCTCTCACCCCTCCTATTCCACATAGTGTTGGAAGTTCTGACCAGGGCAATCAGGCAAGAGAAAGAAATAAAGGGTATTCAATTAGGAAAAGAGGAAGTCAAATTGTCCCTGTTTGCAGATGACATGATTGTATATTTAGAAAACCGCATCATCTCAGCCCAAAATCTCCTTAAGCTGATAAGCAACTTCAGCAAAGTCTCAGGATACAAAATCAATGTGTAAAAATCACAAGCATTCCTATACACCAATAACAGAGAAACAGAGAGCCAAATCACGTGTGACTTCCCATTCACAATTGCTACAAAGAGAATAAAATGCCTAGGAATCTAACTTACAAGGAATGTGAAGGACCTCTTCAAGGAGAACTACAAACCACTGCTCAACAAAATAAAAGAGGACACAAACAAATGGAAGAACATTCCATGCTCATGGGTAGGAAGAATCAATATTGTGAAAATGGCCATACTGCCCAAGGTAATTTATAGACTCAATGCCATCCCCATCAAGTTACCAATGACTTTCTTCACAGAATTGGAAAAAACTACTTTAAAGTTCATATGGAATCAAAAAAGAGCTTGCATTGCCAAGACAGTCCTAAGCCAAAAGAACAAAGCTGGAGGCATCATGCTACCTGACTTCAAACTATTCTACAAGGCTACAGTAACCAAAACAGCATGGGACTGGTACCAAAACAGAGATATAGACCAATGGAACAGAACAGAGGCATCAGAAATAATGCCACATATCTACAACCATCTGATCTTTGGACAACCTGACAAAAACAAGAAATGGGGAAAGGAGTCCCTATTTAATAAATGGTGCTGGGAAAACTGGCTAGCCATATGTAGAAACCTGAAACTGGATCCCTTCCTTACACCTTATACAAAAATTAATTCAAGATGGATTTAAGACTTAAATGTTAGACCTAAAACCACAAAAACCCAAGAAGAAAACCTAGGCAATACCATTCAGGACATAGGCATGGGTAAGGACTTCATGACTAAAACACCAAAAGCAATGGCAACAAAAGCCAAAATAGACAAATAGGATCTAATTAAACTAAAGAGCTTCTGCACAGCAAAAGAAACTACCATCAGAGTGAACAGGCAACCTACAGGATGGGAGAAAATTTTTGCAATCTACCCATCTGACAAAGGGCTAATATCCAGAATCTACAAAGAACTTATACAAATTTACAAGAAAAAAGCAACCCCATCAAAAAGTGGGCAAAGGATATGAGCAGACACTTTTCAAAAGAAGACATTTCTGCAGCCAGCAGACACATGAAAAAATGCTCATCATCACTGGCCATCAGAGAAATGCAAATCAAACCCACAATGAGATACCATCTCACACCAGTTAGAATGGCAATCATTAAAAAGTCAGGAAACAACAGATGCTGGAGAGGGTGTGGAGAAATTGGAACACTTTTACACTGTTGGTGGGAGTATAAACTAGTTCAACCATTGTGGAAGACAGTGTGGCAATTCCTCAAGGATCTAGAACTAGAAATACCATTTGACCCAGGGATCCCATTACTGGGTATACACCCAAAGGAGTATAAATCATGCTACTATAAAGACACATGTATACGTATGTTTACTGCGGCACTATTCACAATAGTAAAGACTTGGAACCAACCCAAATGTCCACCAATGATAGACTGGATTAAGAAAATGTGGCACATATATACCATGGAATACTATGCAGCCATAAAAAAGGATGAGTTCATATCCTTTATAGGGACACGGATGAAGCTGGAAACCATCATTCTCAGCAAACTATCACAAGGACAGAAAACCAAACATGACATGTTCTCACTCATAGTTAGGAATTGAACAATAAGAACACCTGGACACAGGGCAGGGTACACCACACACCGGGGCCTGTCGTGAGGTCGGGAGATGGGGGAGGGATAGCATTAGGAGAAATACCTAATGTAAATGACAAGTTAATGGGTGCAGCAAACCAACATGGCACATGCCTATGTAACAAACCTGCACATTGTGCACATGTACCCTAGAACTTAGAGTATAATAAATAAATAAATAAAAATTTAAAAATTAGAATTAAATTAAAAATTTTAATTTTTGTTAGTGACTTAAAAATCATCATTTTATGATTCGAAGCTCACAATAATAATATAAGATAGAGTGAAAATTAAAAATCAAAGATAACTAGAAATTCAACAGGCAAAGGAGTGGTAATGGCATTCAAAAGAAACATAAAAGGGCATGAAGGCACAAAATAAGTTACAAAGTACACTGGTGAACACGTAAGTGTTTGAAATAGCAGAAAAGTGTATGGTTGGGGCAGAGGCAAGAGATGTGGTTACCTGGATTGGAAAAGATCAGACAGCAACATGATCTTGGAGGGGGATGAGACAGCAGGCACAGAGAGAAGCCAAGAGTGGCTCTCTGGCTTCTATCTTGGGTGACTAGGTAGCCTATGATTTTCTAATTAGAAGATTTTGAAGATCAGGGTTAAAATCAGGATGATGAATGCAGGCTTAGACAACTAGAGGTAGAAGTATCAATGTACCTCCAGCCAACATATATTTGAATTCAAAGTTCAGCAGATATGACTGAGATATAAAAATAGATTTCAGAGTATCATCATATAGGGGGTAGCTAAAACCTTCAAAGAGGATGGGCTCCAAAGCCACCCAAGGTGAGTGTTTATAAGGAGAAGAAAAGAGGGCTAAAGGCAGAGCCTTGGGGAACAACTACATTTAGGGAGAAGGCAAAGGAAGATAGGGAAAAATCATTAGAGAATAAACAGCTTTAGGTGAATGTGGCAACATAGAAGCCAAGGAAGAAGGAGAAGGAGGAAGGAGGAAGGTAGGGGGTAAGTGCCATGATGTCAGGGGCTCTGCACTGATCTTTATTGCTGGCAGTCTGCTGGCTTGCTGGCAGTCTGCTGGCTGTCATTCTGTGTCCTCTTTTTTTTTTTTTTTTTTTTTTGAGATAGGGTCTCACTTTCTTGCCGAGGCTGAAATGCAGTGGTGCAATCACAGCTCACTATAACCTTGAACTTCTGGGCTCATGTGATCTTCCCACTTCAGCCTCCTGAAGTCATTAGGACAATAGACATGCACCACCACCATGCCTGGCTAATTTTTTTATTTCTTTTACAGACAGGATCTTGCTATGCTGCCCAGGCTTGTCTGGAATTCCTGGCCTCAAGTGATCCTCCCAACCTGGACTCCCAAAGCACTGGGATTACAAGCATGAACCACCATGCCCCTCTGTGTCCATTCTTCTTATTTCATTTTTTTGAGATGAAGTCTCATTCTGTTGTCCAGGCTAGAGTACAGTAGCATGATCTTGGCTACCTGCAACCTCCACCTCCTGGGTTCAAGCGATTCTCATGCCTCAGCCTCCCAAGTAGCTGGGGTTACAGGCGCATACCACTCCACTATACCCAGCTAATTTTTTTTTTTTTTGAGACGGAGTCTTGCTCTGTCGCCCAGGCTGGAGTGCAGTGACACGATCTCGGGTCACTGCAAGCTCCACCTCCCGGGTTCACACCATTCTCCTGCCTCAGCCTCCCGAGTAGCTGGGACTACAGGCGCCTGCCACCACACCTGGCTAATTTTTTTGTATTTTTAGAAGAGACAGGGTTTCACCGTGTTGGCCAGGCTGGTCTCGAACTCCTGACCTCAGGTGATCCACCCACCTCAGCCTCCCAAAGTGCTGGGCTTACAGGTGTCAATCACCGCGCCCGATATCTGTGTCCATTCTTATACATCCATTCACATGCCTCTACCTCAGGTCTCCTTTTCCCCTGTCCCCAAATATTTCACCTTCCAGCCAAGCCATTCATTGCAGTTTGTGTGTCTATGTAAATTCTAACCTTGAACCATTTTTCTTTCCACACAAACGTAGGTTTCCCAATGTTCTTGCCCATTTGGAGAATTTCCTCTCACCTCTGCAGTGCAGCTACTGTCCATTTTATGGCTTGCACCAGTGTCCTGATCCAACCCAGTCATGAACCAAGCTCAAGCTTTTTCCCACTCTTTCAGTTGGTCATAAGGCAAGCCCACGCAACCACAGGTGTGAGAGAAGGGAAAGTACTTATGTAACAGTGATGGTCTGATGATGCTGACACTTTGATCTCAGACTTCTAGCCTCCAGAACTGCAAGAAAATAGATTTCAGTTGTTAAAGCCACTTAGCACAGCTGCCCTACAAACTAATGCAGTCCTTTTCCTCCATTATGGGTCAAGCATGTCCCTAGCAGGGTTATGTTGTAACTTAATCTGGTTATTGCCTTAGTGGCAAGGCAGGAAAGTGGGGCTGATCTTGAAAGGGCTCATGTCCCGCGGTGGGGAGGCCTTTTCAACTTCAAGCAAGGAAGGAGCACTAGCCCTAGGGAGGAGAGGGCCACTTCTCTAGGCTCAGAGGGTTCAGGGAAATTTGGGAATTAAAGATTTGGGGGTGCATGAACATAGATGTCCCCATCCCATGTGTCAAGATCCCACTCTTTCCCAACTAGCACCCTGTTCTAGGCAGAGCCAACTTGCCAGTAGTAAGAATTTAATCTTCCTTGAGGTCCTGCAACTCTTACAATTAAGTCCTGGACCTAGCCCTCAGCTTTTCCTGCTTTCCAGTTGCAGATAAGAGCCTCTTTATTTCTTAATGAGGAGGCCCTTTGGCTTTCATGCTTAGTTTTTAATTGTCAAATTAATCACTTTCAACCTTTCATTACATTTCTTCAAAATATCAAATAAGCTTAACATCAGCCCACTCATATTTCCCCCATACATCTCAAACATCTGATCCACTGAACCTACTAGGGTGTTTCCATCCACCAGAAGATACAGTTCAGCAGCAGTGAAGTTTGAACAATTGCACTTCAGTTGTGCCAAGGACTGTCTGTGCTTCTTTCTACCACAAGTGTTGATATTCTCATTGCTAGCCTGGAAGCAGGTGGTCCAATACCAAAATCCCATTATAGTGACTGCTTTCTTGAACCACTCCTGACACTAACTGTTGCAGTTGGACTCCTCTGGAAGCATATTCTGAGATGGAGTTTAGTATGTAATTTATTAGAGAGTGCTTTTGGGACCAATACTTGTGAAAAGAAAGGGACAGAAGCAGGGCAGAGGGAGAAGCTGGGCTGTACTGTAGTTTCAACAAAGGCCTCTGCAGCCCCTCTGGGAAGCTCTGACGCTGGGATGATCCTTCAGAGTTATCCCAAGTAGGGGCAACAGAGCTGTGCCTTTACATCCCAGCATTGACCAGTGATTGAATGCAGGCTGTCCCAGAGAGGGAGTGAGACCTTGGTCAGGCCACTCTTTTTCAGTCAAAGTGCCTCCCAAAAAGGACTGACAGCAGAGCTCTCTCTGTCAACAGCACTTCTAGCATCCGGTGGATTGTGTCCCTCATTCCTGAAGGATGTCTGGGTGGTACATTACAGCATTAACTATGTGCCACCAACTTGACATAGTTAGGTCCATTTATTCTTCAATATTTAGGGATGGCTTTTTTCTCTTTTGATTAAATTTTCTTTAAAAATTTTAAAGATATTAAAATAAATGCCTTTTAGTAAAATAAAAATAAATATTAAGTAAATAATAAAATTTTATTTAAATAAAAATAGACGGCCGAGCATGGTGGCTCATACCTGCAATCCCAGCACTTTGGGAGCCTAGGCAGGTGGATTGCTTGAGCTCAGGAGATCGAGACCAGCCTGGGTACCACGGTGAAACTCTGTCTCTATAGAAAAAAAAAAAAAAAATTAGCCAGGTGTGGTGGCATGCGCCCGTAGTCCCAACTATTTGTGGGGCTGAGGCAGGAGAACTCCTTGAGCCCAGGAGGCTGAGGCAGCAGTGCGCTGTGTTTGCACCACTGCACTGTAGCCTGGGTGATAAAGTGAGACTCTGTGTTAAAAAAAATTAAATAAATAAAAATAGATTTTGCTTAAGTGAATTTTTTAATTATTAAGAACATTTAATAAATAAAAATATAAAGCCTAATACTTTCAAAATCTGGCTGCCATCCCTAACCTTTCCTACCCTGGTCTCTCCTTTCCCCTGTAGGTAACCATTTTTATTAATTATCCATTTATCTTTCAATTTATATATATATGTAAAATTTTAAACTATAAATACATATACACTTATATACACTCACACTATATTTCTACCCATTTCTTAATCAAAGTTAGCATGCTATAAACACTGTTCACTTGGTTTTCATTACTTAACAACATGCCTGAAGAGTATGCCATTAAGAGATCTTCCGGCTGGGCGCAGTGGCTCACGCCTGTAATCCCAGCACTTTGGGAGGCCGAGGCGGGTGGATCACAAGGTCAGGAGTTCGAGACCAGCCTGACCAATATGGTGAAACCCTATCTCTACTAAAAATACAAAAATTAGCTGGCATGGTGGCGTGCGCCTGTAATCCCAGCTACTCAGGAGGCTGAGGTAGGAGAATTGCTTGAACCTGGGTGGTGGAGGTTGCGATGAGCTGAGATTGTGCTACTGTACTCCAGCCTGGACAACAGAGCAAGATTCCGTCTCAAAAAAAAAAAAAAAAAAGATCCTCCTTGTTTTGTTTTGCTTTTAATTTTTTTTTGAGACCAAGTCTCACTCTGTCACCCAGGCTGGAGAGCAGTGGCACGATCTCAGCTCACTGCAACCTCCGCCTCCCAGGTTCAAGCAATTCTCCTGCCTCAGCCTCCCAAGTAGCTGGGATTACAGGTGCCCACGACCATGCATGGCTAATTTTTGTATTTTTAGTAGAGACGGGGTTTCACCATATTGGCCAGGCTGGTCTCGAACTCCTGACCTCAGGTGATCTGCCCACCTCGGCCTCCCAAAGTGCTGGGATTATAGGCATGAGCCACCCCACCCAGCCCTTTGTCATTTCTTTTTATAACTGCATAGTCCTCATTATGTAGATATCCCATTGTTTATTTAATCAGCCCCCTAATAAGAGTCTTTTAGATTCTTTCTAATTTTTGTTATTACAAAGTATCCTGCAGTGAATAACCTTGTGCATAACTTATTTTATTTTTGCAAGTGTTTCCTCAGGATAATGGAAAAAGGTCAATGCAAATGTCATTTTGCTAGATCTTGCCAAATCCCCCTCCATAGAAGTTTTATCATTTTGCACACACTGGTCACAAATGAGTGCATTCTTCCCCACAGTTGTGTCAGAAAAACAGGTTGTGCCATTTCAGATTTTTGCCTACTTTATAGGTGGTAAATGGGTCTCAAAATAGACACAATTTGCATTTATCTTATTATGAGCAAGATTGCTCATGATATATTCATAATATATTTAAATGATTAAGGGCATTTTCTTTTTCTGTAAACTGGCTGTTCATATATTTTGCCCATTTATGTTATTTGTTTTTTTCTCTATTTTTAGGAGTCATTTATATATTACATTATGAACGCTTTATGATATATTAATATATTGCAAATGTGTTTTTCCTAATTGTCATTTTTTTTTACTACATTTATCTTTGTCCCATGGAAATTTTTTTTATGCAGTCAAATTAATCAATCTTTTTGCTTCTAGATTTTGAGTCATATTCAGGGAAGTGTTTCTCCTTTTTTTTTTTTAGACAAAGCCTTGCTCTATCACCCAGGCTGAAGTGCAGTGGTGCGATCTCAGCTCACCATAACATCCACCTTCCAGGTTCAAGTGATTCTCCTGCCTCAGCCTTCCAAGTAGCTGGGATTACAGGTGCCCGCCACCATGCCCAGCTAATTTTTGCATTTTTAGTAGAGACAGGGTTTCACCATGCTGGCCAGCCTGGTCTTGAACTGCTGACCTCAAGTGATCAGCCCACCTTGGCCTTCCAAAGTGCTGGGATTACAGGCATGAGCCACCACGCCCAGGCTCTCCACTCTTAATAAGGAAATTCACCCATATTTTCTTATATTATTTTTACGCTTTCATTATTACCTTAAGCTTTCAAATACATTTGATTGATGTGGGGTATAAAGAACCAGCCTTCTAACTCCAACTCGTGACAAATATAAAGGACCATCCCAGGCTCAGATCTTCCCATAGGGTCTTCAGAGGACTTTGTTGAGACTGCAGTGAAGTCTAACTCATTATATAAGGAAATAAATCCAATTTCTTACGTTTCCATAGTTGTACCAGCATCATTTATTAAACAGTGCCTATTGCCCCACTGATTTGAGATCACATACTAAATTTCCTTATGTTCTAAGGTCTATTTCTGGATTTCTTACCCTGCTGCATTTATCTGTTTATATGCCCAAACCACAGTTTTAATTATAGAGGTTTTAGAACATGTTTTAATAATATCTCTTAGGGTTAACCCTTCTCTCAGCTATTTCTATTTTTAGAGTAAGAGTATTTCTGGTTATTCTCATTTGTCTTTTCTTCCATATTAACTTTATAATCAACTTATCTAGTTCTGTAAAAACTCTGATGTTGATTTTATTTGGTGCTATGGTTTGACTTATGGATGGTGTACTCTCCAAATTTCATGTTGAAATGTAATCCTAAATGTGACATTATTAAGACATATGGCTTTTGGGAGGTGATTAAGCCATGAGGGCTCCACACTCACGAATGGGATTAGCTCCCTTATGGCTCAGGTTTGAAGGAACATTCTCTTGCCTTTCTGCCATGTGTGGAAACAGCATTCATCCCCTCCAGAGGAGGTAGCAGCAGGACAACATCTTGGAAGCAGACAGCAGCCCTTGTCAGACATTGACAATGCTGGTGCCTTGATCTGGGGCCTCCCAGCCTCCAGAACTATGGGAAAATAAATTCTGTTCTTTGTAAATTACCCAGTCTAAGGTATTTTGCTACAGAAGCACAAACAAACAAAGACACTGGATTGCATTAAATTTATAAATTACTTTATGGGGCACTGTTATCTTTATGAAATTGAGTCAACTTATCCAATAATGTGGAATGACTTTCTATCTGCTCAAATCTACTTTTGCTTATTTCAGGAATGTTTTATAGTTTTCCCCATATAGGTTTCACATAACTAATAACTCTAGACTGAGAAATTGTAAAGGATTTAGATTCCATCTTATAGATGAGAAAACTGAGAACAAGAATGACCAAGTGATGGCTTCAGATTACAGGATTAGCACTGGGACCCCGGTCTTCTAGCTCCCATCGTAGTGCTCTCTGCTGTACCACCCTGTAAGCACCCTAGAATTCTATAGCAGCATCAAGAAAACTAGGAAAATGCTTTGTCATTGTCTTACTTGTGCATATTCTTCCTGCTCTGTTCCTGAACTTTCCAAAATACTTTCTAATTTCACCAGCTTTGTGTCATGCCACTCTCCCAAGTGCACCCTGGCCAACCTGTCCTTGCCTCTCTGGCTTTAGTGTCTTTCCCTGGAACATTCCTCCTTCCCTTTCAACTCATGGGGTTTTAGTCAAGTTGTCAGCAAAGTCTGCAGTTTTATCTAGAGGTTCAACTGGGAAAAGATTCACTTCCAAGCTCACTCATGTTGCTAATGGCAGGATTCAGCTTTTCATGGGCTATCGGACTGAGACCTTCAGTTCCTCTCTGATGGCCAGAAGCCTCTCTCAGTTCCTTGCCATACAAGGCTTCTCACAGGGCAGCTCACAATATGGTAGCTTACTTCCCTCAGAAAAAGCTAGGGAGAGATGACATCTGAGACAGAAGCCACAGTCCTTTAATAACCTAATATTAGAAGTACAATTCCATGACTTTTGATATATTCCATTTGTTAGTCACTAGGTTCAGCCCACACTCAAAGGAGGGGATTACATGAGGGCATGAACACCAAGAGGCATAGAAGACTTAGGGCCATCTTAAAGGCTGCACACCACACTTTCTGTTACCCTCTAGACCATATCTGGGCACCCTACTAGATGTTTTCTTTTTTTTTTTCTTTTAGACAGGGCCTTACTCTGTTGCCCAGGCTGAAGTGTAATGGCACAATCACAGCTCACTGCAGCTTCAACCTCCTGAGCTCAAGTGATCCTCCCACCTCAGCCTCCCCAGTAGCTGGGACTAGAGGCATGTGACACCATGCCCAGCTAATTTTTAATTTGTTTGTAGAGACAAAGTCTGCCTATGTTGCCCAAGCTGGTTTCAAACTTCTGGGCTCAAGCAATACTTCTGCCTGGGTCTCCCAAAGAGCTGGGATTATAGGCATAAGCCACCCTACTAGGTGTTTTCTTAGCACCCAGTAGATCACTTTCAATTACCGCAATCGTAATTAAACAACTAATTATGTAATTCATGGTTCAATTTTATACTGTCTGTCTCCTCAAGAATAAAAATTCGCTGGGTGTGGTGGCTTATGTCTCTAATCCCAGCACTTTGGGAGGCCAAGGTGAGAGGATCACTTGAGCCCAAGAGTTCAAGACCAGCCTGGGCTACATAGTGAGAACTCGTCTCTACAAAACAAACAAACAAACAAAATAGCTGGGCATTGTGGAACACTCCTGTGGTCCCAGCTACTGAAGAGGCTGAGGTTGTTACCGGTGGTGAATCCATATGGGTCTGCAGCAGCCTCAATTCTTGCCTCCTCAGAAGAAAGAATTTGACTGAGGGGCATGAAGCAGAAGAGATGGAGGCAAGTTTTAGAGCAGGAGTCAAAGGAAGGAAAGTACATGTGGAACAGGTCCAAGCAGGCAACTTGAAAACAAGTGTGAAGTTTGACCTTCTGACTTAGCATTTTATATGCTGGCATGCTTCTGGGGTCTTGCATCCCTTCTGCCCTGATTCTTCCCTTGGGGTGGGTTGTCCGCATGTGCAATGGCCTGCTAGTGCCTGGGAGGGGAGCATGCAGAGTGTGTTTACTGGAGTTGTACACATGCTCACTTGAGGCGTTCTTCCCATTCTGGTGGAATGCCCCTGGAAGGTCATATACCAGCTAAACTCTGCCATTTTGCCCTTTAATGCACATGCTGGAGCCCACTCACCCAATTCCTGAGATCTTATTGAGACGCTGCCACCAGTTTCAGGTGTTTTTATCTACTGGGAAACTGCCTTTCCCTGGTGCTGTTTGCAACCAATTATTATATTAGAGAGGCAGCGTGACAACTGCCTGACCATCACCCGATGGTCACCTGACATTCCTGGTGAGGTGCGGGAGAAGCCCTCTCCTGCCTTGCACATGCCTGGCTAGCCACCTACTGTAACAAGGGGAGAGGATCACTTGAGCCCAGGAAGCAGAGGCAACAGTGAGCTGTGATTGCACTACTGCACTCCAGCCTGGGTAACAGATTGAGACCCTACTTAAAAAGAAAAAAAAAGAAGAAGAATGAAAATTCCACAAACAATGGGCCCTGTGGGTCTCACCTACAACTAAACCTTAGGTCCAACCACTGTATTTTATACATTGGAAACAAGATATAATTTTTGATTGAAAAACTATAAGGTAAGCTCAGCAACCCCTGAAAAGAATTATTTGGCTGTTGTCACTACCTCATACCTGTGAACCCCGAAAATCTGAGACAGGTCTCAGTTAATTTAGAAAGTTTATTTTGCCAAGGTTGAGGATGCACCTGTGACACAGCCTCAGGAGATCCTGATGACATGTGCCCAAGGTGATCAGACCACAGTTTGGTTTTACACATTTTAGGGAGACATGAAACATCAATCAACATATGTAAGATGAACTTTGGTTCCGTTTGGAAAGGTGGGACAACTCAAAGCAGGGAGAAGGCTTCCAGGTCATAGGTAGATAAGAGACAAATTGTTGCATTCTTTTAAGTTTCTGTTAGTCTTTCCAAAGGAGGCAATCAGATATGCATTTATCTCAGTGAGCAGAGGGGTGACTTTGAATAGAATGGGAGGCAAGTTTGCCCTAAGCAGTTCCCAGCTTGACTTTTCCCTTTAGCTTAGTGATTTTGGGGGCCCAAGATATTTTCCTTTCACACACCCAATCTAAATAAAATCTATTTCATGTGTATTTTCCACTAGAAATTCAGGCTCCCGAAGGGCATAGTCTTACTCAGGTGGCAGAAAAACTGTAATTACTGCAAATGCCAGGTTTACCATAAACACATCTCTAAATGGAGTTCTCTAGGTCTTGACATAAATAAAAAGGGTTGATTCACACTGAACTTCTCCACTTCAAAAAGAAACAGAGTAGCAGAAGCACAAACCAGATTGCAGTGGGTTGGGGAGTGAATCACAGATATACAAAAATAGGAGGGACTGCTCTTATCCTGGACAGGAGTTTTAAAATCAGTCTTTGGTTAGCAGCATTTTTAGTAACATTTTTATACCATATAGTAACATTTTCATACCTATACTATGAATTATAAAAATAGTTTAATTCATATTACGGAAAAAATAGGAGTCACTTTGAAGGTATCTTTTACAATAAGCAATTCACAGAAGGGAAATCTGAATGCCACTTTCACATATGAAAAATGTTTGAACAGTAATGAGAGAAATAAACATTTAAACCACAGTGAATTACCATTTTATACCCAACCAATTGGCAAAAACAAATTTAAAGTTGGAAAACACCAACTGTGATGATAATATAGACCAACAAAAACCCTCAAACACTTGTAATGGAGAGACAACACAGCACTGTAGCTGAAAGCACAGACTCTAGAGCCATTGTGTATGGTTTCAAGTTATTGCTCTACTTCATAACTAGCTGTGTGACTTTGGGCAACTTACATAACATCTTGGTGCCATCTGTGAAACTGGAATGATGATAATAGATCCTACCTCGAGAGGACTAGTGTGAGTATTGATGAGTTACTATAACATGCTACATAAGTATTTGCTAGTATTATTATTACTGAAATAGAATAATGACTTTAGAGAGCAATTTGACTAGTGCTAATACAGTTGAAGCTGTGCATAGCATACAACCCAGCAATTTTGCTTCTGCGTGCACACCCCAAAGAAACACCTACAGGTGTACACAAGGAGGTATATGCAAGAATTTACATTGTAGCACTGTTTGTAATGGAGAAAACTGGAAATAGTCAAAATATCCATCTGCAGAAAAAAATGTTTTAAAAAATCTATGGTATATTCATATAATAGAATACTATAAAGCAGTGAAAATAAATAAATTAGTGCAGTAGTTCTCAAATTTTACCATGCACTATAATCACCTGGAGAACTTGTTAGAACACAGATTACTGGGGCCCACCTTCAGTTTTTGATTCAATAGGTCTGTAATGGGGCTCAAGGGTTAGCATTTTCCAAGTGATGTTGATGCTGCTGGTCCAGGACAACACTTTGAGAATCACTGAATTGGACCTTCATTGATCAACATGGACAAATCTTACAAACAGAATGTTGAGTGGAAAATGGAAGTTGCAAAAGAATACATATGCTTTGATACCATTTATGAAAAGTTTTAAAATATGGAAAAGAAATCATTTTACTGCATATGTATATATATCACATATACACATGCAGTAAAAATTTTCAATAAGATCACAAAGCTAGTCAGTTACAGGTCTAGGATTTGTACCTATGTGTATCCGTGAAATCGCCTTTGCAAACTGAAACCCCCTTTGCAAAAATTCTATCAGTGAGAAAATTATAGCAGTGGAGGAGATCTGATCTAGCCAAACCCCATCTTGCCTTTAGCTTTCAGTCTGTCCTTAATTATTCCTGGGCTTAAGCCAAGATAACTTTGGGAGACATTTAGTTTAATAGTTTAAATAATTACAGTCCTTCCCCAAAACTCAATTGCCTTTGTAAAGCTAATGAGAGACCACCAGACAACGGGGATAGATGAGCCTGAATTCTGTTAAGTGTAGACATAAGTGATTGCCAGCCATTATTCCAGAGGTCACAAGATATGCAACTTCCCCAATTACTCCTACAGATAACATCACTATTGTAGAATCTAGGATTGGCCTTTTTGGGTATATTTTTAAGTTTTTTGCATGTTTGACTACTGATGGCTCCACCTGGACCCACCAACTGTTCCTGTGGCTCCACCCAGAAACAACTCAGTAGGCAGGAGGACCATCTCCCATACCCCTATGACTGCACCAGTCAGCAGCAAGCACCCATTGCCTAGCCACCCCTACCCCTTTCCCCAGACTACCTTTGAAAAGAAACCTAGCCCCCAAATGCTCCAGGAGGCCGATTTGAGTAATAATATAACTGATTTGAGTAATAATAAAACTTCTTCCATTTTTCCACTCGATGTTGTGTAAAACTCTTTCTCCATTGCAATCCCTATACCTTGATAAATCATCTGTATCTGGGCAGCAGGCAAGAAGAATCCACTGGGCCACTATATCTGGATCTAAAGGCCATGTATTTTCCACTACAAGCTAATTAACAAGAGGTATCCTTTCCCCTCAGAAACAACTGGACACACCTGTGTAGATTCTACATAAAGAACAGCTAAAGAAAATCTGGTTAATACTTAGCCTAGTATACTTACCAGGAAATCAGCAACAGTCTTTCTCTGATATTCCTGAAATTGTAATCCCCACCTTACACTTGTATCACTTGTTTTCTAAATATTAATATACGGTAAAAATCAGGTGGCTGTGTGCTATGGGAAAATCTGGAGGAAAAGATAATTTTAAAAATATACTTTTTTGGCTCTGCTTGCTACTGAAAAAAAATTTTTTTAAGAAAATATACTCTTCCCTCCTTAACATTAAAGTGAATCCACAGAAGATGTGTTTGGTGAAGTGTCTGGTGGTGAATACTAAGTAGAAAGGGCAGACTAACACAGCCTTAGAGCCTGGATAAAATCCTGGTGTCCTGAAAGTTTGACCGTGGGAAATCTGGAGGATAAGGTCTATCTCTGGTCTGTCTATCTAACTTCTGCACCTTGCACATAGTAGAGGCCTGACAGATACATGCCAACCCATGTGTGCATGCAATAATTCAATCCACAATTAGGAACATTGTGCCAAAAGGAGACCCACCAACTAAAAAGAAATACAAATTCTTAGCTTTCTGTGACTACCCTTTACTGCCTTTGCTGGCGAAAACAAAGAAGAAAAGAGGAGGCTTCAGTATTCAAATACTGCCAGTTCCGCAGTGAATTCTAAAAATGGTTACTCTTGGGATACAAGGAACCCCCACGAGGATAAACAACCTCTGAGGTTACCTGAATGCCCCAGCAAAGGGCACGACTACTTCCGGAGCCGCACCGGAACCCCTTGGCGGATTATGTGGGTTCCTGCGGGAACGATTTAAGAATAGGACTACTTCCTGCTTCTGGATATGGGCCGGTGAAGGGAAAGGAAATAGCTCTACGAGCGGCATCCTGCCTGCGTTAGCGGCGGTGGAGGAGGAGGCAGAGAGGAGTGGAGGGCGGAGTAGACGGAGGAGGCTGCTGCAGAGAAGAAAGTGTCAGAGCCGGTAAGTGAGCCAGTCACCTTAGAGCAGGGGACAGCGGACAGCGCCCCAGGGCTCGCTTCGCAGATATGTGGTCCCAAGTTGCTGAGCTGCCCCATGGGGTCAGGTCGGTCGCCTGTCAGTCGGCGCCGAGAAGAGACTGTTGGGGCGCTGGGGCCGGGCCTCGCGGAGCGCCAGAGTGCGCTCTCGCTGGCTGACAGCCTATCTCGGGAGCCAGAGGAGGCCCCGGGCTTTGTCCTGCCTGGTGGTGCTGGGGTTTCGCATCCTGGACAGCTTCCCCAGACAGTGTTTGGAATTCAGGGAAGGAAGAAAGTACGTGCGCCCCCATTTAACCCTCGGGACCTGGCGAAATCCTGCTACGTGGGTAGTGAACATTGTATCGGGGACTGAAGGAAATGCTTGTAAAGAGTGTTAGTCTGGAGCCATACTTTCCCTGCCCTGTTCAAGCTCCCTGGACTGTCGGAAGCGGAGTTGTTTGTAAAGGCAAATGCAGACGCCTCCTCCTCCTGTCACTTCGGGACAAGTTAACAATCTTCAGATTCGTTATTAAAGCCTCGTGTACCCTATGTGATCTATCAGGTTAGTACTGCTGTGGGTATCTGGTGCTTGTTCTGTAAATATACTTGATGTCGAGATCACAGTTAAATATCTCCAAGCACTTTTTGAAGAGAAACAAGACTGACCTAACAGTCGGGACTATTTAGCATACTTTCCCTCACCTTTACTTTAATCGTTTTAGCATGCAGAGTAAGGATGGTAATCTTAAATGTACTAGATTAAGTTATTGTGCATCTGCAGAAGGCCTGTGGTATAATAGGATATGAAACTCTTGATAACTGACGAAATGAGTGAAATGATTATATAAAGATTGTTACTGTAAAGATCAGAAATAGCTTTTATTAAGTTCCTGCTTTTCTGTTGTCTTAGGTTCGGCTTTAGAGTGTGGTGAAGGGTACTTTTCATGGTGCATGGAAGGAAAGCCAATGCGCAGGTAGGCATTTAGGAAGAAAACCTTTGGTTTCACTGATTAAAATTCAGCATGTAATAATTTAAATTTTTAAAAAAGAGTTTCAATCTTACTAAATTCTGCTTGGAACTAATGAGTCTTGTTCTACAATAAATCAAAAGTAATATTAAGAATTAATAGCTTTTTAATAGAATAAAATACAGAAGTTGTTTCTGAAAAGTGCTGTGGATTGTATGTAGTGCTAAACACTTAAATTTTCCTTTTTTCATGTTTTTTACAGTAAATAATCATTAAGTTCATTATGATACTATATGGATTTATTATAATCTTCAGTTCCCTATAAAATGTAGAGGATTCTGTTCCCATGTAAGAATCATAATTATTTATAATATACTGTACTGCATGCCTAATTATGGTTTTGGTTATTTCCTTGATGTTCAATCATACATTTGTTCTGTTAATTAAAATAGCTGCATTGTAGGGAAGATTGTATAAGGACTAAAATAGGTATTAGACATAATAACTTAGTCCATAGAAAAATAGAACAATGTCTGGGAAAATATAGACAATAAATAGGCCCTCCCAACCCTAGAATTTAATAATGTTTTTTCTCATTTTGTTCTAACAAATGAGACTAGAATCTTTATGATACAAAATCATCCCAGTTCTATTTCTTTGGTTTTTACATTTGTTTTCTATTTATTGAACTCTATTTAATCATTTGTTATTTAACATCAAAGATAAACAACTTCTGCAGTTCTTTTAAGAGAAGAAACATTTTATAATGGGAATATGACTTATAACTCAGAACTTGGAGCAAGAACCAGAATGTATATCTTTATCCAAATCTGTTATTGGTTTATCAATTGACCTTGAGCTGTTCACCTTCTCTGTACCCCAGTTTACTTCTTTAGTGTATCTGATCAGGATATTGGGGATTAATGAACATTTGCAAATGCTTTAAGATCTCCAGATGAAAAGATGTTATCAAGATGAAAAATACCATTATCTTATTTATATTTTACTCTGTAGTAGGAATAATATTTTACCACAATGTACATGAAAAAATTAACAACATAATATTAAATACTTCATCCCTTTACTTCTAACATTATTGCAAAACCCACTGATTGTGTCTCATCTCCAGCTACCATAAAATGTCATATCTTATATAATTGCTAAAATAAGAGCTTATTATTTTTTAAAAGAATAGCAGAGTGTGGGAATGTTTTTGGTTTATCAGTAGTCTATATAAAATATTTGCTTAATCACTCATACCTGCTCCTTTTTTCTTGCTTTATTACATAATACTGTCAGCTATTCAGAATCATGCTGGATAATTCTAGTGCTGTTAATCGTTAAGCTACGGCTCTTTCTTCATCACTGTCACTTGGCCAGAGCCTAGCCTACTCACATTGGTCTCTGGTCTTACTTTCACCTGCTTCCTACATTCAATCATGGTCACACTTCCCTATCCTTTTCTTATTGGGCTGTCATTTTTGCTGATTTAACCCAGAAGGCA
This sequence comes from Homo sapiens, assembly GCF_000001405.40. Taxonomy (NCBI): domain Eukaryota; kingdom Metazoa; phylum Chordata; class Mammalia; order Primates; family Hominidae; genus Homo; species Homo sapiens. Next base: position 173,717,565 of record NC_000001.11, read on the forward strand.
GTCTCTGTAATGCTGGGTTTATACTCAGTTGCTATTAAAGAAGCTTTGAGAAGTAACTTTTTATATTGAGACTATTTGAATACATGTTCATTCTGTCTACTAGATTGTGAGCTCTTTTAGTCTCATGTCTTCCTATATTTGCATCACTAGCACCTAACGATTACTGAATAATTGTTTGAATAGGACTGAACAGTTTCTGCAGACTTTCCCCCTCCAAAAAACAAAAAAAATCTATGAACAAGACTGAAAATTATTGTTAAAGGTATTCTAATTTTTGATTATAAAGTTTTATGAAATCAATTGGCATTTTATTAGTAAAGTTTCATTACCTCATTTATTTATGTACTATCATTTGCATAGCACAATGCAAAATTTAAAAGATACAATAGGATATTCAGTGAAAAGTTAACTCTCCCATTGCTGACCCCAGTTCCCAAAGGCAACCACTGTAAGCAGTTTCTTATGCATTCTTTTAGAGGCATTGTAGTTCATACACAAATGTATATAAGATGTCTTCTCTTTTCACTTTTTTAATTTCTATTTTGTAGATACAGGGTTTTGCCATGTTGCCCAGGTTGGTCTCAAACTCCTGGGCTCAAGCAGTCCCCCTGCCTAGGCCTCCCAAAGTGTTGGGATTACAGGCGTGAGCCACCACACCTGGCTAACATTAGTAGCTTTTAAAAAGAAAAGATGGCTAGGCACAGTGGCTCACACCTGTAATCCCAGCACTTTGGGAGGCTGAGGTGGGCTGATCCCTTGAGCCCAAGAGTTCAAGACCAGCCTGGGCAACATGACAAAACCCCATCTCTACAAAAAGGAAACAAGAAAAATTTAGCCAAGTGTTGTGGCAGATGCCTGAAGTTCTAGCTACTCAGGAGGCTGAGGTGAGAGGATCACTTGAGTCTGGGAGGCAGAGATTGCAGTTAAGCCGTGATCATACCATTGAACCCCAACCTGGGCAACAGAGCAAGACAGTGTCTCAAAAAAAAAAAAAAAAGACACAAATGTTGTAGGGCATAGTGGTTCACACTTGTATTCCCAGCTACCCAGCTACTTAGGAGGCTGAAGCAGGAGGATTGCTTGAGCCCAGGAGTTCGAGGCTGTGGTGATCATGCCACTGCACTCCTGCCCGTGTAACAGAGAGAGACCCCATCTCTTTAAATAAATAAATAAAAATAAGAAAATGCATTTGAAAGGACACTGTCAGTATATCATGCACATTCTTCTGTATCTTTATTCACTTGAAAAATTATTTTGTGGCTGGGTGCGGTGGCTCACGCCTGTAATCCCAGCACTTTGGGAGGCCGAGGCAGGCGGATCACAAGGTCAGGAGATCGAGACCATCTTGGCTAACACGGTGAAACCCCGTCTCTACTAAAAAATACAAAAAATTAGCCGGGTGCGGTGGCGGGCACCTGTAGTCCCAGCTACTCGGGAGGCTGAGGCAGGAGAATGGCGTGAACCTGGGAGGCGGAGCTTGCAGTGAGCCGAGATTGCGCCACTGCAATCCGGCCTGGGCTAAACAGCGGGACTCCGTCTCAAAAAAAAAAAGAAAAATTATTTTGTAAATTGTAACAAATGCATATAGACTTACCTTATTCCTTTTAATAGTTATGTAGTATTCCATTGTCTATATGCACCTTAGTTAACCAGTCCCATTTGAGAGAGATTTATTTCAACTGTTTTGCTGTTACAACCAGTTCTGTCTGCAATGAATATCCTTGTAGGTGGTTTTTGCCCAGATGTGTAAGTATAGAATAAGTTCTGGCTGGGCGCAGTGGCTCACACCTGTAATCCCAGCACTTTGGGAGGCTGAGGCGGGCAGATCACAAGGTCAAGAGATCGAGACCATCCTGGCCAAGATGGTGAAACCCCTTCTCTACTAAAAATACAAAAATTAGCTGGGCATGGTGGTGCGTGCCTGTAGTCCCAGCTACAGTGCCAGTCAGGAGGCTGAGGCAGGAGAATCACTTGAACCCAGCAGGTGGAGGTTGCAGTGAGCCAAAATCGTGCCACTGCACTCCAGCCTGATGAAAGCATAAGAATCCGTCTCAAAAAAAAAAAAGAATAAATTCTTAGATTTAGAATTGCCTAAAGATTATGTACATTTTTTTAATTTTGGTGGACATTGACAAATTTTTGCCCTTAGAGTTACACAAATGCATAGTCTTTACCAACAATATGTTTGTTTCCCAAGATATTAATTTTCAATCATTCATTTTATTAAGAGATACCAAATATTTTGTAATTAATTCTTCCAACTTTCCTTAAATATATAAATAGAAAACTGAGCTTGATTGTAGAAATTGGTTTATTCATATATCAAACCTTTATATAGTACCACTCTATTCCTGTATATTGTGTGATACAGATCAAGTGATGAGAACAGATATAATGATACAGTATTGGCGTGGTACAGTGACTCATACCTGTAATCCCAGCACTTTGGGAGATGGAGGAGGAAGGAAGATCACTTGAGCCTAGGTGTTCAAGGCTGCAGTGAGCTGTGACTGTGCCACTGCACTCCAGCCCGGATGACAGGGCGAGACTTCATCTCTAAAATATAATTAATTAATTAATTAACAAACAATGTTAACAGAATTTTAATAGAGATGTAAACTTAAGAGGAGGGAACTGCTCTGTGGAGATGAGGAAGCATCACAGAGATGGTAACATTTGAGCTAGATCTTCTAGGAAGAATAAGAATTTACTTCTAAAGAAGGGAGTTAATTAAGGACACCATAAAAGGAAGGAACAGCTTGTGCAAAAAAAAAAAAGATAAGAGAGAGTACCAAGACCCAGAATTGTCTGACATGCATGGAACAGTGAGTATATGTGGAGTATAGGGTATTTTGAGGAAGAAGGGGAAGTAGAAAACATGGAAATTGAGGCTACAACAGTGGGAAAGAATTCAAACTTTATCCTTTAGGTATTTAAGAGCCAATGGACATTATTATATACATCGTTTGTTCTTTGAACTGATTTCTAGGCACATAGGGGATGGATTGGAAAGAGGGAAGAAATTATGGCAAGGAAATGAATTTAAAGTAGTTGTGGTAGTTTAGATGAAAGATGATGAGAACCTGAAGTATATCTATGGCAGTGAGGGTTGAGAGAAGTAGATGGAATTGAGAGCTTGTATAATAGTAAAATCAAAAGGATTTGGTGAACATGGAGTGAGGAAGAGATAGTGTTATAAATGACTCCAAACTTAGGAAACCAGATGCCGCCATGATAAGATTAAAAAGAAAAATACAGGAAGAGGAACAGGTTTCAGTAAGCCAAGAATAGATTCTGTTTCATATACTTTAAGATTATTGTGTTTAGGAAACAGCCAGGTGGAGATATCCAGCATGTGATTGGAATATGACTCTGGGGCAGAAGAGAGATTTGGGCTAGAAATTTAAAAAAAAAAATGTGAGTCATCAATACTAAGAAGGTTCTTCAAGCTGTAGGCATAAGTGATGGTAGAACAGAAAAGGAGAATGCTGAGGACAGAACTGTAGTGAGTACCAGGGGTGTTTACGATGGGGCCTAGCAGGAAGGCCCCATAAAGTCTCTAAAATGAGTAAGAAGCTTTACATGCTTTGGGTCTTATTTTATTTAACAGTATCTAGAGTTTTTATTGATAGTTTTTTACTCACATTGAAGGATAGCTGAGCTACTCCTTCAGTTCAATTTCAGAAGACAAAATTTCCAATCTCGTATCTTTGAAATTTTCAATTTGTTCTACTCAGTCTAAAGTGTATGCTTAAAAATAGTGTAAAACATACTTGCTTGATTTGACTATTCCCTAGTGTGGCATGCACTGTAGGTTAGCTTGCACATCTCTTCTTTTCTTCCGTCTACTATAGACACTAGAAAATTAAATACTCTGAGTTCTTAGTTGTCTCTGCATATGGGAAGGGCTGTGTGACACAGTGCTACCAATGAGATGTCAGCAGTAGTTGTTGAGGGGTATTCTAGGAAGGCTTTTGCTATCCTGATATAAAGGGAAACTAGCATGCTTGCATGAGGATTTACCCTTCCTGCTCCATCTTGGTCTCGATCACTGGACCAAGGCACCCAAGGCTTATGCTCATTTTATCCAATAAGCCGTGATGAGATGTCTTGGGACTAAAACATTCACAACCAAGTTTCAAATAAAGAGGTTAATAGCTTGGCCTTCTGGTGTGGAATCAGGTGTGGAATATAGTGCCTATTGGGACCCCTTCTACTAAGTAGAAGTGACACTTTGAGATGTTATTTCTGTTTTGAGGGTTTATACACTCAAATCTCCAGCTGTCTCTATTCAAGTATATTTAGGACTATAAATGAGGGTCAGTGCAACTGAATCTTTTTTAAGGTCAAGTTGTTAATTTTCAAAGTAAAACAAAATTTTTGAAGTAGGAAAGGTGAAATGTTCATTTAGATAGCGTATTAGTCCATTTTGCATTGCAATAAAGAAGTACCTGAGACTTGGTAATTTATAAAGAAAAGAAGTTTATCTTGGCTTGTGGTTCTGCAAGCTTTTCAAGAAGCACTTGTCACACATGTCACCACACCTGGATAATTTTTAAATTTTTTCGTAGAGATGGAATCTCATTTTGTTGCCCAAGCTGGTCTCAAACTCCTGAGCTCAAACGATCCTCCTGCCTCAACCTGCCAAAGTGCTGGGATTACAGCTGTGAGCCACCATGCCCAGCTAGCTTTTACATTCTTAAATGGTTGAGGAAAAAAGGCAAAAGATGAATGATATTTCCTGAAGTGAAAATTATATGGATGGACACCAATGGCTGGGGGCACAGTGGCCTACACTTGTGATCCCAGCACTTTGGGAGGCTGAGGCAGGAGGATCACTTGAGGCCAGGAGTTCTAGACCAGCCTGGGAAACAGAGAGAGTCTTTGTCTCTACCAAAAAATTAAAATTAAGCCAGGCGTGGTAGCATGCACCTGAGAGCCTCCTCAGGAGGCTGAGGTGAGAGGATCGCTTCAACCAGGAGTTTGAGGCTGCAGTGAGCTGTGATCATACCACTGCACTTCATCCTCAGTGACAGAGCAATACCTTATTTCTAAAAAAAAGAAAAAAAGATTCTACTATACTGATGCAGTAATAAGAGCATTATTTTTTTTTGCTATGGTAATTTTTTTTTTTTTTTTGACATAGAGTTTCGCTTTTGTTTCCCAGGCTGGAGTAGTGCAGTGGCACAATCTTGGTTCACCGCAACCTCTGCCTCCCAGGTTCAAGCAATTCTCCTGCCTCAGCCTCCCAAGTAGCTGGGATTACAGGCATGCGCCACCACATCCAGCTAATTTTTGTATTTTTAGTAGAGATGGAGCCTCACCATGTTGGCCAGGCTGGTCTCAAACTTCTGACCTCAGGTGATCCAGCCACCTCTGCCTCCCAAAGTGCTGGGATTACAGGTGTGAGCCACCGCGCCTGGCACTATGGTATGTTTAAAAGAAAAACGGAGACATTAGCTTAGTTTACCCACATTGTACTTAGGTGAAATAAAAAATTGTTTATATCTCAGTTCAACAGTAGCATCTTTATGTATGTAACTAAGGTTGTGACAATAACACTTTACTTTCAGCATGCAGTGTCAGTATTCCAGGAATTTTTGGTCTTCTGTCTTTAATTGTTACTTTTTTAAAAAAGAAGCTTGATTGTACCACTGTTAATCATGTGATTTATTCTTTCAGCATCTACTGTGTACAAGGCACCATTTTAGCTCTGTGGTTAAAAGCATTCTTGATTGTTTATATGGATGGTAAAAATTATTCTTTAACTGCTCAGCTTTATGTTTTAGTCTTTAAAATTGCCAAGCGTAAACAGTGATGTTTTTACCAGATGTATAAGTGTTTTGGAAAAATTGGTTGTTGTTGGAGAAAAGAAGAACCATGTTTTTTATTTTTGTGCTATATCTTTGCAATGCACATGCAATTTCTTCTCCCTAGAATGTCCTTATAGATTTTTCTGTCCTTCTCAGGAGACTCCTTTTACACTTTAGTGTTTTATTATACTGTAGTTCCCGTCAGTGCTACAGCTTTGGAAGTAGCAGACTGATAGGGATGCTGTCCTTTGCAGGCTAGATATTAGACTCTCTCAGTAGTTGTAGATAATTAGCATCTGAGAGAGACTCACATGAGGCTGACCTAAAACTCAGTGATCAGAATGCTTGAGTCATCCCCCTTTTAAGTAGCATGGTACTTTTGGAAGAATTTTCCATCAGAGGACTGCTTAATGAGTTTAGAATCAGAAACAGAAATATAACGATCTGGAGCATGGATGTGAGATATTTCACTTAAGCTCTGGGAAAACCCAGTGTAATATTCCTACTTTACAACAACAACCTTTGTAGTAACCTGATAGGCTATACCTGTGAGATCCAGAATCTTTCTGAATGATGTTAAACATATACTTCATAGATTTTGCCTTTCTGAATGACTTTTAAGCTTTATTGAGGTATAATTGAGGTACATATTTTATGTATACATTTTGATGAGTTTGGGCATATGTATATACCCATGATATCACCGCAATCAAGGTTCTAAACATATGTATCACCTCCAAAAATTCTTTTATATATATATACACATACACATACATGATATATATGTTTTGGGGATTTTTTTTTTTTTTTTTAGAGATGGGGCCTCACTATGTTGCCTAGGCATGGCAAACTCCTGGGCTTAAGGGATCCCCCCGCCTCAACCTCCCAAAGTACTGGGATTACAGGCATGAGCCACTAGGCTCAGCCTCCTCCGAAAATTCTTATGTTTGAACCACATCTTTTGTCCTGGTTGCCCTCTTACTAGTTATTCATGTATCTCCTCCTCTAGAGATTGCTTCTTTATATTACTTAGAATTTTCCACAGTCTATAGCAAAATGCTTTGTGTACATTAAAAGCAATTAGTAAATATTTGTTAAAAGAATAATTATTTTAATTAAGAGGCATAGATTGTCTTTTCTCTGCATGTTTATATAATGTGATCATACAAAAATCCAAATATCTTATTTCTAATTATTTGTCAGTAATTTGTGACTTTTACCTAGTAATTTAGCACCTGAATTTCTACATATGAAATATGAATATAAGATACAAATTTTCAAGCCAGGCATGGTGACTCACACCTGTAGTCCCAGCTACTTAGGGGGCTGAGGTGGGAGGATCAGTTGAGCCTAGGAGGTCGAGGCTGTAGTAAGCCGTGATCAAACCGCTGTATTCCAGCCTGGGTGACAGAGCAAGACCCTGTCGCAAAGAAAAGATACAAATTTGTATCTTATATATTATCTGGAATGACTTTTTAAACATAATAAAAGTATTTTAGGTATTTTATAAGTACTTAAAGGTAATTCTGAAAATTTCTTAGACCATCCCCGTTAATTTCAGCTAGAAAAGTGATGATATAAGTTCACTTTGTTATGCTCATTCCCTTAAATATGAAATGCATTTTATAGGCTTCTTTTACCAAGTTATTTGACTCTTCTTCTTGATATTTCACTGGTGAAGTTTTTCATGATGACTGAATCTAAAAAAAAAAAAATCTGTATTTGGTGAGTTTCTTGGGCTTTTAAAAATAGTTGTACAGAAATTTGGATAATACATAAGAAAAAACAAAACAAAACCTCATTTTGAATTGCTAAATCATCCTAGAAACTCTTCCCTCTCCTTGCCTCCCAGCATTCACATGAATTACAGTTATTAAATATTCACAGTACCTCAGGAGATGCGTGGTTTACCCTAAAGCATCCAGAGGCCTGCTCTGCTACTGAAAGCTTCTTGATTTTGAGTAAGTCACGTAACCAAACTAGTTTCTTCATCTGTAAAAGGAGGGCATTATGCTAGATGATCCAGTGATCCATTCTATTCCATATCTAGATCTCCACACAAGCAAGAATGGGCTGTTTTCATATTTAAGGACTTGTGAAGAACACCAACTTGTAAAACTTATAGACACATACATATATACTGTGATCCTGTAAGGCAGTGTTCATCAAATTTGAGCAATTTACAGATACCCCACCACCTTTTTGTCCAGAACCCATTTTAGAGGAAAATAATTATTGCAGCTTCTAAAGAATATGTCCTTTAACACAAGTTTAGACAACACCTACTTAAATGTACAGGAAATGCCCAACTTACAGACTTCTACAGTTTATGTATACTAGCTCCAGCCATCATGCTTCTCTAAAGCCTCTGTTTAAAAACCAAAAACGAGGAGCCAAGATGGCCGAATAGGAACAGCTCCAGTCTACAGCTTCCAGCATGAGCGATGCAGAAGACGAATGATTTCTGCATTTCCAACTGAGGTACTGGGTTCATCTCACTGGGGATTGTCAGACAGTAGGTGCAGGACAGTGGGTGCAGCACACCGAGCGTGAGCCAAAGCAGGGCGAGGCATCACCTCACCCAGGAAGTGCAAGGGGTCAGGGAATTCCCTTTCCTAGCCAAGGAAAGAGGTGACAGATGGCACCTGGAAAATCGGGTCACTCCTACCTTAATACTGCGCTTTTCCAACAGTCTTAGCAAACGGCACGCCAGGAGATTATATCCCGCGCCTGGCTCAGAGGGTCCTACGCCCACAGAGCCTCACTCATTGCTAGCACAGCAGTCTGAGATCACACTGTAAAGCAGCAGCGAGGCTGGGGGAGGGGCACCCACCATTGTCCAGGCTTGAGTAGGTAAATAAAGCGGCTGGGAAGCTCGAACGTGGTGGAGCCCACTGCAGTTCAAGGAGGCCTGCCTGCCTCAGTAGACTCCACCTCTGGGGGCAGGGCATAGCCAAAAAAAAAAAGGCAGCAGAAACCTCTGCACACTTAAATGTCCCTGTCTGACAGCTTTGAAGAGAGTAGTGGTTCTCCCAGCACGCAGCTTGAGATCTGAAAACGGACAGACTGCCTCCTCAAGTGGGTCCCTGACCCCCAAGTAGCTTAACTGGGAGGCACCCCCCAGTAGGGGCAGACTGACACCTCCAACGGACGGGTACTCCTCTGAGGCAAAACTTCCAGAGGAACGATCAGGCAGCAACATTTGTTGTTCACCAATATCCGCTGTTCTGCAGCCTCCGCAGCTGATACCCTGGCAAACAGCCTCTGGAGTGGACCTCCAGCAAACTCCAACAGACCTGCAGCTGAGGGTCCTGAGTGTTAGAAGGAAAACTAACAAACAGAAAATACATCCACACCAAAACCCCATCTGTACGTCACCATCATCAAAGACCAAAGGTAGATAAAACCACAAAGATGGGGAAAAAACAGAGCAGAAAACTGAAAATTCTAAAAATCAGAGCACCTCTCCTCCTCCAAAGGAACACAGCTCCTCACCAGCAACGGAACAAAGCTGGACGGAGAATGACTTTGACGAGTTGAGAGAAGAAGGCTTCAGACTATCAAACTTCTCTGAGCTAAAGGAGGAAGTTCGAACCCATGGCAAAGAAGTTAAAAACCTTGAAAAAAGATTAGACGGATGGCTAACTACAATAACCACGCAGAGAAGTCCTTAAAGGACCTGATGGAGCTGAAAACCACCGCACGAGAACTACGTGACAAATGCAGAAGCCTCAGTAGCTGATTCAATCAACTAGAAGAAAGGGTATCAGTGATGGAAGATCAAATGAATGAAATGAAGCAAGAAGAGAAGTTTAGAGAAAAAAGAATGAAAAAAAAAAACGAGCAAAGCCTCCAAGAAATATCGGAGTATGTGAAAAGACCAAATCTACGTCTGATTGGTGTACCTGAAAGTGACGGGGAGAATGGAACCAAGTTGGAAAACACTCTGCAGGATATTATCCACGAGAACTTCCCCAATCGAGCAAGGCAGACCAACATTCAAATTCAGGAAATACAGAGAACGCCACAAAGATACTCCTTGAGAAGAGCAACTCCAAGACACATAATTGTCAGATTCACCAAGGTTGAAATGAAGGAAAAAATGTTAAGGGCAGCCAGAGAGAAAGGTCAGGTAACCCACAAAGGGAAGCCCATCAGACTAACAGCTGATCTCTCGGCAGAAACTCTACAAGCCAGAAGACAGTGGGGGCCAATATTCAACATTCTTAAAGAAAAGAATTTTCAACCCAGAATTTCATATCCAGCCAAACTAAGCTTCATAAGTGAAGGAGAAATAAGATCCTTTACAGACAAGCAAATGCTGAGAGATTTTGTCACCACCAGACCTGCCCGAAAAGAGCTCCTGAAGGAGGCACTAAACAGGGAAAGGAACAACCGGTACCAGCCACTGCAAAAACATGCCAAATTGTAAATACCATCAAGGCTAGGAAGAAACTGCATCAACTAACGAGCAAAATAACCAGCTAACATCATAATGACAGGATCAAATCCACACATAACAATATTAACCTTAAATATAAATGGACTACATGCTTCAATTAAAAGACACAGACTGGCAAATTGGATAAAGAGTCAAGACCTATCAGTGTGCTGTATTCAGGAAACCCATCTCACGTGCAGAGACACACATAGGTTCAAAATAAAGGGATGGAGGAAGATCTACCAAGCAAATGGAAAACAAAGGCAGGGGTTGCAATCCTAGTCTCTGATAAAACAGACTTTAAACCAACAAAGATCAAAAGAGACAAGGCCATTGCATAATGGTAAAGGGATCAATTCAACAAGAAGAGCTAACTATCCTAAATATATATGCACCCAATACAGGAGCATCCAGATTCATAAAGCAAGTCCTTAGAGACCTAGAAAGAGACTTAGACTCCCACACAATAATAATGGGAGACTTTAACACCCCACTGTCAACATTAGACAGATCAACGAGACAGAAAGTTAACAAGGATATCCAGGATTTGAACTCAGCTCTGCACCAAGTGGACCTAATAGACATCTACATAACTCTCCACCCCAAATCAACAGAATGTACATTCTTTTCAGCACCACACCACACCCATTCCAAAACTGACCACATAGTTGGAAGTAAAGCTCTCCTCAGCAAATGTAAAAGAACAGAAATTATAACAAACTGTCTCTCAGACCACAGTGCAATCAAACTAGAACTCAGGATTAAGAAACTCAACTCAAAACTGCTCAACTACATGGAAACTGAATAACCTGCTCCTGAATGACTACTGAGCATAACGAAATGTAGGCAGAAATAAAGATGTTCTTTGAAACCAACGAGAACAAAGACACAACATACCAGAATCTCTGGGACACATTCAAAGCAGTGTGTAGAGGGAAATTTATAGCACTAAATGCCCAGAAGAGAAAGCAGGAAAGACTAACATCACAATTAAAAGAACTAGAGAAGCAAGAGCAAACACATTCAAAAGCTAGCAGAAGGCAAGAAATAACTAAGATCAGAGCAGAACTGAAGGAAATAGAGATGCAAAAACCCCTTCAAAAAATCAATGAATCCAGGAGCTGGTTTTTTGAAAAGATCAACAAAATTGATAGACCGCTAGCAAGACTAATAAAGAAGAAAAGAGAAGAATCAAATAGACGCAATAAAAAATGATAAAGGGGATATCACCACCGATCCCACAGAAATACAAACTACCATCAGAGAATACTATAAACACCTCTGTGCAAATAAACTAGAAAATCTAGAAATGGATAAATTCCTGGACACATACACCCTCCCTAGACTAAACCAGGAAGAAGTTGAATCTCTGAATAGACCAATAACAGGCTCTGAAATTGAGGCAATAATTAATAGCTTACCAACCAAAAAAAGTCCAGGACCAGATGGATTCACAGCCGAATTCTACCAGAGGTACAAGGAGGAGCTGGTTCCGTTCCTTCTGAAACTATTCCAATCAATAGAAAAAGAAGGAATCCTCCCTAACTCATTTCACGAGGCCAGCATCATCCTGATACCAAAGCTTGGCAGAGACACAACCAAAAAAGAGAATTTTAGACCAATATCCCTGATGAACATCAAAGCAAAACTTCTCAATAAAATACTGGCAAACCGAATCCAGCAGCACATCAAGAAGCTTATCCACCATGATCAAGTGGGCTTCATGCCTGGGATGCAAGGCTGGTTCAACATACACAAATCAATAAACATAATCAGTTACATAAACAGAACCAACGACAAAAACCACATGATTATCTCAATAGATGCAGAAAAGGCCTGTGACAAAATTCAACAACCTTCATGCTAAAAACTCTCAATAAATTAGGTATTGATGGGACGTATCTCAAAATAATAAGATCTATGACAAACCCACAGCCAATATCATACTGAATGGGCAAAAACTGGAAGCACTCCCTTTGAAAACTGGCACAAGACAGGGATGCCCTCTCTCACCACTCCTATTCAACATAGTGTTGGAAGTTCTGGCCAAGACAATCAGGCAGGAGAAGGAAATAAAGAATATTCAGTTAGGAAAAGAGGAAGTCAAATTGTCCCTGTTTGCACATGACATGATTGTATGTCTAGAAAACCCCATCATCTCAGCCCCAAATCTCCTTAAGCTGATAAGCAACTTCAGCAAAGTCTCAGGATACAAAATCAGTGTGCAAAAATCACAAGGATTCTTATACACCAATAACAGACAAACAGAGAGCCAAATCATGAGTGAACTCCCATTCACAATTGCTACAAAGAGAATAAAATACCTAGGAATCCAACTTACAAGGGATGTGAAGGATCTCTTCAAGGAGAACTACAAACCACTGCTCAATGAAATAAAAGAGGACACAAACAAATGGAAGAACATTCCATGCTCATGGGTAGGAAGAATCAATATCATGAAAATGGCCATACTGCCCAAGGTAATTTATAGATTCAGTGCCATCCCCATCAAGCTACCAATGACTTTCTTCACAGAATTGGAAAAAACTACTTTAAAGTTCATATGGAACCAAAAAAGAGCCCGCATTGCCAAGTCAATCCTAAGCCAAAAGAACAAAGCTGGAGGCATCATGCTACCTGACTTCAAACTATACTACAAGGCTACAGTAACCAAAACAGCATGGTACTGGTACCAAAACAGAGATGTAGACCAATGGAACAGAACAGAGCCCTCAGAAATAATGCCACATATCTACAACTATCTGATCTTTGACAAACCTGAGAAAAACAAGCAATGGGGAAAGGATTCCCTATTTAATAAATGGTGCTGGGAAAACTGGCTAGCTGTATGTAGAAACCTGAAACTGGATCCCTTCATTACACCTTATACAAAAATTAATTCAAGATGGATTAAAGACTTAAATATTTGACCTAAAACCATAAAAACCCTAGAAGAAAACCTAGGCAATACCATTCAGGACATAGGCATGGGCAAGGACTTCATGTCTAAAACACCAACAGCAATGGCAGCAAAAGCCAAAATTGACAAATGGGATCTAATTAAACTAAAGAGCTTCTGCACAGCAAAAGAAACTACCATCAGAGTAAACAGGCAACCTACAGAATGGGAGAAAATTTTTGCAATCTACTCATCTGACAAAGGGCTAATATCCAGAATCTACAATGAACTCGAACAAATTTACAAGAAAAAAACAACCCCATCAAAAAGTGGGCAGAGGATATGAACAGACACTTCTCAAAAGAAGACATTTATGCAGCCAAAAGACACATGAAAAAATGCTCATCATCACTGGCCATCAGAGAAATGCAAATCAAAACCACAGTGAGATATCATCTCACACCAGTTAGAATGGCAATCATTAAAAAGTCAGGAAACAACAGGTGCTGGAGAGGATGTGGAGAAATAGAAACACTTTTACACTGTTGGTAGGACTGTAAACTAGTTCAACCATTGTGGAAGTCAGTGTGGCAATTCCTCAGGGATCTAGAACTAGAAATACCATTTGACCCAGCCATCCCAATACTGGGTATATACCCAAAGGATTATAAATCATGCTGCTATAAAGACACATGCACACGTATGTTCATTGTGGCACTATTCACAATAGCAAAGACTTGGAACCAACCCAAATGTCCAACAGTGATAGCCTGAATTAAGGAAATGTGGCACATATACACCATGGAATACTATGCAGCCATAAAAAATGATGATTTCATGTCCTTTGTATGGACATGGATGAAGCTGGAAACCATCATTCTCAGTAAACTATCACAAGGACAAAAAACCAAACACCACATGTTCTCACTTATAGGTGGGAATTGAACAATGAGAATACATGAATACAGGAAGGGGAACATCACACACCAGGGCCTGTTGTGTTGGGGGAGGGGGGAGGGATAGCATTAGGAGATATACCTAATGTTAAATGATGAGTTAATGGGTGCAGCACACCAACATGGCACATGTATACATATGTAACAAACCTGCACGTTGTGCACATGTACCCTAAAACTTAAAGTATAATTAAAAAAACATTTAAAAAATTAAAAATATAATAAAAATAAAAACCAATAACGGCTGGGCACAGTGGCTCATACCTGTAATCCCAGCACTTTGGGAGGCTGAGGCAGGCGGATCACGAGGTCAGGAGATCAAGACCATCCTGGCTAACTCGGTGAAACCCCGTCTCTACTAAAAATACGAAAAATTAGCCAGACATGGTGGCACATGCCTGTAGTCCCAGCTACTTGGGAGGCTGAGGCAGGAGAATCACTTGAACCCAGGAGGCGGAAGTTGCAGTGAGCCGAGATTGCGCCACTGCAGCCCAGCCTCCGTGACAGAGCCAGACTCTGTCTCAAAAAAAAAAAAAACCAGTGTGATGGCATGTGCCTTTAATCCCAGCTACTCAGGAGGACTGCTTGAGCCTAGGAGTTCAAGACCAGCGTGGGCAACTTAGTGAGACCCTCATCTCAAAAATTAAAAAAAATCAATAAGTAAAAAAACCCAGCAACAACAAATGGTAGAATAATCTGAAAAAGAGAGAGATTCTTTTCCTTCTCCCTTCTTGTACCTATTGTTCCTTTTGTCTTGGGATTTCAAAACTCAGGCCAGTGGCATTTAAGCTTTTTTGATATAACCTGCAGTTTACGAGGGGAAGCAGTGATGCGTATCTATACAAATTTGTGTGTGTACATACACACAATTGAACATGCTTAACTAAATGAAATGTATGCTGTTACTTTCTATTTCATTTTTTAATGCTTCTTATGAGGCACTGAATTTTACAACTAAACCTAGTCCCCATTTACAGCACTCTTACCATAGAAAAATGCAAACCTCCAAATAAACTTTTAGATTCAACTTTTAAATACTACTTATTTATAAATTGAAGAATGTCTGTTTATGAACTTATTCACTTATTTTATAATCATACCGAAACCTCAGTGATTCAGACCAATTTGACAGGAGCAATTCAACATATGTAGTACTTTTAAATGAAGCTTATCATATTTAATATCTCTAGATATGAAATTAGACCCAAATTAATCTAACAAAATCTTGACCTGGAGGCTCTTTGGAGTCCTGCTAAATCATCATTTAGCTTGCCATTTTCTTTACTATTTTAATTTTAATAAACTTTGAAGAAAAGATTTCTATATAAAGATAAACTTCAATCCAGACTTTTTTTTTTTTTTTTTTTTGAGACAGAGTCTCTGTCACCCAGACTGGAGTGCAGTGATGCAATCTCGGCTTACTGCAGCCTCTGCCTCCAGGGTTCAAGTGATTCTCATGCTTCAGCCACCCAAGCAGCTGGGATTACAGGCATGTGCCACCACACACGGCTAATTTTTCTGTAATTTTAGTAGAGACAGGGTTTTGCCACATTCACCAGGCTGGTTTCGAACTCCTGGCCTCAAGTGATAAGCTTACCTCAGTCTCCCAGGGATTACAGACATGAGCCACCACACCAGGCCGTCAGTCCAAACTTTTTATATTGTCTTTAATTTGAAATTTAACTATTAATTGAAGCGTGTTAACTTGGGCTTAATTTTTAAAATGGATAAGCATAACCACCTGATCTAAAAGTTTTATTGCTATAGTAGCTCAATTTAAATGGTTTATGTAGACCAGGCATGTTGGCTTATGCCTACAATCCCAGCACTTTGGGAGGTGGAGGCAACAGGATCACTTGAGCCCAAGAGTTTGAGACCAATCTGGGCAACACAGTGAGACATCATCTCTACAAAAAATTTAAAAAAAAAATCACCAAGCTAATTACATTTCCTTATCGCTTGAATTACAAACATTTAAGGGGAGAAAAGAGCTTATAATAATACTGCCATCTTCTCTCTCTCCCCCATCATTCCTATAGGTGTACCAACATTCGACCAGGAGAGACTGGAATGGATGTAACAAGCCGCTGCACCCTTGGAGACCCCAACAAACTGCCAGAAGGGGTTCCCCAACCTGCCCGCATGCCCTATATCTCAGACAAGCACCCTCGACAAACCTTGGAAGTGATTAACCTTCTGAGAAAGCACCGGGAGCTATGTGATGTGGTGCTAGTTGTGGGCGCCAAGAAGATATATGCCCATCGAGTCATTTTGTCAGCCTGTAGTCCCTACTTCCGAGCTATGTTTACAGGAGAATTGGCAGAGAGCCGTCAGACAGAAGTAGTGATCCGAGACATTGACGAGAGGGCTATGGAATTACTGATTGACTTTGCGTATACCTCCCAGATAACAGTAGAAGAGGGCAATGTTCAGACTCTTCTGCCAGCTGCTTGCCTCCTCCAGCTGGCAGAAATACAGGAAGCCTGCTGTGAATTCTTAAAGAGACAATTAGATCCTTCTAACTGCCTGGGCATTCGGGCTTTTGCTGACACACATTCATGTCGTGAGTTGCTAAGGATAGCAGACAAGTTCACCCAACATAACTTTCAAGAGGTGAGTTGCACTTGGTGTTCCAATGCACCCATTTGTTGGAGAGCAATATGGGTTCACATTCTGCTAAATAACACTTGCCTGGGTATTTCCTGCTGATTCTAACTCATAATAGCAAATAAATAAGTTATTATAAATCCTAAACCTGGCTTTTATTTTAGAGGGCAATTTTGTGTTCTACCAGCAAGTTAAGATTTAGGGATTTATTCTCCCTAACTGTATTCATAAAAGTATTTAAAAAAAAATTTTTAAAAAGGTTTATTTATAAGCCAAAATAGAGTAATTCACAAGAGGATCTATGCCTGATAGGATACCTGGTATCATGATTTATATAAGATATTTCCTTCCTGATTATGTGGATTATTCAGAATAAATTATAGATTATAGGTTGTTTGGTAAACTAATAATCTGAAAAGATGAGTTTAGATGTTATCAAAATAATTTTCATTAAACCTATCTTTCCCTTATTTATTTAACAAATATTTGTAAAGCTACTATGTTTCAGCCACTGTGCTTGGGAGCATAGGGTACAATAGTGAACAAGAAATCTAGAGTCTCTGTATTCATGGAGTTTATAATCTAGCAGGGAAGATAATCATTAAATGCTTAATTATACAAATAATTAACTACAGTTAATGGGTGTTACAAAGAAGCAGTCCTGGATGATTTAAGAGTGTATTACAGAGAAATTTAACTTTGGTGCTGGAACAACTTGTGCAAAATCCCAAGACATTAAAAAGCATCACTAGTTTGAAGACCTGAAAAAAACCCAGTGAGACCCAGAGACCAAGGGGGGTAGAGGATGTTACATAGTGATTACACAGAAAGAAGAGGGCTAAATCACACTGAGGTTGATAGACTATGTTAAGAATTTGAGATTGGCCTGGTGCAGTGGCACATGCCTGTGATCCCAGCACTTTGGGAGGCTGAGGCGGGCAGATTGCATGAGCTCAGGAGTTCAACACTAGCCTGGGCAACATGGCGAAACCCTGTCTCTACAAAAAATACAAAAATTAGTCGGGCATGGTGGCGTGCACCCTTAGTCCCAGCTACTTAGGAGGCTGAGGTGGGAGGATGGCTTGAGCCCAGGAGGTAGAGGTTGCAGTGAGCCAAGATCGTGCCACTGCACTCCAGCCTGGGTGAGAGAGCCAGACCAGACCCTATCTCAAAAAAAAAAAAAAAGAATTTGAGATTGATCCTAAGAGTGCTAGAAAACCATTAAAGGGTTTTAAGCAAAGACAAAACATGGTCTGTTTTACAACTTTTTAAAAAATCATATTTTTATTTATTTTGCAGTAAAGTGGTCAGCTCAGGACCATAGTTTTTTTCCCCCTAATAGTTTTTGGAGAACAGGTGGTGTTTGATTATATGAATAAGTTCTTCATTGATGATTTCTGAGATTTTGGTGCATCCACCACCCGAGCAGTGTACACCGTACCCAATGTGTAGTCTTTTATCTCTCACCCACCTCCCACACTTCCCCCTGAATCCCCAAAGTCCATTGTGTCATTCTTACGACTTTGCATCCTCATAGCTTAGCTCCCACTTATAAGTGAGAACATATCATTTTTGGTTTTCCATTCCTGAGTTACATCACTTAGAATAATGGTCTCCAACCAACTCCATCCAGATTGCTGCAAATGCCATTCTATCTTTTTTTTTTTTTTTTTTTTTTGAGATGGAGTCTCACTTGCTCTGTTGCCCACGCTGGAGTGCAACGGGGCTCAATCTCAGCTCACTGCAACTTCTGCCTCCTGGGTTCAAGTGATTCTCCTGCCTCAGCCTCCCAAGTAGCTGGGACTATAGGTACATGCCACCATGTCCAGCTAATTTTTGTATTTTTATTAGAGATGGGGTTTCACCATGTTGGCCAGGCTGGTCTCAAATTCCTGACCTCAAGTGATCTGTGATCTGCTTGCCTCAGCCTACCAAAGTGCTGGGATTACAGGCGTGAGTCACTGTTCCTGGCCAATATATTGTTCCTTTTTATGGCTGAGTAGTATTCTGTGGTATATATACATACCACATTTTCTTTATCCACTTGTTGATTGATGGGCATTTGGGCTGGTTCCGTATTTTTGCAGTTGTGAATTGTGCTGCTATAAACATGCACATGCAAGTGTCTTTTTCATATAATGACTTCTTTTCCTCTGGGCAGTAACCAGTAGTGGGATTGCTGGAACAAATGGTAGATATACTTTTGGTTCTTTAAGAAATCTCCATATACTGTTTTCCATAGTGGTTGCACTAGTCCACATTCCCACCAGCAATGTAAAAGTGTTCCCTTTTCACCACATCCATGCCAACATCTTTTTTTTTTTTTTAATTTTGAAACAGAGTCTCACTGTGTTGCCCAGGCTGGAGTGCAGTGGCATGATCTCGGCTCACTGCAACCTCCGCCTCCCGGGTTCAAGCGATTCTCCCACCTCAGCCTCCCGAGTAGCTGGGATTACAGGGATTTGCCACCACACCAAGCTAATTTTTGTATTTTTAGTAGAGATGGGGTTTCACCATGTTGGCCAGGCTGGTCTCAAACTCCTGACCTCAGGTGATCTGCCCGCCTTGGCCTCCCAAAGTGCTGGGATTACAGGCATGAGCCACCGCACCCGGCCTATGTTTTTATTTTTTAAATTATGGCCATTCTTGCAGGAGTAAAGTGGTATCACATTGTGGTTTTGATTTGCTGATCATTAGTGATGTTGAGCATTTTTTCATATGTTTGTTGGCCATTTGTATATCTTCTTTTGAGAATTGTCTATTGGTCTTTAGCCCACTTTTTGATGGAATTATTTGTTTTTTTCCTTGGTGATTTGTTTGAATTCCTTGTAGATTCTGGATATTAGTCTGTGGTTGGATCTGTAGTTTGCAAACATTCTCTCCCACTCCGTGGGTTGTCTATTTACTCTGCTGATTATTTCTTTTGCTGTGCAGAAGCTTTTTAGTTTAAGTTCCATCTATTTATCTTTGTTTTTGTTGCATTTGCTTTTGGTTCTTGATCATGAACTCTTTGCCTGAGCCAATGTCTAGAAGGGTTTCTCCAATGTTATCTTCTAGAATTTTTATGGTTTCATGTCTTAGATTTAAGTCTTTGATCCATCTTGAGTTGGTTTTTGTATAAGGTGAGAGATGAAGATTCAGTTTCATTCTTCTACATGTGGCTTGCCAATTATCCCAGCACTGTTTGCTGAATAGGGTGTCCTTTCCCCACATTATGTTTTTGTTTGCTTTGTCAAAGATCAGTTGGCTTTAACTATTTGGCTTTATTTCTGGGTTCTCTATTCTTTCCATTGGTCTATGTACCTATTTTTATGCCAGTATCATGCTGTTTTGGTGACTATAGCCTTGTAAAATAGTTTGAAATTAGGTAATGTGATGCCTCCAGATTTGCTTAGCCTTCCTTTGGGTATGTGGGCTCATTTTTGGTTCCATATGAATTTTAGGATTGTTTTTTCTAGTTCTGTGAAGAATGATGGTGGTATTTTTATGGGAATTGCATTGAATTTATAGATTCTCTTGGCTGTATAGACATTTTCACAATATTGATTCTACCCATTCATGAGCATGAGATGTGTTTCCATTTGTTTGTGTCATCTATGATTTCTTTCAGCAGTGTTTTGGTAGAGACCTTTCACTTCTGTAGTGAGATATATTCCTAAGTATTTTATCTTTTTTTTTTTTTTTGCAGCTATTATAAAAGGGGTTGGGTTCTTGATTTGATTCTCAGCTTGGTTGCTCTTCGTGTATAGCAGTACTACTGGTTTGTGTACATTAATTTTGTACCCTGAAACTTTACTGAATTCATTTACCAGTTCTTGGAGCTTTTTGGATGAGTCTTTAGGGTTTTCTAGGTATACAATCATATTGTCGGCAAACAGCGACAGTTTGACTTTCTCTTTAACAATTTGGATGCTCTTTATTTCATTTGTTTGTTTGTTATAAGAGATGAGGTCTTGCTTTGTCCCCCAGCTTTGACCTCCAGGGCACAAGCGATCCTCCCGCCTCAGCCCCCCACGTAGCTGGGACTACAGATGCGCACCATCATGCCCGGCTAATTTTTGTATTTTTCTGTAGAGACACGGTTTTGCCATGTTGCCCAGGCTGGTCTCAAACTCCTGAGCTCAGGCAATC
Organism: Homo sapiens; assembly: GCF_000001405.40. Classification (NCBI taxonomy): domain Eukaryota; kingdom Metazoa; phylum Chordata; class Mammalia; order Primates; family Hominidae; genus Homo; species Homo sapiens. The sequence goes on from NC_000001.11 coordinate 173,738,412, forward strand.
CACCTGCCTCGGTGTCCCAAAGTGTTGGGAGTACAGGCATGAGCCACTGCACCTGGTCCTGGATGCCCTTTATTTCTTTCTCTTGTGTGATTGCTTTGCCTAGGACTTAAAGTACTATGTTGAATAGAAGTGGTGAAAGTGGGCATCTTTGTCTTGTTCCAGTTCTCAGGGGGAATGCTTTCAACTTTTCCTGTTCAGTATAATATTGGCTGCAGGTTTGTCATAGATGGTTTTTATTACCTTAAGGTATGTCCCTTCTATGCCGATTTTCCTGAGCATTTCAATCATAAATTGATGCTAGATTTTGTCAAATGCTTTTTATGTATCTAATGAAATGATCATATGATTTTTATTTTTAATTCTGTTTATGTGGTATATCACAATTATTGACTTGCATATGTTAAACTATCCCTTCATCCCTGGTATGAAACCCACTTGATCATGGTGGATTATCTTTTTGATATGCTGTTGGATTCAGTTAGCTATTATTTTGTGGAGGATTTTTGCATCTATGTTCATCAGGGATACTGGTCTGTAGTTTTGTTTCTTTGTTATGTTCTTTCCTGGTTTTGGTATTAGGGTGATACTGGCTTCATAGAATGATTTAGGGAGGATTCCCTCTTTCTCTGTCTTTTGGAATAGTGTCCATAGGATTGGTACCAAGTCTTGTTTTTTTTTGGAGATGGAGTCTTGCTCTGTCGACCAGGCTGGAGTACAGTGGCACGATCTCAGCTCACTGCAACCTCCACCTCCCACATTCAAGCGATTCTCCTGCCTTAGCCTCCCGAGTATCTGGAACTACAGGCACCCACCACCACGCCCAGCTAATTTTTTGTATGTTAGTGGAGATGGGGCTTCACCGTTTTGCCCAGACTGGTCTTGAACTCCTGAGCTCAGGCAATCTGCCACCTCAGCCTCCCAAAGTGCTGGGATTACAGGCACGAGCCATCACGCCTGGCCCAATTCTTCTTTAAATGTCTGATAGACTTCAGCTGTGAATCCATCTGGTCCTGGACTTTTTTTTTGTTAGCAATTTTTTTTATTGTCATTTCAATCTCACTGTTGTTATTGGTCTGTTCAGAGTTTCTGTTTCTTCCTGGTTTAATTTAGGAGGGTTGTATATTTTCAGGAACTTATCCATCTCCTCCAGGTTTTCTAGTTTGTGCACATAAGGATGTTCATAGTAGCCTTGAGTTATCTTTTGTATTTCTGTGGTATCGGTTGTAATATCTCCCTTTTTTTTTTTTTTTTTTTTTTGAGATGGAGTTTCACACTTGTCGCCCAGGCTGGAGTGCAGTGGTGCAATCTCAGCTCACTGCAACCTCTGCCTCCCGGGTTCAAGCAATTGTTCTGCCTCAGCTGGGATTACAGGCACCTGCCACCACGCCCAGCTAATTTTTTGTATTTTTAGTAGAGACAGGGTTTCACCATGTTGGGCAGGCTAGTCTCGAACTCCTGACCTCAGGTGATCTGCCCACCTTGGCGTCCCAAAGTGTTGGGATTACAGGCGTGAGCCACCACGCCCAGCCCCATTTTGTTTCTAATTGAGCTTATTTGGATCTTCTCTCTTCTTTTCTTGGTTAATCTTGATAATGGTCTATCCATTTTGTATATCTTTTCAAAGAACCAGCTTTTCTTTCATTTCTCTTTTGTACTATTTTTTCTGTTTTATTTCATTTAGTTCTGCTCTGATCTTTATCATTTCTTTTTTCTTTTTTTTTTTTTTTAATGATGGAGTCTCGCTCTGTTGCCCAGGCTGGAGTGCAGTGGCGCGATTTCGGCTCACTGCAAGCTCCGCCTTCTGGGTTCACGCCATTCTCCTGCCTCAGCCTCTCCAAGTAGCTGGGACTACAGGCACCTGCCACCACGCCCGGCCAATTTTTTGTATTTTTAGTAAAGATGGGGTTTCACCGTGGTCTTGATCTCCTGACCTCGTGATCCACCCGCCTCGGCCTCCCAAAGTGCTGGGATTACAAGTGTGAGCCACCATGCCCGGCCTATCATTTCTTTTCTTCTGCTGGGTTTGGGTTTGGTTTGTTCTTGTTTATCTAGTTCCTTGAGGTTTTACCTTAGATTGTCTATTTGTACTCTTTCAGAATTTTGATGTAGGCATTTAATGCTATGAACTTTCCTCTTAGCACCGCTTTTGCTGTATCCCACAGGTTTTGATAGGTTGTATCACTATTATTGTCAGTTTAAAGAATTTTTTAATTTTCATCTTGATTTCATTGTTGACCCAAAGATCATTTCAGGAGCAGGTTATTTAATTTCCATGTATTTGCGTGGTTTTGAGATTCCTTCTGGAGTTGATTTCTCCCCGCCGAGAAAGCAGGCAGGACTTTCAGGCCTTGCCCCTCCCTGTCTGCCGTGGCTTTGGCTTCCGTGTCGTATCTGCACTTCTCATTTGCCCCCCCGGATTCTGCCCAGGAAAATTTGCACTCAGTCAAATTATTACACAGTTTACCTGGAAATCTCCTTCTTTCTATGGCCCTTCCCCAGTTCCACTGGCTGTTCTCCCCAAGGACCCCTGTGAGATAAAGTCAGAAATGGCTTCCCTAGGGACCAGGACTGCCTACAGGGCTTTTCCTACTGTTGCTTCTACTTTTATATGTCAGTAAATTCACTTCAGCTGTAGGTAAGATTATATCCTTCTCCCATAATCTGGATTTTCAGGTTCACCAGTGAGGATGTGTGTTCAGAGGTGGGCTTTGCCCTTCTCATACTTTTGGGCACTCACAGTTTTTTGGCTTTCAGATTTTGCAGCTGCAAGCCACTTCTATCAAAGGATCTGTGAATTATTTTCAGTTTTCCTGGTATGTTCCTGTGGTGGTTCTTGGAGTAAAAGTTCACAGTGTGAATCTCCACACACTGTTCTGTCTGTCCAATTGGGGGCTGCAAGTTAGTCCTGCCTCCTATCTGCCATTTTTTACATATTTTCTATTTTATACTTTAATACCACCCTTCTGTCCACCAGGATGACCTCCAATGGATCAAACGTTTAAACATACAAAATAAAACCATGAAAATATTACACAATGATATGGAGCAATTTCTTTATAATCTTGAAGTGAAAAAGGTCTTTCTAATTGACTAACCCAGAAAAGACAGAAGATAAAATTGATAGATTTGACTACATACAATTCAAAATTTTCTGCATGGTAAAACAAAGCAAAATAAAAATTACAAGACAAAAGTCAAAGCCAAGCTGGGGAAAAATATCTGTAAATCGTCCTTTCTGGTGGTGATGACCTTCCCACAAGAACATGCCTCTTGCAAAGGATCTCCTTCATCCCTCTCCAGAAGAGGAGAAGAGGAAACACAAGAAGAAATGCCTGGTTCAGAGCCCCAATTCCTACTTCATGGATGTGGAATGCCCAGGATGCTATAAAATCACCATGGTCTTTAGCCATGCACAAACTGTAGTTTTGTGTGTTGGCTGCTCCACTGTCCTCTGCCAGCCTACAGGAGGAAAAGCAAGGCTTACAAGAAGGATGTTCCTTCAGATGAAAGCAGCACTAAAAGCACTCTGAATCAAGATAAGTGGGAAACCATCTCGATAAACACATTTTGGATAAAAAAAATTGTAACTTGTATCATAGACGACATTAATCTCCTTATGTCAAGAGCTTCTGTTGGTCAATAACACAAACCGATGACCTAACAGAAAAATGGGCCATAAACAGAAAAGAAATTCAGATTCCCCTTAAACATATGAAATATGCTTGTTTAAAATAACTAAAACACAAAACTACATCAAAGTAACATTTTTTATCTATCAGATTACAAATATCCAGAAGTTTTGTACACCCTGTTGGCAAGGCTGTGGGAAATAAGATCATTGCTAGTGTGAGTATAAATTAGTACAACCCTTTTGAAAGGAACTACGGCGGTATCTATCAAAGTTACATACTTTTTACACACACTATTTTGACTCAGCTTCCTACTTCTGGAAATTTGTACTACAGGTGTACTGGAGAATGGAACAGTTTGGCACCATAAACAAGGTCAACAAATCAATACCAATGAGATCATCTGAGAAAGGGAGAGAGAAGAAAAAAGCCCTAAAATTTTTCCAATATTGAGGGATAAGTGACTGGCAATGGTAACAGGGAATATTTAGAGAGGATAGAAGAAAAGAGCAAGCATGGGTTGTGAGATGCAAAGGAAGAGATTATTTTAAGAAGGATATATACGTATATATACGTGCAGATATATACACATACGTGTATATACGTGTATGTATATACACGTATGTGTATATATATGCATATATCGTATGTATATGTGTACATATACATATGTACACATGTATGTATATACATGTGTGTATATATGTAAATATGTATATATACACGTATATTTCAGCATATATATATGCTGAAGTAAAAGTTATTAATAGTATTAGGCCCATTGGCCTTAAGAAACATTAAAACATTATAAACATTTTGGTACTACAGAAGAATCTACGCAGGATGCAATCCAGACACCATAAAAAGATTGGTTTGATTGCATAAAAGTTAAAATTTTTTGTTCTTTCCAACATAAAAAGCATCATGAACTAAAAAATCAATGTCAAACTCAGAAAATCTATTTGGAACATACATGACAGAAAAATGGTAATTCCCATGAGCTCATCCAAATTTAATCAGAAAAAAAAACATGAAAAATACAATGGAAAAATAAGCATAGGGTATAATAAGGAATGTGTAAAAAAAAAAAAAAAGGTGGTCAAATGGAAAATAAACATGAAAGGATGCTCAACCTCACCTATAATTAAAGAAACATATTTCAAAACAAAATACCACTTTTTTAGCCTTATATTGGAAAAATACTATTTAAACTTTATTTGAAAAATATTCAAATTTATAGGAAATCACAGGAATAAGACAAAACTTTTATGTACGCTTTGTCCAGATTCACCAGTTGTTAACATTTTGCCTCATTTACCTTGTCATTCTTTCCTTGCTCTATGAATATTTTTATCTGGGTAATTGGAGAGTATATTGCCAATATCATATTCCTTTACTCCTGAATTCTCCTATACTCCTTTTATATTCCTTTACTCCTTTACTTTCATATTCCTTTATTCCTGAACACTTACTATGATGGTTGCAAAGTGGTGATTTTAAAAAAAAAAAAACTCCATTTTCTGTCTACATTCTGCTATAAGAAAGAATTTTTCTTAACCCGTATTCATTGATTAGCACTGTGGACTCATGGCTTATTCTATTCAGTAGATTAGTGTCCTTTGTTGCTATTTATTATTTTGATGCATGGTAGGTTCTGGTTTATCCGTCTTGTGTTTCCTTTTGGAAAATTAAATACATGTATGTTTTCCTATTTCTATGTCTTTCTTGCATGCTATATATTTTGTTGCACCTTGCCTTTTAATATTTTCTGGAATTCATTCCATATTAGTTGTTTTAGATGGTCCTTGTTTTTCATAGCTGCATTGTACTCCTTGTGTGGATGTACCACTGTTGGTTCAATCAGTCTCCAATGTTTGAGCATTTAGGTAGCTTTAAATATTTTGCCATCACAAATAATGCTGCAATGAATAACATCTTATATGAACATGTCAATATTGTTGGAAGTTTATCTTTAGAATAAATTCCTAGAAATAGGATTGCAAGGCCTAAGTTTAACTTCATTTAAGTATCACCAATTTCTCTTCCATGGGGATTGAATCATTCTAACCAGTAATATATGAGGATAAATGTTTGTCCACAGCCTCACCAACAGATTGTATTGCCAGCCTTTGGAATTTTTGCTAATTTAACAGATAAGAAGGGAATTTCAGTATCATTTTAATGTATACTTCTCTGAAAATAACTAAAGTTGAACATCTTTACTATTTTTAAGGGCCATATGTATAATTTTTGTGAATTGTGTTTTAATGTATTTTGCCCATTTTGCTATTAAGATTTTTGGTTTTTTCTTCAATTTTTTAAAGTTCTCTATATATTAACAGTGTTAGCCTTTTATCCATGATACATGTCACAAATATTTTTTTCCAGTTTGCATTTGTCTTTCAAGTTTGCTTATTGTATTTTTGATAATACAAAAGTTTTTGGTTTTTTTAAAGTCAAATGTATCAGTCTTTTCTTTTATGGTATCTGGATTTTGAGGCAGAGTTTGAAAGGTGTCCCCAAACCCAGGTTACAGAGAAATTTACACATATTTTTTCTAGCATGTAAATGGTCTTAGTTTATCTTTGTGTATGGTGTGAAATATGGACCTAATTTTATCTTTTTCCAAATGGCCATCTAGTCTAAATACCGTTTATTTAAAAGCCTTTCTTTGCCCCACTGATTTCAGATAGCATCTTTATTATACACTAAATTTCTGTATGTACTTGGTTTTGGACCTTCTGTTCTAGGCCATATACCAGTATGATACTGTTTTCTATTTATTATGGCTTAATTACTAAAGTTTTATAATGAATTTTAGTATGTATGCGGTAGGACTAGTAAACCCCTCCCCATCATGTAACTCTTTTGTTTTTCATTGTTTTCCAAGCTTTCTTGCTATTTATTTTTCCAGATGAACTTTAATGTCACCTTATCTAGTTCCAATAAAATAACTTGTTGGCATATTTATTGGGATCATATTAATTTATAAGTAAACTTAAGAACAGTCATTTTATGATGTTGAGTTGTCCTATCCAATAACAAGATTTTATTTCTTCAATTGTATTTTTGTATCTCTTGGGAACGTTTTATGGTTTTATTCATCTAACTTTTATACATTTCTTTTTTCTTTTTTTTTTTTTTTTTTTGAGACGGAGTCTGGCTGTGTCACCCAGGGTGGAGTGCAATGACGTGACCTCCACTCACTGCAACCTCCGTTCAAGCAATTCTCCTGCCTCAGCTTCCCGGGAAGCTGAGATTACAGGCGTGCACCACCAGGCCTGGCTAATTTTTGTATTTTTAGTAGAGACAAGGTTTCACCATGTTGGCCAGGCTGGTCTCGAATGCCTGACCTCAAATGATCCGCCCTCCTTGGCCTCCCAAAGTGCTAAGATTACAGGTGTGAGCCACCCCACCCAGCCTACATTTCCTTTTAAATTCACTTCTTAGTATTTTTTGTTGCTATCAAAAATAGGTTTTTCTCCTCCATTATATCTTCTAACTGGTAATCATTAATGTATATGAAAGCTGCCTCACTGAATTTTTTAATTATTTGTGTTACATTTACCATTGATTCTTTAGAGTTTTTTTGGAATCCTATTATATCACCTGCATATCAGTAGTTTTATTTCTTCCTTTCCAATTGTTCATGCTTCTAATTGTTTTCTTTTGTCTAGTTGCTTGATAACTCTAGTAAAATGTTAAATGGTAATGGAAATATTGTACATACTTATTTGTTTCTGACATTAGTAGGAATGCCTCTGGTGTTTTCCCATTAAGTAATATACTGGCTTTAGGATTGAGGTATAGATATTTTATCATGTTTAGAAAGTATTTGCTTGAACCCAGGAGGCGGAGGTTGCAGTGAGCTGAGACTGCGCCACTGCACTCCAGCCTGGGCAACAGAGTGAGACTTTGTCTCCAAAAAAAAAAAGTATTCATGTCCAACAATTCCTATTCTCTTGAATACTTTTTATTAGGAGCAGTGTTGAATTTTGTCAAAGACTTTTTCAGTTTTTATGGAGATAATCATATGAACTTTCTCCTTAAACCCATTAATGTAACTTACATTAATGGAATCCTACAAGTGAAAACATCTTTGAATTATTGGCATACACCTTTTGATTATGGTGGTGTTAGAATCTATTCGCTAATATTCAGTATTTTTACATCAATATTCATAAATGATATTAGTCTTTAATTTCCTTGTACTGTCTTTGTCAAGTTAAGTATGAATATTATACTTCATGAAAATGAGTTGGAAGTTTTCTTCATGTTCTGTGCTCTGAAACAAATGTACTATGCAGACTATGGTCTGTAAAAGTTTGATAGAATTTCCCTCTGAAATCATCTAGGCTTCGTGCTTTTTTGTAAAGTAATTTATTGTTAAGTTTTTCTGTTTCTTCTATGAAATTTTCTTTCTTTTCAGGCATCAATTTGGGTAAACTGTATTTCCCTAGAAAATTACCAATTTCATCTAGGTTTTCAAATTTATCTGTATAGAGGTATACAAAGTAATCTCTTTAATTTTTAAATTTCTGTAGCAGTGGTTATTTACCCTTAATACTTTGATTTTGTATGTGTGTTTTTAATGTTTCTTTCCTGAATAAGTTAACTAATAATCCATTTTAACTTTTTTCAAACAAAGAGGATTTTTTACTTATTAATTAGATCTACCTTTTTGCTTGATTGTATTTCATTCTGGTTTTACCTTTATTATCTTCTTGCTTGTACTTTCTTTTGGCTTATTCTTTTTCTAGCTGTTTGAGTTGAGACTTAATTTATTTTCATTCTTTTGTATTAACTACTATAAGTATTTAAAGCTATTCTTCTCGGATCACTAGTTTTAATATATTTAATTGATTCTAGTCTTTAGTGCTTCATTATCATTGTTTTATAGAAATTCTGTTTATATTTCTGTAACTCAAAAGCTATTAATAGTTTTTTTTAATTTCTAGATGGAAGGGTTTTTTGTGTTTTTTAATTTCATTTTTAATTGCTAGTTTTAGTGCACTTTGATCAGTGTTTGCAGTAATTCTACTCTATGAAATTTGCTTTCTTGGTAACCTAATATATGATCAATTTTTCTATTTTATGTGTGCTTGAGAAAAATGTGTATTTTCTAGTTTCTGTTCTCATAATATAGTATTTGATATGTATGCATAAGATATACCTTATTGATTATGTCGCTTGGCTCTTCTATATTCCTTTTTTGTCCTTGGACCTGTGTGTTAAAGTCTCTTATTATCAGTGTGTCTATTTCTCTTTATATCATCTATAGGTAGTTACTGTGTTGCCTTATGCATAATCATAACTTTATGTCTTGATGATAAATTGTGACTTTGAGCTTTGTAAAGTGTTCTCCCTTGTCAGATTTAATTCATTTGTTGTCTAAGTTCTAGTTTGTCTGATATCTGGATTTCAACTCGTTTTCTTATTGTTTCCATTTGACTGTATATATTTGTTCTTCCCATTACTTTTAGCCTGTTCAAAATATGATGTTTTAAGTAATTTTCTTGAATTAGTGTGGAACTGAGTTTTGCTTTATGAGCAGATTTGAAATCCTTTCCTTTAAATAGGCAATTTAAGCCCATTTGCATTTATTGCTCTGACTGATATGTTTGTTTTCAACTCTATCATATTTTTATAAATAGTACCTGATTCAGTTATATTTACTGTATTTCTTTTTCTATGTGGAATCTTCTTTGCTTTTTATTTTAATTTCTTTTGGTATATAGGAAAGTTTATATTTTTGTTCCACTGGTTACTTTTACAAACTAGAAAAGAGCAAATTAAACCCACAGTAGAAGGAAGAAAATAATAAAGATTAGAATAAAAACCAAGAGCTCTTTAAAAAAAAAAAAATGATGAAACTCCATCTCCATACTGATCAAGAAAAAAAAGGAAAGAAGACACAAGTTACCAGTAACAGAAATGAAAGAGAAGATATCACTACAAATTCTTTATACATAAGAAGGATGATGAGGAAATATTATGAACAACATTTTACCTATAAATTCAGAGATGAAATAGGCAAATTCTCTGAAGAAAACACAAATTACAAAAACTAAGAAGAAACAGAAAAACAGAATAACCCTATATCTATGAAATAAATTGAATTAATAATTTAAAAACCTTCTCACAAAGAAAATGCCAGTCCCAGATGGTGAATTTATCAAAAATGTAAAGAAGAAATAACACTAATCCTATGCAAAGTCTTTCAGAAAAGGAGAATGAAGTTACCAACTCATTTTATAAGGCCAGAATTGCCCTGATTGAAACCACAGACACTAAAAGAAAACTACAGATCAGTATCTCTCATGATCTTAGATACAAAAATTCTTAACTATTAGTAAATTAATTCCAACAAAGTATAAAAGGGGAAATACTATGACTTAAGTGTGGTTTATATTATTAATTAATGTTGATAGAATCATTATCTTATACTCACATTTAATTTCTCATTGAAAATAATCTAACTTCTTTAGATGCCTTGATAACAGACTTGTCTCTTCATTTCTTCCCACTGTTTTCAAATACCAAATCCACTTTCCAAAAATAAAGATTTGCCATCACTGAGGAGCTCCAAAACAATATGCTAAATTAGGCTTTGGACCCCACTGGGTGCAGCACACCAACATGGCATGTGTATACATATGTAACTAACCTGCACATTGTGCACATGTACCCTAAAACTTAAAGTATAATTTAAAAAATCAGAAAAAAAAAAGAATTCTCTGCTTCAGAACGTTCTTGGATTATGGTAATATTCTGTATCTTGATTGTGGTCATGTTTACATGAGTATATAATTTATCAGAACTCATTGAGCTATACACTTAAAATTTTTTTTAATGTCTTGCTCTAACTATAAGTTGCGTTTCAGATCTAAGATATTCACAAATATCTGAAGAATATTCTTGATAGTAGAGAAAGTTCTGAAATCCCTTCTAGTTCTAATCCTTCCTCCAAAGTGAACCTGATACATACCATATTGAAATCCCAGTAAGGAAATCTTACCCTTGTTTATCGGACTAGCATGGCTCCATGTAGGTGCAAAAAAAGTCATTTGGAGCTTAACATTTGTGACTCATTTAAATTATTTTTGAACTTAATCAAATCTGTATTTAATTTTCTCCTACTTCATTAGACCTAGCTTAATTCATACAGTGTTGCTCTGCTCATAAACATACATTTTTAAATTGTCTAAACTCAACAATTAAGTTCACCATATACTTGTTAGAACAATTCCAGATGACTTTGCTTAGTCATTCGTGTTTGTTTTCAGCTTTATTCATTCTTCAAATAGCATCTACATTCATCTGAAGAAACTAAAAGTAAACTGATTACCATAATCGTGTGGGGCTTAGAGTTCAGATCGCCTCTAAACTCTTATTTAAGAGTAGATATTGTGAAGCATTATTTTCTTAACTTGGTTATTTGATTCAAGGATAGACTTTAGTGCTAGATCTGCCCAAATGGCATATCATTAATATCGTTTTACTGGTGGGGGAAAAGGAGAGGTAGCATTTTAGCCAGGCATGTCTATCAAAAGTATTATTTTTACTCTCTGCTCTTAGTGCCAAATATTTTCTCACCCAAATTTTCATATCTTCATGTCATCTTGCGTTTCCATTAAATGAGTTAACACCTTAGTAGATTATTCATAAACTTCAAACTTGGTGATCATTGATATTTATATAACATTTGGTTTATACTCTGATGAAATTTAAAAAAATGTTTAGGCACTTCACAAAGATACACAATACCATACTTAAGTGAAGAAATCACAGAGAAAAATAAGAGGAAAGCAAGATGCAGTCATGACTAAACTTTTGCATGCTGTGAAGACCAATGCACTTACTAGAGCTAAGCCCCAAATTTAGCGCTGGACTTTATAGTCCCTCAACACAAGGTTAACAGATAAAATACAGGGCACCCAATTAAATTTAAATTCCAGATAAACAAGTAATTTATAGTATAAGTATGTCTTGTATTTTTGCTTGCCAAACTAAGCCGCCCTACCACAGAGAAAAAAATGCAACCATTCTAATTACTAAATTACCTAAGCAACCTCAGCTAAAATTTAAAGGGTAACTATTTAATTTCCTGAACCTCAGAAAGTCTCTCACTCAGATGGTTTGCAGATTTATGCCATAAAAATTGAAGCATTCATTATTATTTCTGCTATAAATATAACTGGCCTTATGGCCCTTTACTGTTTTGAGATTTGTATTTTTTCCTAATGCACTCGAGAATATTTATTTATTTATTTATTTTCTTGGTGATATGGCCTCACCTGTCTCTCAGGCCAGAGTGCTGTGATGGTGGTACACCTACGGCGTACTGCAGCCTTGACCTCCTGGGCTCAAGTGATCCATTCACCTCAGCCACTGGAGTAGAAGGGACTACAGGCACGCACCACCATGTCCGGCTAATTTTTCTTTTTCTTTTTTTTTTTTTTTGAGATGGAGCCTCACTCTGTTGCCCAGGCTGAAGTGAAATGGCGCAATCTTGGCTTACTGCAACCTCTGTCTCCCGCGTTCAAGTGATTCTCCTGCCTCAGGGTTTCACCATGTTGGCCAGGCTAGTCTCAAACTCCTGACCTCAAGTGATCTGCCTGCCTCAGCCTCCTAAAGTGCTGGGGTTACAGGCATGAGCCACCACACCAAGCCTTAGCTAATTTTTTTATTTTTTATTTTTGTAGAAATAAGTTCTCACTATGTTGCCCAGGCTGGTCTCGAATTCCTGAGCTCAAATAGTTCTCCTGCCTCAGCCTCCCAAATTGCTAGGATTACAGGCATGAGCCACCACACTTGGCTAAGGAAAACATTCTTAATAAAATATTTAAATTATTTTTATGACCTATTGCATATTCTGCTAAATATTCTGACTTTTTGATGAGCATGATTATAACCCTGTCCCAAGAGAATCCATCAACTTCATTAGAGGTACTGCCTGCACTAATAGACATCACATGTAGTACAGTCTCGTGAGTAATAATATAACAAACCACGTGAAGGGTAGGAGTGACTGTTTCTTTCCTCTGCGTTGCACCCTGTCCCTTTTACTCTACATTCTGATGAATGGAATTACAAGGCCTTGGAATAGGTGGCTGGCCTGTACAACAAGGTAATATCCTTGTTGCCGTTTCATCTCCATTCTGACAGTTGCCTAGCCTTGGGTAAAGATAAATTATTGGTGTTTGTAGATTCTCACTAGCATATATATTAGAGAGTTTGATCGTCAGAGTTTTTTCACTGGTCTAATACTCTCCTCATTATATTCATTCTTGTTTACAGAATTGCTGACACTCTTATTCTTTTTTGAAACTGACCCCTTGGTTTTTCTGCCCTAGACACTGCCTATTCAGCAACTAATCTTCTGCAAGCTTTTTCTGACTTTTTATATGCCTTATATATCTGGAGTTATAGTTTGATATAGTTAATTTGTCTTATTTTGAATATAAATTTTTATTTTGATCTTTTATTTTTTAAGTCATTTTTCTTAAATTGCTTGACTCACAAATGATTATTTTTACTAAATTTTAATGGTGTCTTCTGTACCTTCCTTTGTTCTCTTTTCAAATTTTTCCTTTCCTCTGGTATCGTTTGAAACTTCAGCGCATTGTAGAATACAGCTTTGTCCCATAACCCTGAAGAAAAACACTGAGACAATAAATGTGATCACAGGATTTTTTTTTCTTCTTACCTAACTTTGAACAGGTAATGGAGAGTGAAGAGTTCATGTTGCTTCCAGCCAATCAACTCATTGATATAATATCCAGTGATGAGCTAAACGTTCGCAGTGAAGAACAAGTGTTCAATGCAGTGATGGCCTGGGTCAAATACAGTATTCAGGAAAGACGTCCTCAATTACCCCAGGTAATGATAGAAATTCTTCTCTAAGAAACTGCTGACCGGGCATGGTGGCTCATGACTGTAATCCCAGCACTTTGGGAGGCCAAGGCAGGTGGATCACAAGGTCAAGAGATCGAGACCATCCTGGCCAACATGGTGAAACCCTGTCTCTACTAAAAATACAAAAATTAGCTAGGCATTGTGGCGGGCGCCTGTAGTCCCAGCTACTTGGGAGCGTGAGGCAGGAGAATCACTTGAAACCAGGAGGCGAAGATTGCAGTGAGCCGAGATCGTGCCACTGTATTCCAGCCTGGCGACAGAGCGAGACTCCATCTCAAAAAAAAAAAAAACTGCTTAGTACTAGATGAGATAATACGTATTTGTCTTGCAAACATAAAACAGTTATCACTCCACATTCGTCTGTAAGAAAGTCCATCTGTTTCCAAATAATCAAGGAAATAAGTATTTAGAAGCATTTTGGTTGCTTATTAATGTGGGCTTTTTGCTCCTTTGCTTTCCCCGTATTTTGGATCAATTCTACTTTTGAATGATAGCACAATTCAAAACTTAAATTGTATAAAATGAACAAAAGAAAGCAAGGATGCTTCTTTTCCTATAGCTTGGAAATCCTACCAGTTTTCCTTCAATATGACTTGGAAATACTACCACACTTTCAAGAGTAAAGACATGATGCATCAGTCATCACTGAGTGATCAGTAGTTCACTTAAGACCCATTCTTGTTATTGTGATTATAGTCTTTAGCAATTCAACAAGATATTCTTCTGGATTGTGAATTAATTTGAGTCCAGCTATAGAAGAGCTTATAATGTCTTGCTGAACGTTTTTAGTAGTTATGCCTTCCTTCCTTCCTTATTTATGGTATTCGGTGAGATCCCAAAACAATTGGAAGCACAGTAGGGTACCATGGGTCATGTATTCTCTTAAATAGCTTATAGATGAGAGCTCATGCCTTTAATAGTGTTTATTGGCTGGGTGCAGTGGTACAAGCCCATAATCCCAGCACTTGGGAGGATAAGGCAGGCAGATCACTTGAGCTCAGGTGTTTGAGACCAGCCTGGGCAGCGTGGTGATTCCCCGTTTCTACAAAAAAAAAAATACAAAAATTTGTTGGGCATGGTGGCATGCACTTGTAGTTGCAGCTACTCTGGAGGCTGAGGTAGGCACATCACTTGAGCCCAGGAGATTGAGGCTGCAGTGACCTACGATCATGCCACTGTACTCCAGCCTAGGCAACAGAGTAAGACCTATCTCAAAATTAATTAATTAAAATAATGGTGTTTATTTTCTCATAGGTGCTGCAGCATGTTCGTTTGCCTTTGCTTAGTCCCAAGTTCCTGGTCGGCACAGTAGGCTCTGATCCCCTCATCAAAAGTGATGAAGAATGCAGGTATGAGTGACCCTGGATGGGAAAAATCAACAACTAAGCATTCCTATTTTTTCCTAATTTCCTTATTTGTATTGCTTCCTAAATATTGTATTTTGCAGAGCTGAAACCAGGGCTTTAATTTAACAAGGTTTTCTTCTGGGCTAGAGTCAAGAGGAGGAAAAGAAGAAGAGAGAACTGAACTTCCAGTGTTTCATTCCATTAGGTTTTTATGTGTGGTGCTTACTGGTGTAGAAGTGGCAATAAAAAGGTAGATTTCCAAGATTTTAATGCAGGCTTGAATTTAAAGAGTCAATTCTCTGCTAATATTTTTTTTTTCCTTGAGATAATTAAATAATGCTGTTGACTCTGTCAATGAACATTTTTTCCTTCCATCACATATGTCTGGTTGGGGAATAGAATCAGCCTTGCTTTCTAAATTGTGGACAGAGTTGAAGATCTGCCACTTTCTAAAACAGCTGTAGAAAGATTTTCACTAAAACTAGGTGAAGCAGTTTCCAGAGGTTTTTTGACGAAAGAAACTCTTAACTACTTTTTCAAAGGGGGGGAAAAAAGCAACCTATTTTACTAGGCTGTCTTTAAAGTATATACAAAATGTAATAAATTACATTCCCAATTTGACAGATTGTAAGATTTAGGTTCAAATCTGAAATCATCTGGGATTGTTAACCATTTTTCCCCAGCATGTCCCAAATATAAAAGTGAAAGAGAAAATCCATACTCAGAACTTTGTAAACTACACTGACCTTTGAACCTCCCTTGGTGATTAAAGACATTTAGAATGATCCCTGATTCTAGAATGGTGGTAGGACATGTAGATTCACTTGCATTTCTTCTATAAACTAAAGCCTGTTCTTTTAACAGGAGAGGCTGGAGGGGATTTTAGATGTTTCTATTTTATTTTATTGTATCTTTTTTATATTAATCATTCTTCATTTTTCAGTTTACCATAGACTAGAGTTAAACTAGATTTTTGTATTCTATATTTAAAACACAGACAGGCCGGGCGCAGTGGCTCACGCCTGTAATCCCAGCACTTTGGGAGGCCGAGGTGGGTGTATCACCTGAGGTCAGGAGTTCGAGACCAGCCTCAACATGGAGAAACTGCATCTGTACTAAAAATACAAAAATTAGCTGGACATGGTGGTGCATGCCTGTAATCCCAGCTATTCAGGAGGCTGAGGCAGGAGAATTGCTTGAACCTGGGAGGTGGAGGTTGCGGTGAGCCAAGATCACACCATTGCTCTCCAGCCTGGGCAACAAAAGTGAAACTCAGTCTCAAAAAAAAAAAAAAAAAACACACAGACAAATGGCAATTAATTCTCCTAAATATTTGCAGTAGCAAAAAGGAAAACCATGTACATTATACATGCTGAAATCTGAAGAAATAATACATAGATGCCCTCCTCCATTAAAAGTAAATCAGATTGTATTGTACTGATTCTGATGCAGAAAGTAAAAGTACTTATGAAGTCATATTTAAAAGAAGACCCTTCCTGATATCCTAACTTCTTTTTGCTGCAGTTTCTTCCTCTATAAAGTGAGGATGATAATAGTGCCTATTCCATAAGGCTGTTGTGAAGATTAAATGAGTTTATATCTATTAAGCACTTAAAACCAGGACTAGCACATAGCTGTAAGTGTTGTTACTACCATTAATTTTGTGTTGGTTTGCTCAATATTATAGCTCTATAGTATTATTTGTAGGAACCCTCAAATGACCTAACAAGCTATTAGGAGATCAAAGTCTTTGTCTTTTTTTTTTTTTTTTTTGAGACGGAGTCTCGCTCTGTTGCCAGGCTGGAGTGCAGTGGTGCAATCTCGACTCACTGCAACCTCTGCCTCCCAAGTTCAACCGATTCTCCTGCTTCAGCCTCCTGAGTAGCTGGGACTACAGGCGCGTACCACCACACCCAGCTACTTTTTGTATTTTTAGTAGAGACGGGGTTTCACCATATTGGCCAGGATGGTCTCAATCTCTTGACCTCATGATCCACCGCCCCTCAGCCTCCCAAAGTGCTGGGATTACAGGCGTGAGCCACTGCAAAGTCATTACATGTGTAATTACTAGACTCTTCTCTTAAAGTGTCTTAACAAGACAGGAAATATGTCTCGGTAGACTTGTTGAGAGTAAACCATTCATATGTTACCAGATAGCAAATTTGTGGCAGTACAGTGTTTCTTTTCAGCAATCCGATTTTTGACCCAGTTTTATTACTTTAATCTAGCAAATAACTATTGCCCTGGCTGATGTGCTACCTTGCTAATATCTTGCAGAATCTAATAAAATTTATTAAAAAGTAGTAACTCTGCAGTGTGGTAATCAAATTGTAATTTTTACTTTTCTATAAGTTATTGTTGGCTGTAAGCATGTTGAGCTTTAGGCTAAATTTGCAGTGAGACATGAGTCATGATGGAAATACCAATCAATTCACAACTCAGTTTGACTGGCATTATTGGTTTCATGTTTGTGCCAATTTTAATATTGGCTGGCATTCATGATTTGGTTTGATTTATGCTTGCTTCCCTTTGCCAACCTATATATTCCTAAACTACATTGGGACTTAACTAACAATGTAATTTAGATATTTGGAATAAAGGCAGAATTTTTTCTACAGAGACTTGGTAGATGAGGCTAAAAACTACCTCCTATTGCCGCAAGAACGACCACTAATGCAAGGACCAAGGACGAGACCACGGAAACCTATCCGATGTGGGGAAGTACTCTTTGCAGGTTTGGATCTTAATATACTGTTAGTAAATTGAGTATTTTCCCAGGTGAGAAACTGTCATTTGAAAAATCCTTTGGACAATTATGATATTTACTGTCATAAGACACAAATAATAAGTCAGCATATAGCTTGACTCATAACCCATGATTCCACACTGATATACTCCAAAAGAGTGCTCTATTCTTTTTTCTCATTCAACACCTTTAATATCTATTTTTATATAAATCCAAAAATGTTGGCTGGTCACAGTGGCTCATGCCTATACAGCTTTCTGGAGGCCAGGCGTTTGAGACCAGCCTGGGCAATATAGGGAGGCCCCATCTTTACAAAAAATAAGAAAAACAATTGGCTGAGTGTGGTAGTGCATGTCTGTAGTCCCAGCTACTTGGGAGGCTGAGACAGGAGGATGGCTTGAGCCTAGGAGGTCAAGGCTGCAGTGAGCTGTGATTGCACCACTGTACTCCAGCCTGGGGAACAGAACAAGATCCTGTCTCAAAAAATAAAAAATAAAAATGTCGTGCAGTAGATGTTTTGTTGAAATGAGTCACATGCATTAATTTATATATCAATGTGCAGCTCATCCCATAATCACATGGAATTGTGAAAAAACATTAAACAATTATAATTTATTTCTCCATTCTATGCATATCCATCTATAATTTCTCCATTCTATCCATATATACATATTATCTCATAATCCTATGTGAATTGGTATCATTGCCTTCCTTTGTAAAATAGACGTAATACTAACTTATTTACAGAATTGATTAAAGATTATAGCAATCCCAGTGGAATGAGTTGAAGTCATAACTTGCATTTTGACCTACTACTAGAGACATTTGGTGAGTCTAAGCATTAGGTCACAGTGAAGTTAGTAGTGAGTGTTACATTTTATGCTTCAGGATAGGATTCTCTTGACCATTTCTGTTACTTCCCCAGTTGGTGGTTGGTGCAGTGGAGATGCCATTTCCAGTGTTGAACGATATGATCCACAGACCAATGAATGGAGAATGGTGGCTTCAATGAGCAAAAGGAGATGCGGAGTTGGGGTCAGTGTTCTTGATGATCTGTTATATGCAGTAGGAGGCCATGATGGATCCTCTTATCTCAATAGTGTTGAAAGGTGAGTAAGGTCAATCTGTAATTTTCTCTCTACTATTCATATAGTTTTATTTGAGATGTTAATTAGGAAACAAATTGATTTAATGCTTTAGTATTGCATCTGTGGCACTAGTTGGCAACCTAAACAAGTTAGTATGATACACAAATTCTTTATGATCTGGTCTCCGCCTATTTTTCTAGTCTGTCTCCCATGACACACTACCACTCCCTAAGCATGCTACTACAGACACATCAAATTGCCTGCAGTTCCTTGGACATGCTGCATGTCCATTCCAAGTCATACCTCTCTCCTTACATATATGCATGCTGTTCTTTTTTCCCTGGGATACTTCTGCCACTTTAAGACTTACATTTCCTTTGGCCAGGTGCAGTGGCTCATGCCTGTAATCCCAGCTACTCGGGAGGCTGAGGCAGGAGAATGGCCAGAACCTGGGAGGCAGAGCTTGCAGTGAGCCGAGATCACGCCACTGCACTCCAGCCTAGGCAAAAGAGCGAGACTCCTTCTCAAAAAAAAAAAAAAAAGAAAAAAAAGACTTACATTTTCTTCAAGACACAAATGTTACTTAATACATACAACTTTCTATGATACCATACAGATGAGTTAGTTACTAGTTACTTGTTCCTTTGCCCTTCCATAAGTATTTTGAACATGTTTGTACATATCCATCACATTGTACTATACGTGTTGAAATGTGTTTCACCATAATATCTATCGCAGTGACTGGGCACATTGGGAATCTCTAGTAACTGATGTTTCAATAGCTTCTTGCTCTCAAGAAGCTGTGTTGATTAACAGTGACTCTTTGTTTCCATAACACATCTATGAAACGCTGCCGCATATCAAGTTCTAAAGATATAGATTGTGCAGCTGGGGAAAAATCTTAAAAAGCAGAGGGATCAGTCCCATAGAAGTAAAACAACTGCAACATGGAGAAACCTCATCTCTACAAAAAATACAAAAATTTACTAGTTGTAGTGGTGCACGCCTGTGAGTCCCAGCTACTCAGGAGACTGAGGCAGGAGGCCCGCTTGAGCCTGGGAGGTAAAGGTTGCCATGAGATGAGATTGCGCCATTGCACTCTAGTCTGGGTGACAGAGCAAGACTCTCTCAAAAAAAAAAAGAAAAAGAAAACAACACACACACTTAAAAATAAATTGATGACATCACAGAAGGGAAAAAATAAATTGATGGCATCACAGAAGGGATCATGGCAGACGGGAGGCAGGACTAGACTGAAGCTCCAGACCGGGCAACATGCGGAGGCTTGATTGCAAATGTTAGCTCCAGACTGACTGCAAGAAAAAATCAGCAATCTCAAGAGGACCCACAGACCCTCTGAAGAAAGCGGACTGCTCCTGCAGCACCCGGGAGAAACCCCAAATATTGGGAGTGCCCCAACTGCAGAAATGGGAAAGGGAGACCCTCCTCTCCCAAACACACACCCCCACTGGAGAAGCTGAAGGTCTGTTTGCAGGAGAAGTTTCCAACTTTACCTGGAGCTGAGTCAAGTTAGAGAGGCAAGCGAAATAACAGGGGTAGAGGAAGCAGCAGAAAGGCCCTGGGAGTTTGCTGGGTCCCCAAGCAGGCCATTCCTGCCTGGCACCACAGGGATCCATTGGGAGGGTGGCCAGAGGAGCAGGGGATAAAACTCCCCAGGGAGAAGGAATTCTCTAGCTGAACTTTGTAACAATTTGAACAGGGTGAGAAGCCTCCTGACCAGAACTCAAGGTAGGGTGCAAATCCTGCATGCAGACTTCACCGGCAGGGGGAAAACTAAAGCCCTTTTCTCTTGCAGCTGGGAGGCGGATAGCCTGGGGCAAGCCTGCTGCCCGCCTGTGGCCTGGAAACAGACTCAGAGTTGTGAGAGGGGCACGGTGGGAGTGAGACCATGGGAGTGAGACCAGCCCTTCAGTTTGTGTGGGAGCTGAGTGAGGCCTGTGACTGCCGGCTTTCCCCCACTTTACTGACAACCTGCATGACTCAGCAGAGGCAGTCATAATCTTCCTAGGTACACAACTCAAGTGACCTAGGAATCTCTTCCCCCATCCCCAACAGCAGTCGCAACAAGACCCGCCCAAGGAGAGTCTGAGCTCAGACATGCCTAATCCTGCCCCCACCTGATGGTCCTTCCCTGTCCACCCTGGTAGTGGAAGACAAAGGGCATATAATCTTGGGAGTTCTAGGACCCCACCTACCACCAGTCTCTCTCCACACTACTACAGCTGATGTTTTCTGGAAAGCACCACCTCCTGGCAGGAGGCCAACCAACACAAAAATAGGGTATTAAACCACCAAAACTAAGGATCCTCACGGAGTCCATTGCACCCTCCACCAGAACAGGTGCTGGTATCCACAGCTGAGAGACCCATAGATGGTTCACATCACAGGACTCTGTGCAGACATCCCCTACTACCAGCCCAGAGCTGAGTAGACTTGCTGGGTGGCTAGACCCAGAAGAGAGACAGCAATCACTGCAATTTGGTTCACAGGAAGCCACATCCATAGGAAAAGAGAGAGAATACTACATCAAGGGAACACTTCGTGGAACAAAAGAATCTGAACGATAGCCTTCATCCCTAGACCTTCCCTCTGACAGAGCCTACCCCAATGAGAAGGAACCAGAAAACCAACCCTGGTAACATGATAAAACAAGGCTCTTCAACACCCCCAAAAAATCATACTAATTCACCAGCAATGGATCCAAACCAAGAAGATTCCCTGATTTACCTGAAAAAGAATTCAGGAGGTTAGTTATTAAGCTAATCAGGGAGGGACCAGAGAAAGGCAAAGCCCAAGGCAAGGAAATCCAAAAATGATACAAGAAGTGAAGGGAGAAACACTCAAGAAAATAGATAGCTTAATGAAAAAACAAAAATTCAGGAAACTTTGGACACACTTTTAGAAATGCAAAATGCTCTAGAAAGTCTCAGTAATAGATATGAACAAGTAGAAGAAAGAAATTCAGAGCTCAAAGACAAGGTCTTTGAATTAACCCAATCCAACAAAGACAAAGAAAAAAGAATAAGAAAATATGAACAAGCCTCCAAAAAGTCTGGGATTATGTTAAACAACCAAACCTGAGAATAATCGGTATATCCGAGGAAGAAGAGAATTCTAAAAGCCTGGAAAACATACTCGGGAGAGTAATCAAGGAAAATATCCCCAGCCTTGTGAGAGACCTAAACATCCAAATACAGGAAGCACAAAGAACACCTGTGAAATTCATCACAAAAAGATCTTTCCCTAGG
Source organism: Homo sapiens (assembly GCF_000001405.40). NCBI lineage: Eukaryota > Metazoa > Chordata > Mammalia > Primates > Hominidae > Homo > Homo sapiens. The sequence goes on from NC_000001.11 coordinate 173,760,408, forward strand.
CACGTTGTCATCAGGTTATCCAAACTCAAGATGAAGGAAAGAATCAAGAGCCATGAGACAGAAGCACAGGGTAACTTATAAAGGAAAACCTACCATATTAACAGCAGACTTCTCAGCAGAAACCCTATAAGCTAGAAGGAATTGGGGACCTATCTTCAGCCTCCTCAAACAAAACAATTATCAGCCAAGAATTTCGTATCCAGTGAAACTAAGCATCGTATGTGAACGAAAGATAAGCCGTTTTCAGACAAAGAAATGCTGAGATAATTCGCCATTACCAAATCACCACTACAAGAACTTCTAAAAGGAGCTGTAAATCTTGAAAGAAATCCTGGAAACACATCAAAACAGAACCTCTTTAAAGCATAAATCACACAGTACCCATAATGCAAAAATACAAGTTAAAAAGCAAAAACACAAAACAAAACCAAAGTACATAGGCAAGAAAGAGCACTACGAAAGTAAAGTAACGGTACCTCACATTTCAATACTAACATTGAATGTAAATGACCTAAATGCTCCACTTAAAAGGTACAGAACCGCAGAATGGATAAGAACTCACCAACCATCTGCTGCCTTTGGGAGACTCACCTAACACATAAGGACTCACATAAACTTAAAGCAGTGGAAAAAGGCATTTAATGCAAATGGACACCAAAAGCGAGCAGGGGTAGCTCTTCTTATATCAGACAAAACAAACTTTAAAGCAACAGTGGTTAAAAGAGACAAAGAGGGACAGTATATAATGGTAAAAGGCTTTGTCCGACAGAAAAATATCATAGTCTTAAACATACATGCACCTAACACTGGAGCTCCCAAACTTATAAAACAATTACTAATAGACCCAAGAAATGAGATAGACAGCAACACAATAATAGTGGGAGACTTCAATATTCCACTGACAGCACTAGACAGGTCATCAAGAGGGAAATTCAACAAAGAAACAATGGATTTAAACTATACCTTGGAAAAAATGGACTTAACAGATATATACAGAACATTTCATCCAAAACCCACAGGATACACATTCTATTCAACAGCTCATGGAACTTTCTCCAAGATAGACCATAAGATAGGTCATAAAATGAGCCCCAATAAACTTAAGAAAATTGAAATTATATCAAGCACTCACTCAGACCACTGTGGAATAAAACTGGAAATCAACTCCAAAAGGAACCTTCAAAACCATGCAAATACATGGAAATTAAATAACCTGCTCCTGCATGAGCATTGGGTCAAAAACGAAATCAAGATGGAAATTTAAAAATTCTTCAAACTTAATGACAGTAATGACACAACCTATCAAAACCTCTGGGATACACAGCAAAGGCGGTGCTAAGAGGAAAGTTCATAGCCCTAAATGCCTACATCAAAAAGTCTGAAAGAGCACAAACAGGTCACACCTCAAGGAACTAGGGAAACAAGAACCAATCAAACCCAAACCCAAAGGAAATAACCAAGATCAGAGCAGAGCAAAATGAAATTGAAACAAACAAACAAAAGACCAAAAGATAAATGAAACAAAAAGCTGGTTCTTTGAAAAGATAAATAAAATTGATAGACCATTACCAAGATTAACCAAGAAAAGGAGAGAAAATCCAAATAACCTCACTAGAAAATGAAACAGGAGCTATTACAACTGACACCACTGAAATACAAAAGATCATTCAAGGCTACTATGAACACCTTTACACATATAAACTAGAAAACCTAGAAGAGATGAATAAATTACTGGAAAAATGCAACCCTCCTATCTTAAATCAGGAAGAATTAGATACCCTGAACAGACCAATAACAAGCAGCAAGATTGAAGTGGTAATTTAAAAATTACAACAAAAAAAAAGTCCAGGACCAGACGGATTCACAGCAGAATTCTACCAGACATTCAAAGAAAAATTGGTACCAATCCTTTTGACACTATTCCACAAGATAGGGAAAGAAGGAACCCTCCCTAATAATTCATAATTCATTCTGTGAAGCCAGCATCACCCTAATACCAAAACCAGGAAAGGACATAACTAAAAAAGAAAACTACAGACCAATATCCTTGATGAATGTAGATGCTAAAATCCTCAACAAAATACTAGCTAACCAAATCCAACATCATATCAAAAAGATAATCCACCATGATCAAGTGTGTTTCACACCAGGGATGCAGGGATGGTTTAACATATAGAAGTCAATAAATGTGATACACCACATAAACAGAATTAAAAACAAAAATCACATGGTCATGTCAATAGATGCAGAAAAAGCATTCGACAAAACCCAGCATCACTTTATGATTAAAACTCTCAGCAAAATTGGCATACAAGGGACATACTTTAATAAAAGCCATCTATAACAAACCCACAGCCAACATACTGAATGGGGAAAAGTTGAAAGCATTCCCTGTGAGCATGGGGTAAAAGACAAGGATGCCCACTCTCACCACTCCTCTTCAACATAGTACTGGAAGTCCTAGCCAGAGCAATCAGACAAGAGAAAGAAATAAAGGGCATCCAAATCAGTAAAGAGGAAGTCATACTGTCACTGTTTGCTGATGATATGATTGTTTACCTTGAAAATCCTAAGGACTCCTCTAGAAAGCTCCTAGAACTGATAAAAGAATTCAGCATAGTTTCCGGATACAAGATTAATGTACACAAATCAGTAGCTCTTCTATACACCAACAGCAACCAAGCGGAGAATCAAATCAAGAACTCAACTTTTTTTTACAATAGCTGCAAAAAAAAATAAAATACTTAGGAATATACCTAACAAAGGAGTCAAAAGACCTCAAGACCTCTACAAGGAGAACTACAAAATAGTGCAGAAAGAAATCATAGACACCACAAACAAATGGAAACACTTCCCATGCTCATGGATGGGTAGAATCAATATTGTGAAAATGACCATATTGCCAAAGCAATCTACAAATTCAATGCAATCACCATCAGAATACCACCATCATTCTTCACAGAATTAGAAAAAAACAATTATAAAGTTCATATGGAACCAAAAAAGAGCCCACATAGCCAAAGCAATACTAAGCAAAAAGAACAAATCTGGAGGCATCACACTACCTGATTTCAGACTATATTATAGAGCCATAGTCACCAAAACAGTGTGGTACTGGTATAAAAACAGGCACATAGACCAATGGAACAGAATAGAGAACCCAGAAATAAACCCAAACACTTACAGCCAACTGATCTTCAACAAAGCAAACAAAAACATAAAGGGGGGCAAGAACACTCTTTTCAACAAATGTTGCTGGGATAATTAGCTAGCCACATGTAAGAAAACGAAACTGGATCCTCAGCTCTCACCTTATACAAAAATCAACTCAAGATGTATTAAGGACTTAAACCTAAGACCTGAAACTGTAAAAATTCTAGAAGATAACATTGGAAAAACCCCTCTTGACATTGGCTTAGGCAAGGATTTCATGACCAAGAACCCAAAAGCAAATGCAATAAAAAAAAAAAAAAAACAGCTGGGACCTAATTAAACTAAAGAGCTGTTGCATGGCAAAAGTAACAGTCAGCAAAGTAAACAGACAATCCACAGAGTGTGAGAAAATCTTCACAATCTACATCTGACAACTAATATCCAGAATCTACAGTGAATTCAAGTCAGTGAGAAAAAAACAATCCTATCAAAAAGTGGGCTAAGGACGTGAATAAACAATTCTCAAAAGAAGATGTACAAATTGCCAACAAACATATGAAAAAATGCTCAACATCACAATGATCAGGGAAATGCAAATGAAAACCACAATGCGATACCACCTTACTCCTGCAAGGATGGCCATAATAAAAAAATCAAAAACCAGTAGATGTTGGTGTGGATGCTGTGAACAGGGAACACTTCTACACCACTGGTGGCAATGTAAACTAGTACAGCCACTATGGAAAACAGTGCAGAGATTCCTTAAAGAACTAAAAGTAGAACTACCATTTGATCCAGTAATCCCACTACTGGGTATCTACTCAGAGGAAAAGAAGTCATTAATCGAAAAAGATACTTGTACACACATGTTTCTAGCAGCACAATTCACAATTGCAAAATCGTGGAAGCAAACCAAATGTCCGTCAATCAATGAGTGGATAAAGAAACTGTGGTGTATATAGACGATGGAATACTATGCAGCCATAAAAAAGGAATGAATTAACAGCATTTGCAGTGACCTGGATGAGATTAGAGACTATTATTCTAAGCGATGTAACTCAGGAATGGAAAACCAAACATCGTATGTTCTCACTGATAATGTGGGAGCTAAGCTATGAGGACTCAAAGGCATAAGAATGATACAGTGGACTTTGGGGACTTGGGGGGAAGAGTGGAAGGGGGTCAAGGGATAAAAGACTACAAATATGGTGCCATGTATACTGATGCATGCACCAAAGTCTCATAAATAACCACTAAAGAACTTACTCATGTAACCAAATACCACCTGTACCCCAATACCCCAATAACTTATGGAAAAATAAAGAACACATCCCAGTTTAAAAAAAATTGATGGGTTAAAGAAGTGTAGAAATAGCTAAATATTTATGCCTTAACAATTTAGCCTATATATGTCAAAATGGATAGAATGCAACTAAGGTGGTACCCAGGGGCAAATTTACATGAATTTTAGCTTAGATACATTAATATAACTTATATGCATTTGGAAATAAGGAAGATGCAAAATAAATGAATCATGCTTTTAAGTCATCACTGAAAAGGCAATAAAACCCAACAAACAAACAAAAATCAACGAAATTTAAAAAAAAGATATGTCTACAAAAAGAGCAATTTGATAGGATTTTTAAAAATTAAGCATACTCGGCCGGACATGGTGGCTCATGCCTGTAATCCCAGCTCTTTGGGAGGCCGAGGCGGGTGGATCACGAGGTCAGGAGATTGAGACAATCCTGGCTCACACGGTGAAACCCCGTCTCTACTAAAAATACAAAAAAAGAGACGGGTGTGGTGGCGGGCGCCTGTAGTCCCAGCTACTTGGGAGGCTGACGCAGGAGAATGGCGTGAACCCGGGAGGCGGAGCTTGCAGTGAGCCAAGATCGTGCCACTGTACTCCAGCCTGCGCAACAGAGCGAGACTCCGTCTCAAAAAAAAAAAAAATTAAGCATACTGTTTGCTACAGTAATTCTACCTATCACCCATTTGCACAAAGAGAAATATATAAGGATGAACATTGTTTTTAATAGGAAAATATCAGAAACAGCCTAAGGGGTATATCAGTAGGAATATAATTAAATAATGTATAACACATATAATAGTAAAATAATTCAAAAGAAAAATCTAGAGCTATATTAGCATAAATAGATCTCAAAAAACGTTGAGGGAAAAAGCAGTGCCTACTGTGGTATTATTTATGCAAAGAAAACATGCTTGCATATAAAGAAATATATATATGTGGATACATATATACCTATATGAAAGCATTTTACTGAAAAGTCTTGAAGGATATATGCCAAATCAAAATGGGAAGAGACAAGAATTCAGGTGGAACTCAAGGAGGGCTTTAACTTTATCAATAATATTCTGATTTTTTTAAAGAAAATATATTCATACATAAATTTCAAAAAATAAAAACACAAACCAGATTTTCAAATGTTTTGGTTATTATTAATCAGCCCATACTTAGGGGAAATAATATATATCATATAAATCCATGGATTTAGAATATGTAAACATAGCCAAGCTTCCTTTGTGTAATACAAACTCTCCTCTTGGTATGTTCTTTTCAGGTATGACCCCAAAACAAACCAGTGGAGCAGTGATGTGGCCCCTACAAGCACCTGCAGGACAAGTGTTGGTGTAGCAGTACTTGGAGGCTTTCTTTATGCTGTGGGTGGCCAGGATGGTGTGTCTTGCCTCAACATTGTTGAGAGGTGATCTTTTTTTTAAGTCATTTTCCGTATTTTTATTTTAAAGAACATAGAGCTCTTTAAAAGAAAAACTACAGGTTGGGCGTGGTGGCTCACACCTGTAATCCTAGCACTTTGGAAGGCCAAGGCAGGTGGATTGCTTGAACTCAGGAGTTCGAGACCAGCCTGGGCAACATGGTGAGATAAAAAATACAAAAAAAAAAAAAAAAATTAGCCGGGCGTGGTGGTGCATGTAGTTCCAGCTACTTGTGGGGCTGAGGTGGGAGGATCACTTGAGCCCAGGAGGTTGAGGCTGCAGTGAGCTGAGATCACGCCACTGTACTCCAGCCTGGGTGCAAAGTGAGACCCTGTATCAAGGGGGAAAAAAAAAAAAAAAAGAAACAAGTAGAGCTGAATTTAGGACATTGGAGGATCCACTATTCAGTGGATTTCCCATAGGCTTTCAGCAAAAAGTCTTCAGTTGATCTTAAAGTCTAGGAAAATGAAAGATCTAAAAAAAGTTTTTTTTAATTAACAAAAATTATATATATTCACAGTGTACAGCATGATGTTTTGAAATATGTATAGGTTGCGGAATGGCTAAATCAAGCTAACTAACATATTATCTCACATACTTATGATTTATTTGTGGTGAGAACACTTAAAATCTACTCTCAAGTGTATAATACGTTGTTATTAACTATAGTTACTATGTTGTACATTAGAGCTCTTGAATTTATTCCTCCTCTCTAACTGAAATTTTGTACTCATTTACCAAGATTTCCTCACTGCCCCTCACCTTGCCAGCCCCTGGTAACCACCATTCTACTCTCTACTTCTGAGTTCAACTTTTTTAGATTCCTCATATAAGTGAGATCATGCAATATTTGTCTTTCTGTGTTTAGCTTGTTTCACTTAATGTCCTCCAGGTTTATCCATGCCGTCGAAAATGTCAGGATTTCCTTCTTTTTTAAGACTGAATAGTATTCTATTCATATATGCCACATTTTCTGTATCCATTCATCTGTTGAGGTACATTTAGCTTAACTTCATATCTGGTCTATTATAAATAATGCTGCAATGAATATGAGAGTACAGGTATCTCTTCAACATACTTATTTCCATTGAATATATACTTAGTAGTGGGATTACTGGATCATATGATAGTTCTATTTTTAATTTTTCGAGGAACCTCCATACTGTTTTCCGTAATGGCTATACTAGTTTACATTCTCATCAATGGTATGCAGGGGTTTCCTTTTCTCCATATTCTTGCCAACATTTGTTATCTATCTTTTTTAATATAGTAGCCATTCTAACAGGTGTGACATGGTATTTCATTGTGATTTTAATTTGCATTTCCCTGATGATAAGTGATATTGAGCATTTTCTCATATACTGAGCCATTTTTATGTGTTCTTTTGAGAAATATCTATTCAGGTCCTTTGCCCATTTTTAAATCAGATTATTTGTTTTCTTGCTGTTGAATTGTTTAAGTTCCTTATATATTTTCAGTATTAACCTTTTATGAGATGTATGGCTTGCAGATATGTTCTCCCACTCTGTAGATTGTCTCTTCACTCTGTTGATTGTTTCCTTTGCCATGCAGAAGCCTTTTTGTTTGATGTAATCTTACTTTTTTTGCTTTTGTTGCCTATGCTTTGGGGCACATAACCTGATTTTTTCAACTGTCACACTGATTGTACCTAACATTGAAATGTTAGAAATGTATTTCAGATTATATTCTATATATATCAAGCATACCACTTGTGAAATCTGTTCTGATTTTTTTCCTGAATCTACCTGGAGTGTACTTAATGAATGACTCTACTTAGACTTCCCCCAGAGAAATGATTACATAATAATACTTTGTATAGGACATCTTATAAAAAGCTTAAAGTATTTTGTATATAGACTCATTAATCATTGAAGTATACTTAGGGAAATCTAGGTGGGCTGCCATAGTCACTTTATACTGGTGTACAAATAGTTAATTTTGGTAGAACAGATTTTGTTCTTAATTTCTTCTGTCAGCTTTTCGTCATTAGATTTTAGAGTCTCATGTGCTATGATTACTGATAAGAACATATATTTCATCCTCACATCTTAAAAAGAAATGAGTCATGACTCTAAAATTTTTGAGGTAGCATTTACTAGTTTACCATGTATATGTTGAAACGTTTAACTGTTGTAAGTAGAGATAAAATAGAAGGTAACTCTTGAAAGCTATGCCAGTTCCCTTTTATCTCTCTGTCAAGAAATCTATTTTTTCACTTTCAAAACTCAGTACAGGAGGTTAGCAGCAGTGATGGCATAGTTTTTTAATATCTCCAAATGCCCACATAAAAACAGATAGAGTAATAGATAGCAAAGCTAAAAACCTATGTACTAGTTCTGGAGATTGGAGTTACACAACAATGTGAATATACTTAACACTACTAAACAGTTAAAACATGGTTAAGATGGTAAATTTTATGTTATGTGTGTTTTACCACAATTTAAAAATCAGAACCTGTGAACAAAATTTAACACAAAACTAAGGGAAAGAATATCCTCACAAACTCCAAAACACAAACGGGCAAAGACAAACTACCATTAGCCACAAGACCTGCATGATATTAGTATCTTCAGGAGAAATCAGAAAGAAGCAATTGGATGTCTGACAGATCTAAGAACAAAAGAACCTCAAACTAGCTAACACGTAGTAAATAGAAAGCACAAGGGGAAAATTTATCAGCAACTGAAACTAGAAACAGTTTTGTCCACTGCCATAGAGTGTAAGTGCAAGACCCTCAATAAGATCTAAAGGGCTTAGAAGAGGGTTTCTCAACCTCAACACTACTGGCGTTTTGGGTCAGACAATTCTTTGTTGTGGGGGACTGTCCTGTGCATTGTAGGATGTTTAACAGCATCCATAGCCTCTACCAACTAAGTGCCAGAAGCATGTGCCTGGTTGTGACAACCAAAAACAGTCTCTAAACATTGCCAGATGTTACTTAGGGGATGAGAAAGGGGGGATGAAGGGGAATAAAATAACACCTGGTTGGGAACCAGCTGAGTTAGAGCCATCTAGTCCCTGGGAACTCTCAAAACTGACCAGCCAGGATAATCTTCCAGGTCAGGACCCTACACTGAGGAGAATCAAAATTAAGCAGGACGAGGGCAACAGATGCCCTTGTTTTCCTTGAAAAGAGAAAGCCAAGACAAAAGTAAGGCAGTGAATAAAGTCAATAAATCTCTGGACTAGGCGCTGTGGCTCACACCCATAATCCCAACACTTTGGGAGGCCTAGGTGGGAGGATTGCTTGAGTCCAGGATTTCAAACCAGCCTGGGCAACATAGCGAGACGTTGTCTCTCCAAAAAATAAAAAAATTAGCCAGGCTTGGTGGCATACACCTGTGGTCCCAGTTACTCAGGAGGCTGAGGTGAGAGGATTGCTGGGAGGTCAAGGCTGCAGTGAGCCATGATTGCTCCACTGCACTCTAGCCAGGGTAATAGAGTGAGACCCTGTCTCAAAAAAAAAAAAAAAAAAAAATTTAAGGATACCCCATTCTTTATGATGTGATTATTTCACATTGCATGCCTATATCAAAACATCTCACATACCCCATAAATATATGCCCAAAAGTTAAAAATACAAAAAAATTTAAGTAATAATCTCTGAAGGCAAGGCACTATGTTTTTTAATACTACATAAAAAAAAGAAGGAGCTCCACAAAGTTAGAAAAACTGTCACAAACCACTCACTCCTATTTCTAAAAGTTCAGGAAAACTCATTTCATGTAAAAATGAAATAGCAAAGTATTGAGATTAGATTCCATACAAAGTTAATATAAGAAGAGAGAATAAGCAGCAGAATAACATCTCTACAGACAATAAAAGCACACTAGAAAGACACACCTACAGATCAAAACCTTAACTGTTTCAAAATGTGATAAAAGACATTAAGAAAATGATAACAGATATGAAACTACATAAATCAGAAGTAGAAAAATTCAGAAATGAAGTGACAGAACTCAGAAATGTATTAGAAATGAAAGGAAAAATCATTTCAGAATGAAGATTAAAGGATAATAAGCAAAACAGATAATGCCATAAGACAAATAGAAGGCGAAAAGAGGAAATATTTTAAGGTCAAAAAGAAATGAAGGCCGGGCACAGTGGCTCACGCCTGTAATCCCAGCACTTCTGGAGGCCGAGGCGGGTGGAGCATCTGAGGTCAGGAGTTCAAGACCAGCCTGACTAACATGGTGAAACCCCATCTCTACTAAAAATACAAAATTAGCCGGATGTGGTGGCAGGCACCTGTAATCCCAGCTACTTGGGAGACTTGAACCCGAGAGGTGAAGGTTGCAGTGAGCCGAGGTCGCACCATTGAGCTCCACCCTGGGCATCAAGAGCAAAACTCTCTCTCAAAAAAAAAAAAGAGAGAGGAAAAAAAAAAACAAGAGATACCATTTGAGAGATAGTAACAAATATTGAAAATAGGTAAAAATCTATTATACAGGTGATAGCAGTCCTTAAAGAAGAAAACCAAAGGGAGGAAACAGAATGAATACTAAGAACTATAATCCAAAGTTACTTTCCTATAATTAAAAAAAGAAACTTTTTTGAAAGAATACGCTATATCCTTCGAATATTGACCCAGAACACCAAGACATATGCTAATAACATGACTGTACCTTGAAGAAAAAGAAAAAATTCCTTAGACATCTACAAAAAAGTACATGTTACTTGTAAGGAAAAGAAACTTAGATTATCATCTGGCTTTTTAAAAGTAGTAGTTCATGCCAGAAGAAAATAGAATTGCATGTTTTAGATATTCAAGAAAAACGTGAGCCAAGGATTTTATACCTTGAGAAACTGACTTTGAAGTACAAAGGGCACAGACAACTATTAACAACATGTAAGAAATTAGGGAATCTTGTTCCCTTGAGCCCTCTAGGAGAACAAACTTCAGACAAAATTACTAGAAAGACATTGACAGAAGGGCTAGACCATGTGGTTCACACCTGTAATCCCAGCACTTTGGTAAGCCAAGGTGGGAGGATCGCTTGAGACTAGGAGTTCAAGGCTGCAGTGAGCTATGATCATACCACTGCACTTTAGCCTGAGTGACAGAGCAAGACCGTGTCTCTTAAAAATAAATACATAGATACATACAGTTAACTGTAGAACTATGACTAAATGAAGATTAAAAGGGGGAGGGCTGGGTGTGGTAGCTCTGACCTATAATCCCAGCACTTTGGGAACCCAAGGTAGAAGTACGACTTGAGGCCAGGAGTTTGAGACCAGCCTAGGCAACATAGTAAGACCCTATATGTTAAAAATGTATATATGTATATTTTTTAATTAGCCAGGCATGGTGGTGCACACCTGTATTCTCAGCGACTCAGAAGGCTAAGACAGGAGATTGCCCTGAGCCCAGGAGTTCAAGATTATAATGAGCTATGATTGCACCACTCTACCCCACCCTGGGTGACAGACTGACCCTGTCTCTAAAAATAAAAATAAAAGGGAGAGAGTGTAGCATGCTCTAGCTATGTACTCAATCCATGTAAATGTAGTACAAAGAAGAGGTATGCAAAAATGAATTTTAATTGTTCTCAGGGATATTGGAGTGATAATATTGCTATTCTGTTATGTGTATAAATGTAGAATAAAGGAAATGAGTATGCATTATTCTAATTCTGCTCTCTCCTTTGTCCTTGAAAACCAGAGTGTGGAGGTAGAAGAAGAAAAGGTTGCAAAATAGAAGTTAAATAAAGTATCTTGTAGTCCTGAGTATGAATTTGAACTAAATTCCTCTTTTGAAAAAATTTCTATATATTCTAGCTTGTCAACTGAGAAAGCCTCGAAATAAAGTGTCAGTGAACATCTCTACTCCCAGATTGTATCTTGAAATTTTATTTCCCACTTAAAGAAACCAGAGCTTATTGGAAAATGTCTGATTCCAGGTTTAGAACAGGAAATGTGCAGATGAGTCTGTACCCTTTTGTCATACCAAATAGCAAGCAAGCTGTCAAAGACCGCTAAGAGTCAAAAAGACTCAGGAGCCAACTTGAAGATGTTCCCACTGACCAAAGATAACATAATTTCAGCTTTAAAAGGGATAATTGCAATAGATTGAAATCCAATAAATACACTTAAATATATGAGTTCTTAATGATAAACTTTTTAAGACTAATTGGTTGCCTTTGGAAGATCATATGGAACAAATTTATTATCTCAAAACATAAAATGAAGTGAACATATATCCTGCTTTTCTTATAAGAACTGTATTATTATATTGATTAACCAAATAGTTAATATTATTATATTGATTAACCAAACCATATTATTATATTGATTAACCAAATAAAAGGATTGTTTCTTTATAAAATTATCCCAATAAAAGAAAATAAGTGATTATCATTTTGCAACACTCAGTAAATTAGTGTATCTAGACATTGATAAACAGCTGCTAACATACCACCTTCTTTAGTCTTGTTAAAGGAACCAAACATGGTCTGATCAAATTTCTGGATCCAACTACCAATTTGCCCAACATAAAAAGGACAGAGCAACAGATTGGACTGCACTATGAACGTACAGTCAACCAAATCCATATTATGGGGAAAATTGTCATACACTCTGGGTTCTAAAACAGATGAATTGCAGGGAAGAAAAGGAATGGAGAGAAAACCTGTAGACAATAAGAGACTTTTTAATTTAATCTGATTTTTTTAGAGACAGGGTCTCACTCTGTCACCCAGGCTGGAGTGCAGTGGTGCAATAATAGCTCACAACTGTCTCAAGCAATCCCTGCCTCATCCTCCCAAGTAGCTGGGACTGCAGATGAATGCCGCTATGCCTGGCTAATTTTTTTTCCAATTTTTTTATAGAGATAAGGTCTCTCTGTGTTGACGAGGCTGGTCTTGAACTCGAACTTGTGGCCTCAAGCAGTCCTCCAGCCTCAGCCTTCCAGAGTGCTGGGATTACAGGCATGAGCCACCACACACAGCCTTTTTTTTTTTTATCTTTTTTTTAAGTCTCAGCCAGACACAGTGGCTCACCTGTAATCCCAGCACTTTGGGGGGCCAAGGTGAGAGGATTGCTTGAGGCCAGGAGTTTGAGACTAGCCTGGTTAACACAGCAAGACCCCTATTTTTAAATAAATAAATATTAATTAAATAAATAAATATTAATTAAAATTTTTTTAAATGTAATGTTAAGTAAGATTGAAGTGTCTAGGGATGGCACTTTCTGTATTTGAGTTTTATAATAAAAAGGTTGTCTCAAAGAACTATGCAAAAGACTTCTACTTTCTAATAGGATGTAGTAGAGAGTAACAGCCATCACCCCCACTACAACGACTAGGAAAAAAAGACAAATTACAAAAATCATATTTTAAAATACATCAGAGGCATTTCAAAGTAATGACCAAATGAACTAAAATTCCATTGAAGAAAGAGCCTGTGTTGCCAGCCGGGCACGGTCACTCACGCCTGTAATCCCAGCACTTTGGGAGGCCAAGGCTGGCAGATCACGAGGTCAGGAGATCGAGACCCTCCTGGCTAACATGGCGAAACCCCATCTCTACTAAAAATACAAAAAATTAGCCAGGCGTGGTGGCAGGCACCTGTAGTCCCAGCTGCTCAGGAGGCTGAGGCAGGAGAATGGCGTGAACCCAGGAGGCGGAGCTTGCAGTGAGCTGAGATCACGCCACTTGCACTCCAGCCTGGGCGACAGACCAAGACTCCATCTCAAAAAAAAAAAAAAAAAAGAGAAAGAGCCTGTGTTATGTGAGCTGAAGTCATAGGTTGTTTTCTTTCCTTGGGACATTTTCCAAGTATGAGTGTAGAAAATAGCTTAATAGCTGGCACAGATATAAATTCTAAGACGTTTTTCTAATGACTAAGTAAAATGTTAGATTTTCATTGCACATTTGACTATAGCAAGTCCGTGTACTCAGTATATCGTTAGTGTGATTTCAGATCTTATGAAAAAGGCTTCACTTAATAAGAACAAGCATACAGTCTGGTTTCCCTCACTGCAGGTATGATCCGAAGGAGAACAAGTGGACTCGGGTAGCTTCTATGAGTACCAGAAGACTAGGTGTGGCTGTGGCTGTGTTAGGAGGGTTCTTATATGCTGTAGGTGGCTCTGACGGGACATCTCCTCTCAACACAGGTTAGTCCCTCCCAAAGGCAATCAGGTTCCCCAAAAGCAGAACATTTTCCTGGAGAGTCCTCCTACAAAACGTGTAGAAACTCCAGGTTATCCTATAATTTACTAGGAAAATGCCTGATTTTTCCCTCCAGCAGAGTGCAGCTCTCAGCTCTTCCTCAGCTCCCACTGTAGTCATATTCTAAGTACGTTCCCCAAATATTTATTTCTTCCCCTGCTTTCCAAGCTGCTGGAAATTTATAATGAATTTTAAAAACTACTTTCTTATATAATTAGTTCCTTTTCCTCCATCACAACTTCTCCTCAAAACCACAACGTACTCTAATCCAAGAATAAATAAAAACTTAGAACTACAAATTCGTTTATTTGGGTTTTGTTTTTGTTTGTGTTTTTATGACAGGGTCTCGCTCTGTCACCCAGGCTGGAGTCCAGTGCCACAATCTTGGCTCACTGCAACCTCTACCTCCCGGACTCAAGCAATCCTCCCACCTCAGCCTCCCGAGTAGCTGGGATTATACGTGTATGCCACCACACTTGGCTGATTTTTGTATTTTTAGTAGAGATGGGGTTTCGCTGTGTTGCCCAGGTTGGTCTCAAACTCCTGAGCTCCAGTGATCTGCCCACCTCAGCCTCCTAAAGTGCTGGAATTATAAGTGTGAGCCACTGCACCTGGCCTGGTTTGTTATTCCTTTCTATTTAGATAGTATGGGTATTTTTGCCTAAGGATATTGTCAATGTGACAGTCACACCAGATTCGTCACGTCTTGTCTTCTCTTCAGAAGCTTAAAATGCACTGTGCTATAGGGGAGGGAATACAGGAGTACAGAAGTTGTCTGATTATGATGATAAATTGTTAGTACTGAATGGTGCTTATTGATCATGTAGTCAGGCTCCCCATTTAACGATAAGGAGAGTGAGGCTGAGAGTCATGTAGCTAATTAGTCATTTAGATAAAACTAGAACCAGAGTATCTGGATCCCAACACGTGCCCTTTCCACTGTACCATACCTAGAAGAAACCAGTCCCTGATGAGAGTATATGTAGTATTGTCCAGAGGTATACAAATCCTTCTCAGAAGCAAAAATCAGATCATGTGTTGAAAATATGTGTTATCACAAAGTATCAGTGGCTATAAAGAAAACTGGAGGTGAGAGGAAATGGTTGAATGCTCACTTACTGGTTTTTCTTTTCCCTACAGTGGAACGTTACAATCCTCAGGAAAACAGATGGCACACTATAGCCCCTATGGGGACCCGGAGGAAACACCTAGGCTGTGCAGTATATCAGGACATGATCTATGCTGTAGGAGGTAGAGATGACACTACAGAGCTGAGCAGTGCTGAGAGATACAACCCCAGAACCAACCAGTGGTCTCCAGTGGTGGCCATGACATCACGCCGTAGTGGAGTAAGTGGTTATGGACACTTAGGTTGCTTCCAAATCTTGGCTATTAATAGTGCTGCAATAAACATGGGAGTGCAGATATCTCTTCATTATACTGGTTTCCTTTCTTTGGGGTATATACCTAGCAGTAAGATTGCTGGATCATATGATATTTCTATTTTTAGTTTTTTGAGGAACCTCCAAACTGTTGTACTAATTTATATTCCCACCAGCAGTGTAGGAGGGTTCCCTTTTCTCTGCATCCTTATCAGCAATCGTTATGGCCTGACTTTTGGATAAAAGCCATTTTAACTGGGGTGAGATGACATCTCATTGTAATTTTCATTTCCATTTCTCTAATGATCAGATGTTGAGCACCTTTTCATATACCTGTTTGCTATTTTTATGTCTTCTTTGGAGAAAGGTCTATTCAGATCTTTTGCCCACTTTTTAATTGGATTATTAGTTTTTTTCTATTGAGTTGTTTGAGCCCTTATATATTCTAGTTATTAATCCCTTGTCAGAAGAGTAGTTTTCTCCCATTCTGTGGGTTGTCTCTTCACTTTGTTGGTTGTTTCCTTTGCTGTGCAGAAGCTTTTTGACTTAATGTGATCCCATTTGTCTATTTTTTCTTTGGTTGCCTGTGCTTGTGGAGTATTACTGAAAAAAATCTTTGCCCAGACCAATGTCCTGGAGAGTTTCCCCAGTGTTTTCTTTTAGCAGTTTCATTGTTTGAGGCCTTAGATTTAAGTCTTTAATTCATTTTAATTTGATTTTTGTATATGGCAAAAAATGGGGTCTAGTTTCATTCTGCATATAGTTACCTGGTTTTCCCAGCACTGTTAATTGAAGAGATTGTCCTTTCCCCAATATACGTTCCTAGCACCTTTGTCAAAAAAACAGTTCGCTGTAGATGTATAGGTTTATTTCTGGGTTCTCCATTCTGTTCCATTGGTCTATGTGTCTGTTTTTATTCTAGTCTCATACCGTTTTAGTTACTGTAGCTCTTTAGTATAATTTGAAGTCAGATAATGTGATTCCTCCAGTTTTGGTCTTGTTGCTCAAGATAGCTTTGGCTATTCTGGGTCTTTGTGGTTGCATATCAATTTTAGGATTATTTTTTCTATTTCTGTGAAGACTGTCATTGGTATTTTGGTAGGGATTGCATTGAATCTGTAGATTGTTTTGGATAGCATGGACATTTTAACAATATTGATTCTTCCAATCCATGAACATGGAATGTCTTTTCATTTTTGTGTGTCCTCTTCAATTTCTTGCATCAATGTTTTCTAGTTTTCATTGTATTTTTCACTTCTTTGGTTCAGTTTATTCGTAGGTATTTTATTTATAGCTGTTGTAAATAGGATTACTTTCTTGATTTCTTTTTCAGATTGTTTGCTGTTGGCATATAGAAATGCTACTGATTTTTATATCTTGATTGTGTATCCTGCAGCTCTGCTGAATTTGTTTATCTGTTCTAATAGCTTTTTGGTGGAGTCTTTAGGTTTTTCCAAATACAAAATCATACTGTAGGCAAAGAAGGATAATTTGACTTCTTCCTTTCCAATTTGGATGCCCTTTCTTTCTTTCTTTTGTCCCATTGCTCTACCTAGGACTTCCAGTACTATACTGAATAACAGTGGTGAAAGTGCGCATCCCTGTCTTGTTCTAGATCTTAGAGGAAAGGCTTTCAGTTTTTCCCCATTCTAAATGATGCTATCTGTGGGTCTGTCATATATGGCTTTTATTGTGTTGAGGTATGTTCCCTCTGTACCCAGTTTTTTAAGGGTTTTTATCATGAAGGGATGCTTACTTTTATCAAATGCTTTTTCAGCATCAATTGAAATGATTATTTGGTTTTTGTCCTTCATTCTGTTGATATGATGTACCACACTGATTGATTTGCATATGTTGAACCATTCTTGCATCCCTGGGATAATTTCTACCTGGTCATGATGAATTATCTTTCTAATGTGTCATTGAATTCAGTTTGCTGGGATTTTGTTGAAGATTTTTGCATCATTGTTCATTGAGGATATTGGACTGTAGCTTTCTTTTTTTGATGTGTCTTTGTCTGGTTTTGGTATCAGGGTAATACTAGCCTCCTAAAGTGAGTTTGGAAGTGTTACCTCTTCCTCTATGTTTGGAGTAGTTTGATAGGATTAGTATTAATTCTTCTTTAAATATTTGATAAGATTCAGCAGTGAGGCCATTGGGTCCTGGGCTTTTCTTTGCCGGAAGATTTTTTTTTCTTTTTTTTATTATACTTTAAGTTCTAGGGTACATGTGCACAAAGTGCAGGTTTGATACATAGGTCTACATGTGCCTACATGTGCCATGTTTGCTGCACCCATCAACTCGTCATTTACATTAGGTATTTCTCCTAACGCTATCACTCCCTCAGCCCCCCACCCCCCGACAGGCCCTGGTGTGTGTTCCCCGCCCTGTGTCTAAGTGATGTCATTGTTCAATTCCGCTGGGAGATTTTTTATTACAGCTTTGATCTCATTACTTTTTTGTTTTGTTTTGAGACAGGGTCTGGCTCTGTCACCAAGGTTGGAGTGCAATGATACAATGTCGGCTCATTGCATCCTCCACCTCCCAGGCTCAAGCCTTCCTTCCACCTCAGTCTCCCCATTAGCTGGGACTACATGTGCACACCATCATGCCCAGCTAATTTTTGTTTTTTGTTTTTTTTTTGGTAGAGTTGGGGTTTTGCCATGTTGCCCAGCCTGGTCTCAAACTCCTGAGCTCAAGTGATCTATTCGCCTCAGCCTCCCAAAGTGCTGAGATTACAGGCATGAGCCACCACACTTAGCCTTATTACTTGCTATTGGTCCGTTCAAGTTTTAGATTTCTTCATGGTTCAATCTTGGTAGGTTGTATGTGTCTAGGAATTTATCTGTTTCTTCTAGATTTTCTAATGTATTGGCATATATTTGTTCATAATAGCCTCTAATTATCCTTTGAATGTCTACGGTATCAGTTGTAATGTCTCCTTTTTCATCTCTGATTTTATTTATTTGGGCCTTCTTTTTTCTTAATCTGCCTAAAGGTTTGTTGATTTTGTTTATCTTTCAAAAGTCAACTTTTCATTTAATTGATCTTTTGTGTTTTTTTCACTTAAATTTCATTAATTTCTGCTCTGATCTTTATTGTTTCTTCTCATTTTGGATTTGGTTTGTTCTTTTCTAGTTCTTTAAGATGCATTGTTATGTTATTTGAAGTTTTTGTACTTTTTTGATGTAGGCTCTTATTGCTATAAACTTTCCTCTTACTTTCACTTTATGTCCAAAACCGCTTTATAGGTTTTGGTATGTTGTTTTTCCATTTTCATTTGTTTCAAGAAACTTTTAATTTCTTCATTTCTTCATTGACCCACTGGTCATTCAGGATGCTTTTAGGTAAATCAAGCCCTGCTAATTTGACACTAGAAAATAATGAATTTCTTTTGATTATTTTTATCTCATGTAGTTGAAAAATTTTATGTCGTCATATCTTTAATTAGAGAATAATTTTTTAGGATTTCTCCTTTTTTTTTTTTTTTTTTGAGAAGGAGTCTCACTCTGTCACCCAAACTGGAGTGCAGTGGTGCAATCTCAGCTCACTGCAACTTTCACCTCCCAGGTTCAAGCAATTCTCCTGCTTCAGCCTCCCGAGTAGCTGGGAGTACAGGCGCGTGCCACCATGTCCAGCTAACTTTTGTATTTTTAGTAGAGATGGGGTTTTGCCATGTTGGCCAGGCTGGTCTCAAACTCCTGACCTCAGGTGATCCACCCCCCTCAGCCTCCCAAAGTGCTGGGATTATAGACATAAGCCACTGCACCTGGCTTTTAGGATTTATCCTGTATCCATTGCTTTTCTGAAACAATCTCCCCAAATTATCTACTACCTTATCTAAATTAATATTAGATCTATATATTGCAACTTAATGTTTCTAGCTAATAGTCTTAAGTAGTTGGCATACTAATACAAATGTTTAGGCAAAAATACATCTGGCTCCACCCCTAGTCCCCACAAACTAGTTTGAGTCTATCCTATCTATAGTATAGACCAGATCAGACTGCCCTGGGACATGTTCTAGACCATGGATGGCCTGTAACTCAAGAGACTTCTGGGCGAAGTATAGAATTTATCCATCTTGGGATGTTTGCTGAGAGCAAAATATAACCCATTAACCACTGATCATGTCAGGAGTTCATCGAGACATCCACAACAGGAAGGAGAAGCAAGCAGTAGCTAAGCACTCCACAATCTGAGGATAAAAGAGAGTGAATTCTGGTTTGCGTAAATCAAGGAACACCACTGGAAGGTGTCAGCAAGTCAAAGCCTTCACATATCTGTGGCTTTTTATTACTGACAACTAACAACATCTTAGTCACATTCCTGTTAAGTGTTCGCTGTGTGTTGGGAAAGCAAAAATGAGTATGGCATGATTCCTCTCCTTAAGTAGCTCCCAATTTAGTGAAGGAAATTGAAATGTTTACAGCTAACTATAATAAATAAACCCTACAGTAGTGTTATATATTTTATAGAAGAACATAGGAGAATGCGCTTACTGCTTTGGGGAAGTAAGAATGAGTTGGGGCAGTGAAGAGACTACCAAAGACAGTCACATGTAAGCTAGCTCATGAAGGAAGAATAAGCTTTTCTAAAAGACAGACAGAAAACAGTAGCCAGGGCCAGGTGCGGTGGCTCATGCCTGTAATCCCAGCACTTTGAAAGGCAGAGACAGGATTACTTGAGCCCAGGAATTTGAGACCCGCGTGGGCAACATGTGGGACCCCATCTATACAAAAAATTTAAAAATTATCCAGATGTAGTGGTGCATCCCTGTAGTCCCAGCAACTTAAGAAGCTGAGGTGGGAGGATCACTTGAACCTAAGAGGTGGAAGCTACGGTGAACTGTTTTTTTGTTTTATTTTGTTTTGAGATGGAGTCTTGCTCTGTCATCTAGGCTGGAGTGCAGTGTGCGATCTTGGCTCACTGCAACCTCCACCTCCCGGGCTCAAGTGATTCTCCTGCCTCAGCCTCCCGAGTAGCTAGGACTACAGGTGCGTGCCACCATGCCCAGCTGTTTTTTTGTATTTTTAATAGAGATGGGGTTTCACTATGGTGATCTGTGATCCTGCCACTGCACTGCAGCCTGAGTGACAGAGCGAGACCCTGTGAGTGAGAGAGAGAGAGGGAAAGAGGGAGAGGGAGAGAGAGAGAGGAGGGAGGAGGGAGGGAGGTGGGGGAGGGGAGGGGAGAAGAAAACACCAGCCAGGGAACATGTGCAAAAGTGTGGAGGTGTGAAAAATGTATGTTATCTTCAGGGACTAGCAGTTAATCCAGTTTTACTGCAGCAATAGGATTCATTAGTTAGGAGTAAAGGGAAACTATAAGAGGTGAGGCTTAAATAGTGGGCTAAGATAGATTTCTGGAGGGCCTGAGTAACATAATAAGGACTTTAAAACTTACCCTTAAATAGTAGGGAGGCTTAGAAAGTTGTTTTGGTTTTAGGAGATTTTTTTGAGAGGGTCCCACTCTGCTGCCCAGGCTGGAGTGCAGTGTACACAATCTCAGCTCACTGCAACCTCGACCTTTCAGGCTCAAGCAGTCCTCCTGCCTCAGCCTTCCAAGTAGCCGGGACTACAGGTATGCCCCACCACACCCAGCTAATTTTTGTATTTTTTGTAAAGACAGGGTCTCACTGTGTTGCCCAGGCCTGTCTCGAACTCCTGGGCTCAAGCGATCCACCGACCTCAGCCTCCCAAAGTGAGAAAGTTTTTAGAGGAAAGTGACAATATGATTAGATTTATATTTTTCTGTTTTACTTTATTTTTGTAGAGATAGGGGTCTCACTGTGTTGCCCAAGCTGGTCTTGAACTCCAGGCTTCAAGTGATGCTCCCACCTGGGCCTTCCCAAAGTGCTGGGATTACAGGCATGAGGTACCATGCCTGGCCTAGATTTGTATTTTTAAAAGAGAATTTTACTAGCAATTAGAAAGATTAGAGCAGGCAAATACCAGAGGAAGTGAGAGCAGTTTGGAGGTTGTTTGCTCACTTCTAGTGAACAGTTTTTCTAAAATTTAAGAAATACATGTTTTGGATTCTGTGTGAATATTCTAATTGAATATATAATTTTATAGTTCCCATAATTTGATAGACTTTTGTTGTTACATTTTCCCTGTGTTTCAGTAAACCAGAATGTAAGGCCATAAAGAATTATCTTTTGTAAATAGATTTATCTAGAAACCAGTCTATAATTTCCTTACGATTGTCTAGTTTCTTCAGCAGCTTACTGTATTTTGGTTTTGTAGGTTGGCCTGGCAGTGGTCAATGGACAGCTCATGGCAGTAGGAGGTTTTGATGGCACAACATACTTGAAGACCATAGAAGTTTTTGATCCTGATGCCAATACATGGAGGTAACTTTTAAGCTGTGTAGCAAATCACCTCACTACTGATTTGGAAATCATGGGCTTGAAATAGCCTATGACCATCAGAACTGGGATGGTCAGTACATTGGAGTACTTTGAAGAGGGCTGAAGTTACACATATTTATGGCTCATTTTGACTTGATTGCTCTAAAGTGGCTGATATATTACAAAATTCTCCTTTTCAGTAACTGTCCAGTTTTATAATTAGAGATGGGTAAAATAGGGAAAAAAAATCTTCCTAGTCCCATCATGTTCAGCTGAGGAAACAAAAGCACCGAGAAATAAAATGACCTGCCTAAGTGAGTTAGTGACAGAGTTAGAATTAGAACCTAGGTCTTTGGCTCCAAATCTGTCCATGCCATTTTTTGGTGTTCTTGTGGGAAACCTATGCCTAGGAGAAACAAATTGCAATTACTTTTGAAAAATTAATATTTGAAAAATAATATTTCATTTTTAAAGCCATTTTAACTTTTAGGGAGGAGGCTACATCTTATTTAAGAGAGCTTAACTTAAACTTCATTTCTAGGTTTAATTTTACTTTGCTTTTAAATCCTCAATTGTCTAATAAAGCTTTCTTAAGTAGTTAAGTAGTTTTTATAATTTCACATAAATTAGGTGACTTTTGCATTTATTTTAAATATTCAAGAACCTTTACAAACTTAGCAAAATTCTCTTAAACCTTTAAACTTAAAATAATTAAGTCTAAATCTTTACTCAATCATATTTTATACTTGAATCACAAGAGTAATCTTATAGATGCCCTAAAAAGCCAAATTCTCTTAAACACTACAGGAACTTAAAATGCAAAACACATAGTTTATTCTCAAACTTTAAAAATAACAATACTATGGGTTTGATGTATGGCATATCTGTACTTAATTCTAAATACTAGTCTTCTAAGAAAACAGTTTTGCCTTCCAAGCAATTTGGGGTTTCCTTCTCAATAAAATGGGCTTACTTGCCTAAGCAAGTTTAGGGTTACCATCTCAGTGGTTAAGGTTGCACATCAACCAGAAATATCAGGCTGGACATGTGAGCTGAGGCAGCAGACATTCTGGGAAATTTTTCTTATGACCATGAAGGATAAGCTGAGCTCTGTTTTATTGTTACTATTCTAAAAGAGGCAGTCTTGTAGTCCTTTCTTACTGTATTCTAATAGTCTATCTCTAGGAAAGCCACAACTCTCACAGAGATTTAAGTGACATGCTTTGGATCCTACATATGTCTCACAGCTCCATATGACTCAGTGGTCACAAAACTAAAGTCAGGCTAATAACAGCGTGTACGTTTTGCTCCTACATCACATTTTTACAGTCCTGTTCATTAAGTAAAGATTTATTGATGGCCAGGCACGGTGGCTCATGCCTGTAATCTCAGCACTTTGGGAGACCAAGGTGGGCGGATCACCTGAGGTCAGGAGTTCGAGACCAGCCTGGCCAACATGATGAAACCTCGTCTCTACTAAAAATACAAAAACTAGCCAGGCATTGGGGTGGGCACCTGTAATCCCAGCTACTTGGGAGGCTGAGGCAGGAGAATCACTTGAACCTGGGGTCAGAGGTTGCAGTGAGCAGAGATTGGGCCATTGCACTGCAGCCTGGGTGACAGAGCAAGACTCCGTCTCAAAAAAAAAAAAAGATTTACTAAGTGCTCCGAGCCCTGGGGATACAAAACTGAACAACAACAACAAAAATTCCTGCCAAGCGCACGCCTGTAATCCCAGCTACTAGGGAGGCTGAGGCATGAGAATCTCTTGAACCCAGAAGGTGGAGGTTGCAGTGAGCCGAGATCACACCACTGCACTCTAGCCTGAGTGGAAGAGCAAGACTCCGTCTCAAAACAAAACAAAACAACAAAAAAGTTCCTTGCCCTGCTGGAGCTAACCAATTGTATTGAGGGAGACAAACAGTACCATACCAGTAGATGGAAGTGCTGTGGCAAATATCAAAGCAGGGGAGGGGGCTAGGGAGTACAGGGAGGGGAATCTGTTTTTAAAGGTGTTCAGGGAAGGCCTCATTGGAAAGGTAGCATTTTAGCAAAACCTAAATACGGTAAAGGATAGGTAATGGCAGCTTTGGGCCTCTCACTGGCAGGATATTTTCTTCCATATACAGCTTTCTATTTTTACTAGGAATTTTGATTAAGCATAATTTCTGAAGACAGCCAAATTTACTGTCACTTAATCACTATAATCTTATCTGAGGACTTGTTTCTTAGTAACTGTCACTAAATAGAATTAGTAATAGATGACAAAGTAATAGTCATGAAATTATTGAGGATCATCTGTTGAAAGATTAATAACTAAATATTTGCAGTTACATATCCAAGACTTAAAAACCAACTCTACCTCATAGCTGATAAGGGTCTAGTATTCTTCTCCATGGAAAGTCCTTAATTTTGAAGATGATCTTGTCACAAACTAGATGCTGACTTTACTCAAATCTGGTTTTGTTCTATAAAGGACTTGAAGAGGCTTACAGAGTACATATAAGACAAAGGGATAAAAATAAATAATTGAAGAATTTTAGGCAAAGGGAAAACATAGGTGGGACAATAATATAGCCAGGGGCAAAATTTTGAAAATGTAGAATATATAATTCTGTGTAACCGTTAGAAGTCAGTGAGGTATACAGTTGTAAAGTTCTGATGCCAAACGTGAATATGATGCTCTCTTATTCTTCACACAGCCTCCTATGAGTGAGAGCATGTCAGTCAATCTCTGAAACAGTCCTGCTACTCAACAGTGCTCAATTGCAGCTTCTAATCTTTAGAATGAAGACAATATTAGTGTGAAGCTGAAAATATTAGTTGTAATATAAAACATAGAAACGTGTTAATAACATCTTAGTCGTAGTTAATAACATCTTAGTTGTAACATATTTTCCAGTTAGAAAATATGATTATGTTTCTTTCTTTGCAGGTTATATGGCGGGATGAATTACCGTCGGCTAGGGGGTGGCGTAGGAGTTATTAAAATGACACATTGTGAATCCCATATTTGGTGAACACAGAGAAGACAGTCTTGTATATATTCCTCTGTATTCTGGGGAGCTTTGACCTTGGAGCTTTGTACAGCTTGAGAAAACATTAGAACAAATTTTATTATTTGCCGGTGCCTCAACAAATGGAAATACAATCCAATGAAAGTACTTCACCTGCAAGATGCACAATAATTTTCAACTCTGTGCAGAAGAATATTTATTTTTGGTTTTAATTTATCATGGTTTTTTGTTGTTTTCGTTTTGAACTTATCCTTCCTCCCACAAAAAAAGAAAAGAAGAAAAAATTCCAAGCAGCAAAACTTACTTTGTTTGTAAGGTATTCATTTAGGTTTGAAAATACTATTTAATAAGGGCAGAAGGGCTATATATGATTTGGCTATTATTTCTAGACACTCCATCCACATGATTCCACTAACAAGGATTACCAGGAATAAAGGTAGGTATGCAAAATGTATTAGCTACCCATTATTCTCGCACTAACCACCAGAAGACTTGAAAATCTTAAAAAAAAAAAACAAAAAAACAAGAAAAGGCAACATCTCATTTTAAATAGTACAATTCAGAAGGGATACTAAATCAATAAAAACCAGGACTCAGACACTACAGTTTTCATCAGTGTAATTTTATGTCTTGTTTCTTTCTATATGAACTTGTTTATTTAGTCTTTTTTTCATAATATTCTCATAGAGTTTCTGCTAGATCTAGAGCTCTGCTCAGTGCCTCTTATAAAAACAATATATAAGTCTCATATGCTGTCTTGAGAATCCAAGAGAATCACATGCAGCTCTGCAACAGTTTTTGCTCAAAAATGTTACTGACTAAAGCAACTGTCCTTCCTGTTTCCTTATTGCTACCAAGGACCAGCAGGGAGAAATGTCTTCTCCCAGCAGTGAATTCTGTTATGCAATTTATTCTTGATGCTCAGGCCTGGTTAAGCTGAGGCTTACCTTTAATAACAGCCTCCAAGGGAATGAATTATTCAGTTAATGTAATAGCACACATTAAAGAGTGTAAAATCAATTGAGGCATTTTATTAATATCTTGGTTCTTTTATACAAACAATGTATCATTATCTTCATTCTATAAGGTCATTGTTACTACTTCTCTCAAATTGCACTTTCTGGTAAAAAGTTAAAAATTTTTAAGGAAAAAATAATTTCAATGGTTAAAGTTTTTTTTCCTCATTGTATTCATAGACAAATTTTTTTCAATATATTTTGCAAGAAAAATCTTTGAATAAGACTAACTGCATTTAAAAGGAATAACCTCCTTCTCCCTTTCCCCAACTACAAAAATGTTTGGCAACTTTGTGTTTACATTTAAAGATCATTTGCACCTTTTTCAAGGAAAAAAAGTATTGAGTAAACAATTGTTTACATATATCATTTATGCTTTTTTCTAGCATGTATAACTTTTTTAAATAAAGGTAGTATTTACCATTAAAAAAATTTTAGCTAATGCTTTTTATCCTTGTACTTTTGTTATTTAATTTGGAATTTCTGTTTCTATATAATTTATTTTATCTGTATGTAAAGTTACAAGTGCTTTCAACTTGAATAAAAGGATTGCCAGCTAGAATTAATAGGAATTTTCATTATATATTTTTATATGTTATATTACCTAACCTATAAACTTATTTTCTAGGTAGGACTTAGACTCATACAATTTTGAGCTGGAAGGACTCTTTAACAATCATCTAGTCCAAACCCACTTATTACACTGATCCAAGTCTGAAAACCACAAAGTCTGCCTAAGAATAAATAGTCAATTAATGATAGAACCAACATTAGAAATCAGCTTCCTCAATTCCCAGTCCATTCCTCTTTCTATGCCACACTGCCACTATAGGTTTACCTGAAACTAAATATAATAAAAGACCTTAAGTATTTTAATTAAGTCTGGTATTAACATGTAAAAAGTATAAAAACTTTTATGAGATCCTCACTGTAGTACATCATTAACAATCAGTCTTCAAGACAAAATCATGTATTTCCCAAGACTCTACTACTTCATACATCTGAGGCAAAAGAGAGTGATGATAGCATTATCACTGATAGCAAGAACAAAACTAGGGATTAGACTCTCCATTAGTCAGGAAGTCCCCAGTGGGAGCAATTCACAGGGCATTGATTCAAGAGTAGAGACCCAGGAATTAACAGCACTGGCCAGTCTTCATTGGAGCCTGTTAGGGGTTTGTTTTTCCCCCTCCACTGAAGGCACTCCAGTTTTATTATTGATTGAAATGTATTGTATTAAAGGTGTTGCTGTAAAATAGAATGTTTATTAATTTGTGTGCATAGTTTTTTCCACAACTCAAGTTTGGAATGGGGGTTGGATTGGCAGTCATTTTCATTTCATAAATAAGTCCACTGAAGCTTAGAAAAGTTAAAATGACATGGTAGGAGCTGAACCTTAAATCTATAGCCCCTGATTGTAAATCCTTTGTGCTCTATACACATTCCCCCATTCCTGTTTTTGATTGCTTCCCAGCTTTGTTCCATGTTTTACCTCCAGATATTCACACTGCAGATAATACTTCTTGACCACTGTGTAAAAGGGGTCTTTCCTGAACAAGATGTGACGGAGTAGGGGACGAACCTTTCAAACTTTATGTTAACTGAGGAAACAGATGGGCAAAGAAAAAAATGCAAGAAGGAAAGAAATACAGAAGAGGAGAGAAAGAAGCAGCAGGAGGCAAAAATGACCCACTAAACCTGAGTATGTCTGCCCAATTGTGAGAAATGGCTCTGTAAATTGCTTTGAGGGCCCTGCTGGAAATGACTGAAAAGAATGGTCCCAAGAAATGACAAAACTCTTCAACTAAGTTGTCTTACATGTCCTTAATATTGATCTTTCAATTATTTAGCTGTGTAAGGTTAGGAACTTAGATTATTTTAAATGTAAAAAAGAAAGGATGGTTATTCACTGAACTATCATAAAATATTTGGGATTATTCCAATAACAGTAACCTACTAATACCCCTATCCTAGAAAGACTGTTTAAGCCTGAATTCCTAGGAAAAAAGGACACATATCTTCAGGGTGAATTTAGATCAGTGAACCCTTGGACTTCTAAACAGGAACAGCCCCTGCTTTCAAAAAGCTTAGTTTTAAGCCTTTTTCATCAAGCCTCTGTATGAGTGGTTCTCAAAGTATGGTCTGTGGACCCCTGAGGTCTCCAGTATCTTTCTTTCTTTCTTTTTTCTTTTTTTTTTTTTTTTTGAGACGGAGTTTCGCTCTTGTTGCCCAGGCTTGCGTGCAATGGTGCGATCTCGGCTCACCGCAACCTCCGCCTCCCAGATTCAAGCGATTCTCCTGCCTCAGCCTCCCGAGTAGCTGGGATTACAGGCATGTGCCACCAGGCCCAGCTAATTTTTTTGTATTTTTAGTAGAGACGGGGTTTCGCCATGTTGGTCAGGCTGGTCTCAAACTCCAGACCTCAGGTGATCCGCCCGCCTTGGCCTCCCAAGTGCTGGGATTACAGGCGTGAGCCACTGCACCGCACCCAGCCAAGTCCCCAATATCTTTCTAAGTATCCATGAGTCGAAACTATTTTTTTTTTTTCTTTGAGACATTGTCTCCCTCTGTCGCCTAGGCTGGAGCGCAGTGGCGCGATCTCGGCTCACTGCAAGCTCCGCCTCCTGGGTTCAGGCCATTCTCCTGCCTCAGCCTCCCCAGTAGCTGGGACTACTAGCGCCTGCCACCACGCCCGGCTAATTTTTTTTTTTTTATTTTTAGTAGAGACGGGGTTTCACCGTGTTAGCCAGGATGGTCTCGATCTCCTGACCTCGTGATCTGCCCGCCTTGGCCTCCCAAAGTGCTGGGATTACAGGCGTGAGCCACCGCGCCCGGCTGAAACTATTTTCTTAGTAAAACTAAGTTTTCTGCCTTTTATACTGTAGTAGCATTTGTGCTAATGGTGCAAAAGCTATGGTGGGTAATACTGCCGGTGTCTTAGCATAAATCAAGGCATAAATCAAAGCATAAATCAAATTGTACAACTAGACATAGTATTCACCACCATAGACTTGCAGGACTTTTTGTTGTTGTTGTTGTTTTTACATGTTTTTGTTTTTGAGACAGAGTCTCGCTCTGTCACCCAGGCTGGAGTGCAGTGGTGAGATCTCTGCTCACTGCAGCCTCCACCTCCTGGGTTCAGGCGATTCTCCAACCTCAGCCTCCCAAGTAGCTGGGAATACAGGCGCCCACTAGCACCCCCGGCTAATTTTTTTATTTTTCATAGAGACGAGGTTTTGCCATGCTGGCCAGGCTTGTCTGGAACTCCTAACCTCAAGTGATACGCCCACCTTGGCCTCCCAAAGTGCTGGGATTACAGGCATGAGCCACCGTGCCTGGCCTGGAGTTTTGTAAATTTGCTTAAGCATGCCCTTGATGAAGCAACAAAAATTATTAGTTTACTAAATCTCAACCTGTGGACATATGTCTTTTTCAATATTTTATGACAAAATGGGAAGTATACATAAAACACTGCTGCAAACCAAAATACAGTGGTCATCCCAAGAAAATCTTCTGAGATTGTTTTAAGATGCAAGCTGAACTACCTACTTTTTGAAAGAATGATGGACACAGAAATTAAGGTCATTCAGACTGGGGTGTTGAGCAGACATTTTCTCTCAAATGAACAAAATGAGGCTACCATTTCAAGGAACACAACCGACAGTACTTATTGTCAACCATATTCAAGAGAAAAATTACAATTTTGAGAAAGCTGTGTCGACTATGAACTTGACAGCTACTTAAAAACTTTTATGATGAAATTGCTGATGACATTGATGAATGCCTTTTTAATTGTATAGTGAAGTGTGTCAACATGTGGAAGATCTGCATAATTCATGGAATCAGTTTTTCTAAATGATTAATGCACAGGTTAAGATGTATCCAAAGCAGAAGATAGACCAACAGATCTAATGGGAACAATATGAAAGGTCTATTGATATGGTTTTAGATTTCAGCAGTCACTTGTCAAGTTTTGATGTAATATCAAGAAGAATATCCATAATTATCAGAAAAGCTATTAAAATCCTCCTCCCCCTTCCAATTTCATATTTGTGTAAGCCATATTTTCTTGACATACTTCAACCAAAATAACATTGCAAAAGATTGAATGCAGAAGCAGGTAAGAACTCAATTGCCTTCTAATATAGCCAGATATTGAAGAATCATACAAAAATGTAATTTTTTTGCTTTTGAAATAAAAAAATTTGTTTTAAAAATGATAGTCTGGGCCAGGCACGGTGGCTGATGTCTGTAATCCCAGCACCTTGGGAGGCCAAGGTGGGCAGATGTACTTGAGGTCAGGAGTTTGAGACCAGCCTGGCCAAAATGGCAAAACCCTGTCTCTACTAAATATACAAAAATTAGCTGGGCGTGGTGGTGCACGCCT